>NC_000002.12:101125981-101429011 GCF_000001405.40 Homo sapiens | reverse complement strand
CCATTGCCTTTGAAAAATCTACTAATTATAACAGCATTATCCAACAAGAAGCAACAGTGAGTGTTAATCAAACAGATTTACTATAACAGACCCAGACCTAGCAATACCAGTGATTGCTTAATTCGATCCAGCTGTTTTTCTGTGCGTACTCTTCTGACTCTAGGTAGCCCCTAACCATTCACCCATCTGACCATGAATGTTCAGTGCCACCACTTTCCACATGCCGTGCCAAGACAGACATAGTCTCTGTCCTTAAGGAACGTACTGTTTGGCTGCACATTCCCTGCTTAACTGTGTTTCTTCAGCTAAAATTAAAAAGGATATATAGGCTGTTGGCAATAAATGTGTCTGAAGTGTCTCCCTATTACAGTTACAGCTCTTTGAATTAGGACACCAGAACTATGAATAACTAATGTATGACATCATGAGTTGATTTTATTTTAGTGGGCCAAAACGATATGATAGTACTTGGATACTGTCTTAGTGCGAGCTGCAAATTACCATTGACAGGATGGCTTCAACAACAAACATTTATTTCTCACAGTTCCAGAGGCTGGAAGTCCCAGGTGCCAGCGTGGCCAGGTTACCGGAGGGCCCTCTTTCAGGTTGCAGACGACTCCTCATCGTGTCTCACGTGGTGGAAAGAGAGGGAGCAAGCACTAATCTCATTCATGAGAGCTCCACTTTCGTGACCTAATTACTCCCAGAGGCCCCACCTCCAAATACCATCACATGGGATTAGAGGTTTTTTGTTGTTGTTGTTTTGAGATGGAATCTCGTTTTGTTGCCCAGGCTGGTTCAAGCGATTCTCCTGCCTCAGCCTCCCAAGTAGTTGGGATTACAGGTGCCTGCAACCACGCCGGCTAATTTTTGTATTTTTCGTAGAGACAGGGTTTCATCAAGTTGGCCAGGCTGGTCTCGAACTCCTGACCCCAAGAGATCTGCCCCCCTTGGCCTCCCAAAATGCTGGGATTACAGGAGTGAGCCACCACGCTCAGCCGGGATTAGGGTTTTAACACATGACCCTGCGGGGGGCGGGGGGGATAACAACATTCTGTCCGTAACAGATACTGTCTTGTTGACAAGTGTCATTGAACAGATAACCTTTTATAAACGTGTTTAGTGACCAGCCTTCTTGAGGGCTGAATGGGTTGTGAAAGAACCGCTAAAAACAAACAAAGTCCCTCTACTTAAGTAGGACACAGTTTTGTAGTCGGGAAGCTAAGATAGACGTGGAACAATGGGTACCATGTCGAGCGGGCAGTGCAGGCCATGGGTGGTTTGGGAACTCCAAATTGGGGGTCCGGGAGAGGGGCTGTGGGAGGCAAGAGTGATTAGAGAGGGCTGCACTGAAGAGTGCGGTTCCCACTGTTGTTGTGACAAATTAGCACAAAGTCAGTGACTTAAAACAACACAAATCTGTTATCACACGCCCTGGAAGTCATAATTTCAACACCATTCTTACCAGACTAAGATCAACATGTTCGCAGAGCCGTGTTCCTCCCGGACATTCTAGGGAAGAATCCATTCCTTCCCTTTTCCAGCTTCTAGAGGTCCCTCCCATTCCTTGGCTCACGGCCTCCACCCCATCTTCAAAGCCAGCAAAGGCAGGCCGGATCCTTCTCACGCTGCAGTCTCTCTGGCTCCCTGCAGCTGGGAAAGGTGGCCTTTTCTAAAGCACCTTTGTGATGACATGAGGCCACTTGGATAAGGCAGGAAAACCTCCCATCTCAAGGTCTTTAATCTTAATCACATCTGCAAGGTCCCTTTGCCATGCAAGGGAACATATTCATAGGTTCCAGGGATTAGGACGTGGACATTTTTGGGGTGGAGGGGCCTGATTCTGCCTGTCATATTATCCTTGAGCTAGTCCTGGAAGGGGTCACTGGCTTCTCTCTTAGGAGGGTGTTCATTTTGAGGGTGTAGCCTGCATTGGAGCCGGGAGGTGATGACAAACGTGTGTGGAACCCAGCGTGCATATGCTGGGGAGCAGCACACTGGGCGAGGTGGGTGGAGAGGACCAGAGGGCACAGAGCTTGTCGATGCTAGGCAGAGAACTTGGATTTGACCCAGGAGACCGTGGGGCACCATCAAGGCATCTTCAGAAGGAGAGTGACAGGATACATTTGCTTTGGGGGGTGATAATTCTGGGAACAGTGTCTTCAAGGATTCAGGAAGGATCAAAGTCATTCAGGAGAATTGATGGAGTAACCCAGGGGAGGCAGATGGTGCCTGATGGAGCAGGTGATGGTGGAAAGGTGGCACACATCAGACTCCCAGGGGCTGACACCTAGTGCATGCTCACTAAAGAATGAGTAGATGAATGGTAGCATGTAACTCCAGTGACATTTCTTGGGTCTGTCAAAATCTCAAACTGCATTTAATATACCTAAAGAATCCACGTAGAATTTCTCAATGGTCATTTTTTAGATATAGCTTTTGTTTATACATATTTGTCATTATGCAGTATTTATTTATTTATTTTATTTTTTAGAGACGAGGTCTTGCTCTTTTGCCCAGGCTGGAGAGCAGTGGCACGATCACAGCTCACTGGAGTCTCCAACTTCTAGGCTCAAGCCAACTTCTCACCTCAGCCTCCTGAGTATTTAGGACTACAGGCGTATGTCACCATGCCCAGAAATGTTTTTTGTGTTTTTGTTTTTTTTTAATTTTTTGTAGAGACAGGCTCTTACTATGTTGCCCATGCTGGTCATGAACTCCTGGCCCGAGGCAATCGTCCTGCCTCAGCCTCCAAAAGTTCTGGGATTACAAGCATGAGCCACCACACTCAACACAGTTATTATTTAAAAGTTGGTGGATTTTTAAAGACTGATATATAATAGATGTATATATTTTCTGGATATGCGTGATATTTTGACACATTTCTATACTGTGTAAAGATCAAATCAGTATAATTGGGATACTTATTGCCTTAAACAGGTATCTTTTCTTTTTCTGGAGGCAGCCAAATGATTCTTATCTGGGTATTTGAAAATATCAACTAGATTTTTGTGAACTATAGTCACTCTACTAGATTGATCAAAGCCTAGGTCTCATTTCTTCTGTCTGTTTGTACCCATTGATCAACTTCTCTCCATCCTCTTCTTTGCTTTGCTGAATTATTGTTTCCACACTGGAATTCCTCAGCATGCTTCCTGAATGCCTTCTGCTGTAGCGAATCTCCTGCAGGGTCCACACGTTAGTGGCTCTGTACGCTACTTTTACTTTAGGTTTCTGATTGTTTATGTTGTAAAGGAAATATTTCCATTTATGATTTTAAAAATATTGTTTGTGAAAGAACAATTCTTTTCACAGTTTTTAATGAAAGGTTTATGCCTATAAGTAATGTCTATGGAGGAAGAGACCTCAGGGATTGACTTCAGGAAATCATGAATTTGCTCTTTATTATGTTGTGTAATAAAACACTTTTATATTCTCCTTGTAATTGTTTCTTGAATATCTTAACAGTACATTGTCAGATGTTTTCTTCTGAACAGGCGAAACTGTGTTGTATGTGCCATGGTGAAATGTAGACATTTCTGTAGCATTCGATAAAGAACTGTCTGCCTAAAGCTGCAGTTCTCAACATGGGCATGCAGAAGGCTCAGTAGGGAAGCTGGTTATACATCTAGAGTTCTTGTCTCATCAGATTCACTAGAGGCCTAGGAACATGGATCTCAAGGGCCCCAAGGGATTCTGATGTGTTTGAGAATGCTGCTTTGGGAATATCAGCAGTAACACCCAGAGAACATTGACATAACCAGGGTGTGAGTGCTCTGGAAAATATGGATGTAGTTGGGGTCTTTCATTATGAGACATTAGCCCAGAGCTGAAATTGAGGATTCCTCAGTTCTCTAACAGAGCGCCTATGATCAGGCCAATGAGCTTCATGGAATAGCTCCATCCTTTAGTATGATCAACGTGAGCATCACCCATACCCACATACAAGAAAACCCATCTTCTTTTTTTTTTCTGTTTCAAATTATTATTTTTTAAATTATACTTTAAGTTATAGGGTACATGTGCACAACGTGCAGGTTTGTTACATAGGTATACATGTGCCATGTTGGTTTGCTGCACCCATCAACTCGTCATTTACATTAGGTATTTCTCCTAATGCTATCCCTCCCCCAGGCCCCGACCCCCTGACGGGCCCTGGTGTGTGATGTTCCCCGCCCTGTGTCCAAGTGTTCTCATTGTTCAATTCTCACCTATGAGTGAGAACATGCAGTGTTTGGTTTTCTGTCCTTGCGATAGTTTGCTCAGAATGATGGTTCCCAGCTTCATCCATGTCACTATAAAGGACATTAACTCATCCTTTTTATGGCTGCATAGTATTCCGTGGTGTATATGTGCCACATTTTCTTTACCCAGTCTGTCATTGATGGACATTTAGGTTGGTTCCAAGTCTTTGCTATTGTGAATAGTGCCGCAATAAACATACGTGTGCATGTGTCTTTATAGCAGCATGATTTATAGTCCTTTGGGTATATACCCAGTAATGGGATCACTGGGTCAAATGGTATTTCTAGTTCTAGATCCTTGAGGAATCGCCACATTGTCTTCCACAATGGTTGAACTAGTTTACACTCCACCAACAGTGTAAAAGCATTCCTATTTCTCCACATCCTCTCCAGCACCTGTTGTTTCCTGACTTTTTAATGATCACCATTCTAACTGGTGTGAGATGATATCTCATTGTGGTTGTCATTTGCATTTCTTTGATGACCAGTGATGATGAGCATTTTTTCATGTGTCTGTTGGCTGCATAAATGTCAAGAAGACCCATCTTCTGATGACTCTGAATAAAGCCAATATTGTAAAGTGTGGTGTGAATGAGGTTTAGACAGCACCCAATAGAGAGACCCCTTTGAGCTGTCCCCTCTGTGTTCCTGCTTTATGTATTTATTTAGACATCTATACCCCTACATCATTCCAACAGTATTAACGGGGGAAGTTTTAACGTGGCATCTTCATAATATTGTGTGCGTAGTATGCATTTTCTCCAGGGAGAGAGTCAGTTGCTTTCATCAGATTCTCAAAGAGGTTCAGAATCACAACAGAGTTATGAAGTATAGATTTTAGGGCACTGAGAGGACAGTTAAACATGCTCTCTAAACTTCTGTGATCCTCAATGCAGTACTGGTTGATACTGGGGCATCGGAGAGGAGGAAAACACAGTGGTGCCTGTTTCCGGTGTGTGCAGCACTGTGTGGGATGGTGTCTGAGCTCACTCCTCTGCTAAAGGGTGGGCACAGGTGGTTAGAGAAGCTGCCCTGCCCTCAGATGTCTTATAGACAGGAACATACCAAAACCCACATAAGCAATTCTATAAGTGAGTAGCTTAGTGAGGCTTAGGGTGCTTAAAGACTGGGCAGGCTAAGGATGGAATGCTGACCTTGGAACTATAGGGTCAGAGAGCGGGTCATGAGGTTTGAGAGAAAATGAAAAGTCACAGTCTGGCGTAGCAGGGTTGGCTGCTCAATTTTCAACTTGGAGGAATTCTTTCATCCTACTTTATTGTAAGGGAAATTATTCAAAAGCAGTCTATGACAATGCTGAAGAAATCATTTCAAATAAAATTGATACCCTTTATTCAGACCAGGAGGAGCCCTCATGCCTCCCCATGCCCAGAGGGGACAGCAGCATGAGTGACACAGGGAGGCAGGGAGGAATGTCGCACTTGCTTTCTGCCATGCCACCTTTCTTCCTCCTTCCCATCCTGTAATTGCTTCTTTTTTTTTTTTTTTTTGAGATGGAGTTTTGCTCTTTGTCGCCAAGGCTAGAGTGCAGTGGCGTGATCTTGGCTCACTGCAACCTCCATTTCCCGGGCTCAAGCAATTCTCCCACTTTAGCCTCCCAAATAGCTGGGATTACAGGTGTCTGCCACCACACCCGGCTAATTTTTGTATTTTTAGTAGAGACAGGGTTTCACCATGTTGGCTAGGCTGGTCTTGAACTACTGACTTCAAGTGATCCACCCGCCTCGCCCTCCCAAAGTGCTGGGATTATAGGCATGAGCCACCATGCCCGGGCCTGTAATTGGTTCTTCTAAAGGAAAGTCCATGCTCCTCATTTTCCTTGTTGGCAATGGCCCTGAGATTTCTGATACAACCAACGGTTGTTATGATATAGGCAGAATGACCCAAACAGGGATGATTTTATTTCAAGGAGGAACAATTACATGGACAAGGGTTGTAGAAGTGTATTTGTGATATTAAATAATTCATAGATAATAGTCTTATTGTACATTCCTATAGAGGATTTGTAAATAGATGATCCCAAGAGAGATACATTTGGTAATATATTAAATCCTATCCCTTCCCTGATGGCCATCGTTCATAGAATTACAGACAAAAATTAGCAGCATTTGGAATACAATATGAGAGGAAAGCTGCTGGAATCAGTAATGTGTGCAGAGGTGTGGCTAAAAGGTTATACACAATATTAACTTATAGTAGTGTGATCATAAGAAGATTTATATGCCAAAAAAAGTATTGTATTTTAAAGACATAATCCATTGCACAAATGATTTTTAGTGTGAAGATCATTCACCGATGAAGACAGACCCAGTTGGATCCCCTTTGTCTGAATTCAGGAGATGTCCATTTCTGGAGCAAGAACAGGCAAAGAAATACTCCTGTAATATGGTAGGTTTGCACTCATGGGGAGATTAGCCTTTCACGCTGTATGATGCTTAGGGCAGTAAATAGCTTCCTTTTGTGCCTGTGGTCATGATTGTGTCACATGGAATAATGTTTGCCTTTGCTGGACCCGTGAGGACCAGCAACCTTCCCTGGCTTGATGGTGCTCAGCAAGTTCAGGGTTCCCTATCACATCCTATGGCAAGGCTCCCGCTGGGACTGCCTCTTCCCCAAGACAAAGAAAGAAACAGATATATGGATTTTCTAGAAATTAGGGCTGGGGATTATGGAGGGGGAAAATTGAAGTTTAGAAAAAAAGGTGTCAAAGTTTGGTGGCCTTTGTAGTGGTAGAATAAATCTGCAAATATGAGTTATGACATTGAAATGAAAGCTACATGAACTATCAGCCTACAAGGTCTGCATTAGTTCATAGAAACAAAAAAAATGCTGTGGCCCAAGTGAAGAGCGCAGCTATTGTCATTTGAGAATTGCAACAAGAGCGGCCTCTGAGAGCTTCAGAAAAGTCTGTGAAGATCAGTTCATTATTGAAAAGGCCCACATGCTGAAATAATTTTCCATATTCTTCCTAGATGGCCTTCCTTGCTGACGAATACTGCAACTATTGTCGAGACATTTTACGAAATGTGAGGAACTGAGAACTTGAGAGGGTAGGGTTTTATCTATAAAATACAAGCATTTATGACTCCTTATTAATCATTTTTATTTGAAGAGACCCCGTCAACAGATGTCCAATGGTAACCCACTGCACTGAAGTGCTTACATGCTATGTACCTATGTTGTAGTCATTGAGTTCTGGAAGGTGAGATCGATATTCAGTGTAATCAGTTGGAAATTCTCCAAGGTGCTAATACAGATAACTTTAGGCTCTAAATACAAATTCAGCTATTTTTTAGATCCTAATTCTGCTCATTTTGAATAAAGTGTTGGTAATAAAATTCACCCTGGAATTTTCAATGGTGCCGAAGAGCCATTTGATTGATACGCGCTAACTGAAGATGGAGCAGGACTTCGCAGCTGAGTGATCTGGCATGGGTATTGTCACGATTGGATTTAATCCTAGAATTGGCTGTGGAAAACATGAATAAATCTTTCAGCTATTCTGAGTTTCATCTTCTGCAGTGTGAGATGAAAATCCAAGGAAACAAGTGCACATTCAAATGAGATTTTTTTCCTGATGCTTTAGTATATTCTAAGCACTTCAACTTTGGGTGATAACGCTCATTCAGCACGAGCGCATTTACTACCTACTCGGCGTAAAGCATTGTAGTGAGGGAGAGACCAAGATGTCTTCAGGATGGCCCCTGTCCTATTGATGCAATGTTACAAATATCCATCCACACTGGATGTCTGACATTATTCCTTTCCTTCTTCACTTATTCATCAAATACATATTTAATTCCTACCCTGTGACCGACACCGTTACCAGGACTAGGAAAGTATTCTCCATAAGGCTTGAGAAGTTAGTAGTTGGTAATGAAAGGAGCAATATTACCCAATAAATATGATGCAATGTGGAAAGTTCTAGAATAGCTGCATGATTAGACTATTCTGGGTGCCCAGAGAAGGGTAACAGAGAAGGCCAGGGAGTGCTTCCAAAGCAGGCCACGTTGCTGCTGACTCTAGTAGGAAAGGCAGAGGTGCAATAGACAGAAAATGGGGTAGGAGAGGGATTCCAGGTAGGACCCATGGTGCAGGTAAAGGCAGCATGATGTTCACGGGCATGATGTGACAAAAAGGTCACTATGACTATATTTTATTATTTCTTTTTTTCTTTTCTTTTGTTTTCTTTTTTGTGTGTGTGTGTGAGACGCAGTCTTGCTCTGTCACCGAGGCTGGAGTTCAGTGGTGCGATCTCGGCTCACTGTACCTCCACCTCCTGAGTTCAAGCGATTCTCCTGCCTCAGCCTACCGAGTAGCTGGGATCACAGGCGCCCACCACCATGCCCGGCTAATTTTTTGTATTTTTAGTAGAGACGGGGTTTTTACCATGCTGGCCAGGCTGTTCTCAAACTCCTGACCTCAGGTGATCTGCCCACCTCGGCCTCCCAAAGTGCTGGGATTACAGCCGTGAACCACCGCGCCCAGCCTAGATTTTATTATTACTAAAGAAGAGAAGCCAGAGGGGAGGTGGGAAAGTAGGCTGATGCCAGAAGGGGCCTCGGATGCCCCAGAAGAACTCTGACTTGTTGAGAAGACAGTGGGGGAGCAGTGACAATAGGGCTTGGCCGTCGTGGAACAGAGAGGCAGCGAGGAGGTTTTGTCACAGTTGAGGTGAGAAGCGACAAGGGTGGGTTCTGGGGCAGTGACAGTGATATCAGAGATAAACAGGGCAGGTTAGAGAAATATTTCAGAGGCAAGCGCAACAGGGTTTGGTGACTTGGACGCGGGTGGTGAGGGGTGAGCAGAGACGGGTCTGTGGTGGTGGCTCCACCCAGACCCCCCTTCCCCAAAGCTCCTTGCTCCGAGGTTCCCAGCCTGAGAGAAAAGGGATTGCTACACCCTGTGTTGTATTTTTCAGAGTCTCTTTGGAGAAGTCCTCTCTAGAATGAATGCCCTGATAACGGGATTTTAAATCAGCGCCTGTGGCCATGTAATTCGGGAGTTGACCCTAACTTCCATGATGACCTAGGCATGGGGCCAGCGCCTTGTCTGGTGTCACTGGCAGGTCCTAGCACCAGGACCAGGGGAGATACGACAAGGTTGTGATGCCTCACAGTATCTGAGCCTGTGGAAATCCCAAACAGGCAAGAGTCTTTATTGGCGGCGAAGCAGATCGGTCACCTGGTTAAAGAACGGAAACTGAAAAGTCAACGTGGGAAAAAACAGAAAAGAGGAGCCGCCATTTTGATCCTCCACGAAGTAGTCCACATAAGTCTTTAGAGAAGGCTCCTGTGTAGAACCACGCCAGTCTCCTTTTCCTTCCACAGTCGTTAGGTGACTTCTAACTTGATGGCAAGGAGGGGGTCTCTTAGATTAAGTACTATCACACCTTTCTCTGAGCTGAAAAATGATTGAGGCAGTCAGTCAGTCAGTCAATGAACATTTATTCTCTCTGGGCTGTGCCCTGTGGCCCAGTCCTCATCCTAGTATAATCAACTGGAGCCCCCTTGTGGTCAGAAACAGCTTCCCTTCTAGAAACTGCCTCAAGAAAATATTAATAATGTTCTACATTATCCCATCCAACTGGCAGGTGCTCTCAGATGGGTTGTTGGAAAGAATTCTATCAAAATACAGCTTGGAAAAGCTGAGAGGCAAAGCTTTACACGCACTGGAACAAAATTCATCCCATTGTCATCTGGGGCTAAGGAAGTATCTGTGGCGGGGGGTTAGTCTTGCGAGGTGGAAAACGAGTTTTGGCGATATGCTCTGTTACTTACCCCAGGTGGAGGACTTGCTTACTTCCTTCTGGAAGTCTCTGCAGCAAGACACAGTCATGCTGATGTCATTGCCTGACGTGTGCCAGCTCTTTAAATGCTACGACGTCCAGCTGTACAAGGTAGGAGGACGCGTGAGTCTCTAGAGTATATCCTTTGCAGAAATTGGCAGCAAATGCTGGGTTTGGACCCACAGCTCCACCTCTCTGCAGTCTCCATGGTCCTCTGAGGAGTGAATAGTGGGGTGTATGGACCAGGAGCCCTCTGATCTCTGCCTAACACTCAGTTTTCCTTTGTGAATTACCTCATGGAAACCAAAAGCCAATGCACATAGTAACCTCTGGTTCCATATCAGTGAAGTCCGAATTGAGTCGAAGTTCTTTCTCTGGGAATTTCTGTAAAAGAAGACATTCTAAAATGAATAATTGGAATTGTAATATGCATAACTGCCAGGGCTTTTGTTTTGTTTTGTTTTGCTTTGCTTTGGTTGAAGCTCTATCTCTAAAGTGATTGTATTTGGAGGGTTGTATTTGGAGGGTCAGGTTTATATCTTCTCTGGATTAAAAAGGTGTTCTCCTTCAGCGTGTCACAAGCCTTACCTTTTATTTTATTATTTTTAAGGAAACCATCTAGTACTTCCAAGTTTTTAACACAAAGTTTGAAAACTAGAAGCTGGGTTCAGCCCTTAAATATATTTGGTTTGACCCACCTAATATTGGCCAGCATTGTGTGATTTTTTAAAAAAATACTTGAATCAGTTATCAATCTTTTAAAAATATTTGAGGCCGGGAGCAGTGGCTCATGCTTGTAATCCCAGCACTTTGGGAGGCTGAGGCGGGTGGATCACGAGGTCAGGAGTTCGAGACCAGCCTGGCCAAGATGGTTAAACCCCGTCTCTACTAAAAATACAAAAAAATGAGCCAGGTGTGGTGGCATGCACCTGTAATCCCAGCTACTTGGGAGGCTGAGGTAGGGAATCGCTTGAACCCGGGAGGCGGAGGTTGCAGTGAGCCGAGATCATGCCACTGCACTCCAGCCTGGGTGACAGAACAAGACTCCGTCTCAAATAAATAAACAAAAATATTGGAAAAAAATTCCAACTGTGGCTGCACCAGCCTGACATCCTGCATGGGAAGCAGTGGCCACGTTGCATGGTGCTGCCCCTTCAACCTGGGTGGGGACCCGCTCTCAGACTTCTTGAGACCCGCCCTGTCCCTGTGGCATGCATAAGCTTCAGCCACACCTGCACCATCAGCAGAATCATAGTGTCTTGTTACTTTTGTTGTAGGGAATTGAGGATGTTCTCCTTCATGACTTCTTGGAAGATGTTTCTATTCAGTACCTGAAATCTGTGCAGTTATTTAGTAAGAAATTTAAGCTGTGGCTCCTTAATGCTTTGGAAGGTGTTCCAGCCCTCTTGCAGATCTCCAAACTCAAAGGTAGGTTTCGATGAAAAAAATAAATTCTGGGCTGGCACAGTGGCTCATGCCTGTAATCCCAGCACTTTGGAAGGCCGAGGCAGGAGGATCGCTTGAGGCCAGGAGTTTGAGACCAGCCCGGGCAACATAGTGAGATCCTGTCTCACAAAAAAGTTTTAAAAATTAGCTGAGTGTGGTGGCACACACCTGTGGTCTTAGCTACTCAGAAGGCTGAGGCGGGAAGATCACTTGAGCCCAGGAGGTCAAGGCTACAGTGAGCCATGATCATGTCACTGCACTCCAGCCTGGGTGATGGAGCAAGACCCTGTTTTTAAAGTAAAGAAATACATAAATAAATAAATTCTGTAAGCGTAGATGAAGCATCTGACTTTCACCCTGGGTGGTAGCTTTCAGCTGCTGCCCCATGCACTCAGCTACAGTCCGGAAGGCCCAGCCTGCTCAGGGTTTCTGGCTTTTAGTGCTGGTGATGGATTTTTGTGCTGATCCAGCCACACCCTTTTAAGCTATTTCTCTTTTGAATAATAACATGGACTTTTGGCAGGTCAAGGTGTTCTAGGTGTGGATATTCACCAGGGCATTCTCACACCTGAATTGCACCATCTCTCTGCTGAGTTTCTAGAATGCTTTCCCCTTCTGTCTGGCTGCCAGGCAGCAGTCTCTGAATGCTGCTTCCACCAGGCTATTTATCTGTTCAAGGCCTGCAGTGGCTTCCAAGCGCGAGCCTGAACTGCTCTGTCAGCTGGTCCAGTTCCCTATAAATCTATCCTCTTTGTGTCCCTGCAGCTCCATGCTCCTTCAAAGGCCAGCCTGCACCTGCCATGCCCTGTCGGATCATCCTGGAAATACCCATTTTCTCCCTCTTGCCTTTGTGAAGTTTTGCTATCATTGCCTGCAGCTCTCGAACTCCCTACGGGGTCCCACCCTCCTTGCCAGGTCAGGGTCATTTTGTCACCAAGCTGGCACCAGTTATTTCCCCACATTTCTATGAGTCTTGCTTCCTTTGCAATTATCTCCTAGGTAGTGCAGATAGGGGACTTCTCAAAGTGCCTACAGCATAGGACCATGTCTAATCGCCACTCCTCCCGACCCCACGCCCCCAGCTGTGTTCACTACTAACACTGGGTACCCTGATCCAGTTTGTCCCACTTGGAAATTTTAGGGACGTTGCAGAAGGTGAGACTGGGACTTGCTGCAAAAGCGGTCCAAGGAGTGGGGAGCAGAGCCTCCCTCCAGTTTTCCTGTGCTCCTTTAACATCTGCCCGAATTCAAGCCTCTGTCTCTTCATTCTGTAGGCTACTTCAGCGGTTTCCTAGTTGGTCATCCTTCTTCCACCCCCCTCCCCAGCCACACTCCCTCCACCCCCAGTGATCATTCTAAAGCAGCAATTAATCAATTACCAACCTTCCCTGGCCTCCACTGCCCAGATGGCCCACTCTCCTCCACTGCTGTGCAGTCATTCACAGTTTGGCCTCTGGCCCCATCCCTGTCTCCATCTCCCAAGGGACTCCCATGACCCAACAGTGCTCTTCAGCAACACTAGACAGGCTGTCCCCAGAAAAGGCCCTTATTCCTGCCATTTTCTATGCTTGGACTGCCTCCTGCCCCATTACTCCTGGCTATCTCCTACCTATGCGTCAAAGCCCAGATTAAATGTCACCTTCGCAGTGAAGCTTTCCTCAATACCTTCTTCCAGACAGCCTCCCTTTCTTCCTTGTGCTCGCACATCGCATGGGAGCACTTAGCCTGCTTTTGGGATGTGTTTGCATATCTGGTGACCCACCCTCTGGAGCATGAGCCCTTTGTAGGGAAGGGCTGTCCTCTTCCGTCCATCAGCTCAGCAGCCATCCAGCAAATAGTTATTGAGCAAACACTGCACGAGTGTTCTCCCATATATTTGTCAAATGAATGAATGCGTTCAAGAGGAGAACACCTGTTTCTATGCGTTCCCTTTTCATCCTTTCCTTTCCTTTGATTATTTTCCAAGGAAAGCAGTGTAGGATGAGAAAGTTGGGGTTGTTCCTTTGAGTACTGGTCTTAGTCCAATCTGGCTGCTGTAGTAAAATGCCACCAACTAGGTGGCAGTATATAAACAACTGAAATTTATTGCTTATAGTTCTGGAGGCTGGGAAGTCCAAGATCAAGGCACCAGCAGATGGGTGTCTGGGGAAGGTCTGCTTACTAGTTCACAGATGGCTGTCTTTTTGCTTTGTCTTCACATGGTGAAAGAGGCAAGGGGTCTCTCTGGGGCCTCTAATCCTCTTCATGGGAACTGTACACTCGGGGCCTCATCACCTCCCCAAGGCCCCACTTCCTAACACCATCACAATGGGGGTGAGGTTCAACATATGAAATTTGGGGTGTGGGACACATTCAGATCATAGTAGCACGCATGTCAGATGCTGGGGTTACTTAATTTTTCTGGCACATGAGGACATTTCAGCCAAGCGTCCCCTGCCAGGATCTTCTAGCCACTCAGAGAGGGCCAGCAGACACGGGGGTGGGGGAAGTTGCAGTTTAGCCAGCTGTGCCTTCCTACCCCAAACATGCACCTTCTCTTCCCCACTGCCCACATGAGAACTTGAAGTTATTGTATTAATGGCCACGTGTGTTGTTCTTAACAGAAGTTACTCTATTTGTCAAAAGACTAAGAAGAAAGACGTACCTTTCCAACATGGCTAAGGTAGGCTTCAGCCAAGCAGATAGGAGGGAACAAAGCAGTTTCCTGAAAAGAGGTGAAAGCTCTAAGTCCCTGTTAAGAGTGAGTGGTTGCTCTGTCCATCTGGAGGGCAGAGGGCAGGCAGGGTGGCCTTGCCTGGCCATTGGCAGAGGAGTCCAGGTGGGCCCCCGTGACTCAAAGCTAGAAGCCTGCCCCCTTTCCACCCATCCTCAGGAAGGCTCCAATCTCCTGGCTCTCTCAGGGCAGGAGGGAAGGCAGGTCAACACT
Organism: Homo sapiens; assembly: GCF_000001405.40. NCBI lineage: Eukaryota > Metazoa > Chordata > Mammalia > Primates > Hominidae > Homo > Homo sapiens. Next base: position 101,414,589 of record NC_000002.12, on the reverse strand, counting down.
TAAAAGATGCCCGATGGCCAGGCGTGGGGGGCTCGTACCTGTAATCGCGGCACTTTGGAAGTCCGAGGCAGGCAGATTACTTGATGTCAGGAGTTCGAGACCAGCCTGGCCAACATGGCAAAACCCTGTCTCTATCAAAAAAAAAAAAATACAAAAACTAGCTGGGCATGGTGGTGTGTGCCTGGAGTCCCAGCTACTCAGGAGACAGGCAGGAGAATCTCTTGAACCTGGGAAGTGGAAGTTGCAGTGAGCTAAGATTGTGCCACTGTACTCCAGCCTGAACAACAAAACGAGACTCCATCTCAAAAAAATAAAAAAATAAAATTAAAAGATGCCAGAGGGAGGCCCCACACAGAGGTGCCAGTGTCAGAGGTAACAGGGCGTCATAGCAGAGCCTATGACAGACAGACAGACACACCCTTCACCCGTGTGTGGGGCCCTGTGGACTCAGTGTGGCCAGGCCACCAGTTACTTCAGCTCTGACCTTTTCAATCCTGGGGTGATTTAGAGAAAGGTTGAGAAGGGCTGAAGAAAAGATTCTATGATGCTGGCACCCGGCTCGTGGGCTACCAGGAGTCCTCTCTCAAGTCCTGTGAGCACCCTATTGGGATAGAGCCTGGGGACCATCACTGTGCTCCAAATCAGTCTCCACTGGGAGGATCCCAACTGTGGCTTCCATGACCCCGAGCTGGGCCCCATCCTCCCAGTGCAGAGCCCTCCCCAGAATCTGAGCTCAGCGGGGTTGTGTCCCACTGTCAGTCACAGCCAGTCCTGTTCTCCAGGGCTCTCACAGTCCTGACTCGGTCAGTCTGGAAATGACCTGGCAGTGTGCTCTTCCTCTCAACACAACCAGAGCAGTAAGCATGGGTTCTGAAGCCTGCCCCTGCTCTGAGCCTTATCTTCCCACTTACTGCCCCTCAGGAAAGTTACTTCACGCCCCAAGAGCCCTCTGTGTCCTCTGTAAAAGGGAGGGGTAACTCGTGCCTTCTCCCAGGACTGCTGTGAGGACAACCAGGTGCATCCCAGGCAGTCGGACAGTGTTGGGGACTAGATAGTCCCCATTTGACAGCTGAGGATATCACCTCCCAGAGGCCAAATTCCTCATGGCCAAGGCTCCCACGAGGAAGGGACAGCCAGCTTCCGAATCCCGCAGCCGCTCCCTCAGGATCGGTGCAGGCTCTACCTACACCTTCCTTGCAGAGGCTCAATCCCCGGGATCCCTCGCTAGAGTCATTTGGGCGTGGGGCGATTGTGGTGCAGAGAAGCAGCAGCAGCAGTGCCAGACAGCCCTGAACGCATCTTCCTAGAGATGCGTTCTTTCTCCTTCCAGAAGGGCAGTTCCAGAATGTGTGCAATTTTAACCTTTTCATTCTTGTTTAAGATTCATTTTTAATGGGTAATATCCACATCAATGTTTCTTTCTCCCCCACAACAAAAATCTTGGCAATTTGGGGGAGAGTTAGGCAAAAATAAAATGACCAGATTGAATTAAGTATTATGCCTCCCTGTTATCTTTAGACTATGCGAATGGTATTGAAAAGTAAGAGGCGTGTCAGCGTTTTGAAGTCAGATCTACAGGCCATCATCAATCAAGGCACTTTGGCTACTTCTAAGAAAGCCCTGGCAAGTGACCGGAGTGGCGCAGATGAACTGGAGAACAACCCAGAGATGAAATGTAATCTTCCTTCTGCAGCTTGCTTTATTGGCGTGTTGGGCATAGATTTGGGGCTAGCATGGCCATCGTTAACTCATGAATTTCTTAATAGGGGTAGAACTTTATAACTCCGATGTTCTAAGTTGTCTGCTCACACTTCTCTTCCTGTAGTGGGGTGATGAACACCCCAGGGGACGCCCTGTCCCTGTGCTCCCAGGACCTACCCCAGGGCCAGACAGGGCAGCAGTGCTGATACCTGTTAGTTGAGTCCATAAACGATCAGATGAGTGTGCTTGCTGCTTGACAGTATTTATCTCCAGAATATCTCCTGTGGGGGAAAAGCTTAGTTTCTGCATCTGTGTTGTACACACACAGACTCCTGTGTCTCCTCAATCATGCTAAACTGCCTTGAGCTAGATGTCTGCGTCGACACATTCTCCCATCACTCTTGTTACTTGCAATGTGAAGTTTAACAATGGTGCTTTTACCATATTTCATTACTTTCCAAACAAGTGACAGGAAGCAGGTGGATATTCTTGCCATTTGCTATTGATCATTGTCATTGTTTTTCAAGAAAAAAATCCCCCTTCCATAAAGAGCTTGCGTTGCTGGCTGGTGTGTGTTGTTGCGTCCTTGGGGAGCGAACATAGTGGCAGCAGGAGCTCTCCAGACTCAGGGAGGACCTGGGAGGCAGGAAGCTGCAGGATGGTTACCGATTATGAATTATGGGCATCTCTAGGCCCTCCTATGATGGCTACAGGGAGGGTGCCAGGCTCCCCTGTGTGTGTCCTTTCCAAACACTCGCTGCCAAGATGCCCCAGGTAAGTCGAATGGCCTCTCCCTCTATGGGCATAACTCCTTGGTAGTACTCTCAGCTGTGTCTACAGCTGCCCGCTCAGTTCCTATGAACCCCTTCAGGCTATCAACTGTGTCTTATTCACCCTGGGCCACCCAGCATTGCACTGGCCCACAGGAGCACTTCAGTGTTTCGTGACTTGACGGATACAGAATTCAGGAGTACACAAAAGCACCACCTGTAAATTAGCCCATCCTCTTTCTTTCACCCTGAAGTAGGGCTGGCCTTGGTAGGGTTGTGCCAGTTATTAAAATACTAAAATATATCCCTAGTTGTTGGTAAATGACCTCTGCTCCCCTCTACTGTCCTGTCCCTTGATAGTGTCCCTTGGCTGACCCCAATTCCAGATCCTCCCATAGGGCACTTTTTTTTCCCACCAATCCAGCAACTAAAAGGTTAACACCTAATCTGGCAGGCTTCAGAACTATTAGTAGGATTACTAATTCTGATTAGTAATTCTGCAGTTCTGACTAGTAGGAACCCAAAAGGTCCCCTTCCCAACACTCTGGCTAACCAAAACCTCCTCTTGCCCCCAGCTGGATCACAGGGAGTCCCAGGAGGGCATGAGACACCCCCTCCCCCGCCCGGTGCCTTCCAGACTGCCCACTGGTCTGGCCAGGGCTCCTGTGCTCCTACTGGCATCTTTGTGAGTCCCAACAGGAAGATGCAGAGTTCTGCAGGGAGATAGCAGACTGCCAGCCACTGCTGATACCTGCAGGCAAATGATTCCAGTTCCAAGTCCAAGCGCACCTCCACCAAGCCTCAGAGGGGCCACTGCAACCGACTCAGTTTTCCAAACTCTGCTTGGTATGCAGAAGCACTCAAAAAGCTGGGAAGGCCAAAGGCTGTTCTTTCCCTGTCAGTGCTACCTGTGCAGGTGGAGGACCCAGAATCTGATGTCACACCAGGCTCCACCTAACTGAGTGCATAACCGCAGGCAAGGCGCTCACCCTCTCTCAGCAGCTTTGACGTATGTCTGCCATCACTTCAATGACATTAATAAACCAGCCCTTTGATGAAGATGGCAAGGATAGGTGAGGTCATGTCTGTATCGTGCAATGAGCTCATCTGAAGACAAGGTCTGGATAATTGCAAGGTGTAGTTATGGTTTCAAAATATTTCTGTTTCAACAAGTGGCAGAGGTGGCTCACAACAGGTATGTCCATGTAATTCTGAATAGATGACCGCAGAAGTGACAAAGCCAGCCTCAGGACATCCTCTGTGTTCACAATGAGCATGAGGCCCTGGGGAGTCCCTTCGAGCTATTGTTCAGTGATGTTTCCAGGTTACCCAGTACACAAATACCTAAGAGAAATTCTGCTCTGCTGCATGCAATCTTTTGTTTGTTTATTTTGTGTCTTTGTAGGTTTAAGAAACTTAATTTCTTTGCTGGGAACATCAACAGATCTCAGGGTATTCCTCAGCTGTCTGTCTTCACATCTCCAAGCATTTGTGTTCCAGGTAGGAAGCTGTGACTTAAAAAAAAAAAAAGTGTGTTGACCATTCTAGATAAATGAGTGCCCATTGCCTAAGGGATGGGAAAGAGGCTTCTTAGGCTCTGGTCGGAAATGTGTCAAAGCTGGCCTGGGTGTGAGGGCAGGGGATGGCCTCGAACTCTGTAGCAGGTGGAGAATGGGGGTCTGGTGGAGCACATCACATAAGTGTGTGTGTGTGTGTGTGTGTGTGTGAGTGTGGGCATATGTTTGGGTGTGTGGGAGTGTGTGTGGAGGGGCGAGCCTGTGATGAGCATGTGTGTCAGGGTGTGTGTGAGCATGTGTGTATGTGAGTGTGGTGAGCGTGGTGTACAGGTGAGTGGGTGTGCATGAGCGTGTGCAGTATGTATGTGTGGGTGAGCATGCATGGATGAGTGTGTGTACAGGTGAGCATGTGTGTGACAGTGTGTGTGAGCATGTGTGTAAGTGGGTGTGGGTGACTGCGTCTGCAGGTGTGTATTGCAGCAAAGGGAGTGTGGAAAAGGAGGAGGGGTTTTGTCTATTTCAGGGGGAGAGCAGCCCATGTTTTGCAGACATGTTCCAGTAAAATGTCTGGCTTGATTTCAAAAGCCCAAAGATGGTTTCGTTGTCGATATGGGCAGGTTTGATCCTTTCGACCAATGTGGCTCTTGGGAGTTGCTTCAGTGGGATCCTGGGCTTGATTTTCATCATCCTCCATGGGGGCAGTGGAGAGCTGAGAATGCCTTGAGAGAGGCCACGGCCCTTCACTCCATGGGCTCAGGGCAGGTGGGGAGAGCTAGGGGCTGCAGGTTAAAACCTACAGGGAGGCCAGGCACGGTGGCTCATGCCTATAATTCCAGCACTTTGGGAGGCCCAGGCAGGAGGATCACATGAGGTCAGGAGTTCAAGACCAGCCTGTCCAACATAGTGAAACCCTGTCTCTCCTAAAAATACAAAAATTAGCTGGGCATGGTGGCACGCACCTGTAATCCCAGCTACTCGGGAGGTTGAGGCAGGAGAATCGCTTGAACCCAGCAGGCGGAGGTTGCAGTGAGCTGAGAGCCACTGCACTCCAGCCTGGGCAACAAAAGACTCCGTCTGGCCGGGCATGGTGGCTCACTCCTGTAATCCCAGCACTTTGGGTGGCCGAGGCAGGCAGATCACAAGGTCAGGAGATGGAGACCATTCTGGCTAACACGGTGAAACCCCGTCTCTACTAAAAAAAATACAAAAAAATTAGCTGGGCGTGATGTCATGCGCCTGTAGTCCCAGCTACTCGGGAGGCTGAGGCACGAGAATCACTTGAACCTGGGAACTGGAGGTTGCAGTGAGCTGAGATCACACCACTGCACTCCAGCCTGGGCGGCAGAGCAACACTCTGTCTCAAAAAACAAACAAACAAACAAACAAAAACACCTAGAGGGAAATGAGGCAGCCCGGGCCCCACCTCTTGAGACTTTGTGCTTGCCAAGGCTGAAGTGGTTGTGAAGGGCTTTGAAGAGAAGGTGGGACTTAAAACTGGGATATGAAGCATGTGCAGGATTAAAATAAGCTGAGAGAGGGGGATCGGGCATTCAAGAGCAGGAGTGAGTTTACCCAGGAAGGAAGGAGCAGTCCACACTGGTGGAGAGAGCAAAGACTCCGAGGGCCTGGGGCTGGAAGCGTGGCTCTGGGCTTTCTCTTTAAGCTTCTGGCCGTGTTGTGGCCACTCCCTTGTGCCACCTGCCTGGCCTTGTCTGTATCCCTGAACTCTCAGTTGAGAAGAAAGAGGAGAAATAATCACTGAGACCAAGAAGACTGCAGGGGACTTTGGGATCTTCAACCTCCTAGACATGAACCAGAAAAATCCTCAGGAAGGAGCTGGAAAGCCAGTTCCAACCCTTGGCAGGTGCCTGGTCTCATTTGCTTCTTGAAAATAATTATCCCAGATTCTGTATGGTTTTTATTCCTCCTGTTGATCTTAGGCAAAGCTTATTTTTAACAGCAGTGACCATGTCCAGAGCTGGATGGCTACTGAGACATTTATTCATTTGCTAGCTGAAGGCTTATATTATACATCCTCACAGACAGGCGCTGTCCATTGTCTGTTCGTTAAGTGGAAACTGGAACTCAGCCTCCAGCGTTTTTTTTGTTTTTTTTTTTTGAGACGGAGTCTCGCTGTCGCCCAGGCTGGAGTGCAGTGGCGCGATCTCGGCTCACTGCAGGCTCCGCCCCCAGGGTTCACGCCATTCTCCTGCCTCAGCCTCCCGAGTAGCTGAGACTACAGGTGCCCGCCACCTCGCCCAGCTAATTTTTTGTATTTTTAGTAGAGACGGGGTTTCACCGTGTTAGCCAGGATGGTCTCCATCTCCTGACCTCGTGATCCGCCCGCCTCAGCCTCCCAAAGTGCTGGGATTACAGGCGTGAGCCACCGCGCCCGGCCAGCCTCCAGCTTTAATCAGATGAACCCACTGAGATCATCACTACCAACCCTGTCGTCCTACATTGTAAACCACAGAGCGCTATGTGTTTCCCAAGTCTCCATCGTTGTGCCTTCAGCCCTCACAAAGGAGGCAAATTAGAAAAATGGTGTTTTTGTAACTGCGTGCCTTTGAAGGACTTGTTTTTGTAAAATAGCTTGGCTGATCTTTACAAAACCAGATTATTGTCAATCAAGTGCTCAGACTATTAAGATGCACACCTTTGGGCTTGTCAGAGATGCCCCATGGCTTCAGTTAGCATCTGGCAGTCAGCGAGCAGAGGGCAGTTCGGGCCCTGGAGGAGCTTCTACGTTGGGGGACATGAAGTGCCACACTGTGGACGTGACGGGAAGAAAGCTCAATGGTGTTCATGGCTGACTTTCAAACATTTGTGCAGAGAAAGCCCTGGTCACTCAGAGCTGCATCCCTCGATGCTTTTAGGAAGTATCCCTGTGTTTTGTTTTTTTTTTTAATTGAGATGGAGTCTTGCTCTGTCACCCAGGCTGGAGTGCAGCGGCGCAATCTCAGCTCACTGCAACCTCCGCCTCCCAGGTTCAAGCGATTCTCCTGCCTCAGCCTCCGGAGTAGCTGGGATTACAGGCGTGTGCCACCCTGCCCAGCTAATTTTTGTATTTTTAGTAAAGACGGGGTTTTGCCATGTTGGCCAGGCTGGTCTCGAACTCCTGACCTCAAATGATCCACCTGCGTCTGCCTCTCAAAGTGCTGGGATTATAGGCGTGAGCCACCGTGCCCAGCAGGATCCCTGTGCTTTTGTACTCTCATTGTCCCTTCAACATAAAACCCTCTGCTGAACACTGATGGGAAGAGCTCCTCCCAAGAGTCCATCTCAGATGGTGAGGAGCACTGAGGAGGAGGATGCTACTGAAAGGACCTCACGTCCCCTGAAGCTCAGGGCCACCTTCTGGTGTGCCAAGGATTTCACTGGGGCAGAAGGGAAAAGAAGCAATGACAAGAAAGGGCATTCTTTGTTTGTAGCCAAGTTCTCTATTTCTTCCTCAAAGACATGTGGTGGAGCTGTGGTGGGTCCACAGGCATGTGACTGAGGATGAGAAGAGGCTTGGAGCATGCATATCAACAGATGCATTTGAAATCCATGACTCATGGCTTACAGATGGCTTCAAGTGTGGCCCAAGGCTGCTCTCTGTCTGGGTAGAGGGAATCTCTTAGTCTGCATGCAGCAGCATCTTATTGGTACACAGTTTAGTGCCAATGAGGCTGTCAGATGACCTTGGTTCCACTGGGTTTAGGGGCTGGGACTTTGCAGTTTGGAGCTTGGTTACACAGCAAGCATGACGACCAGCTTTTCCAAATAGGCACCACTGCTTTTCATTATTATGGGATTCTGTGCCCCTTTTCCACAATCAGATTTGACATGCAGAAGTGCAGGAATAAAACAGCCCCTGCCCCTCTTGATGGCCATTCCAAAGTGGACTTCAATGAGGCTGTCCCTACGGTGTTTCTGTGTCACACATCACAAGTGACCTCTTTTTTAAAAACTGTGTGGTGCTGGGCATGGTGGCTTATGCCTCTAATCCCAGTGCCTTTGGGAGGCCGAGACAGGAGGATCACTTGAGCCTAGAAGTTAAGGCCAGCTTGAGCAACATAGTGAGACCCTTATCTCTACCCACCCTCCCCCCCAAAATTAAATTAGTCATGTGCAGTGGTGCATGCCTGTAGTCCCAGCTACTCAGGAGGCTGAGATGGGAAGATCGCTTAAGCCCAGGAGTTCAAGGCTGCAGTGGGCCAAGATCGTGCCACTGCACTCCAGCCTGGGGAACAGGAAGACCATGTCTCAAAAAAAAAAAATTTGCTTTTTTTTTATTTTAAGAGAAAAAGTGAGCCAATTTCCTACCTCCCTCCTTCTCTCCACCAACTTTAAAGGGCTCTGCCCTGGAACCGTCTCCATGGAAGACAGAGAAAGACCAGACATTTGCCCCGCTGCCTCAGTTCCCGCTTTTGTTATTTCATCTTCCTCTTCTTTGGCTCTTTAAAAATGCGTGTGCATGACAAATGTGTGCATTTGAAAACATACTATGCTTCTTGATTTTATTACAAACTGCAGCCTTTTTTCTCACAAAAACTTAACAGACAAGCAGAAGCAAAGAAGAGTTTACCAAATTGGCCGCCAGCTTCCAGCTGAGATGGAATCTTCTTCTCACTGCTGTAAGCAAAGCCATGACCCTCTGCCACAGAGATAGTTTTGGTAAGTCAGAGAATAAGAAAGTATTTTGTATTCTACCTTTTAAAAATGTCATTATGGCATAAGTATTTTGCGTATTGCTATGTAGAATCCAGCCGTCTTCTTTTAACCTTTCTATGTAAAATATAACATAGATACAGCAAACCATACAACACGATAGTAATTTTTATTTTTAGTGTCAGTGTGATAGTCTGTCAAACAGATGGACCATGCTTTTCCTTCCTGTTTCATCATCGTTAGACACACTCTCCTTGTTCTTGAATTATGAGCTTTGTGACATTTAGAGAAAAGCACCGAGAGAGACAACTGAGATGGAGAACAAAATGGGTTCTTTGAAGCACTCATACTTAACTCTCAGGAATAATGATTAAGTTGCCATTGTATGCGATGGTAGAGAGAGTGAAGTAATGTTCATTTTGCAAACTTCCTGGTCAAATCACTTCCTCTGTTGGGGAAGGTCACATCTTTGATGCAATTGCCTTATAAAAAGGGTTGTAGGGGTTGGGTGCTGTGGCTCACACCTGTAATCCCAGCACTTTGGGAGGTTGGGGCAGATGGATCACCTGAGGTCAGGAGTTCGAGACCAGCCTGACCAACATGGTGAAACCCTGTCTCTACTAAAAATACAAAAATTAGCCGGGCGCGGTGGCGGACGCTTGTAATCCCAGCAACTCAGGAGCTTGAGGCAGGAGAATCACTTGAACCTGGGAGGCAGAAGTTGTGGCGAGCTGAGATTGCACCAACGCACTCCAGCCTGGGTGACAAGAACGAAACTTCACCTCAAGAAAAAAAAAAAAAGGATTATAGGAAGGGAAGTTCACCACTCAGCCCACCAGCTTCATGGAATGGATCATTCCTTCAAAAGGTATTTCTTGTTTCCCAGGCACCTTCCTGGGCACTGGGCATACAGCAGTGGAAAGATAAAGTCTCCACTCCTGTGAGTTTGCACAGTAGTTATGGCAAGTGATCCCTGCATAGAGAGCTGCCAGATACTCTCACAGCAAGAAGGAAGAGAAAGCAAGCCCTATTCTAGACCAGCTTTGCAGACACCCTGGAGCTCCTGAGGGCTGCTGCTATCAGCTGCCATATAGGTGACACTCACTTATAGTGGGACTCTTCCCTTCACTGAAGTCCAAACTGACTCTGCTTTATGCTCCTGCTCTTTCAGAGCAGAGAGACAGCAGAGTTCACATGCATCATGGGAAGAAATCTAGCCCTGAGCCGGGTGTGGTGGCTCACACCTGTAATCCCAGCAGTTTGGGAGACTGAGGGACACAGATCTCTTGAGCCTGGGAGTTTAAGGCCAGCCTGGGCAATATGGTGAAACCCTGTCACTACGAAAAAAAAAAAAAATTAGCCAGGTGTGGTGGCCCAGTAGTTCCAGCTACTTGGGAGGCTGAGGTGGGAGGATTGCTTGAGCCAGGGAGGCAGAGGTTGCAGTGAGCTGAGATTGTGCCACTGCACTCCAGCCTGGGCAACAGAGCCAGACTCTGTCTCAAAAAAAGAAAAGAAATCTAGTCTGTAGTTGTTACTTTTCCCAGTCTACCTTCTCTGTACCTCCATATGAAATCAATGTATTCACACCAGTAGTTTGAACAATGGTTTCAGGACTTGGACTATGATTTTTCAAGGTTAAATAGGAAAGACGATGTTGTCAGGCTCACTTCAGGCAAGGTCATGCCTTCCACGGGGGCAATGATCTCTCACCCAGATCCGTGGAGGAATAGAACACTACTCAGGGAAAAAACTGTGAAGGGCTTTTGAAATGGATGAAAAGATTACTTGAAATGGACAAAAGGCTTTGAAATGGACAAAAGGTTGGCACAGCCTTCTGGGTTATCTCTACCTTCCATTGTCTTTGAGTTATTTTTACAGCCCTGTAAGTTGCAGCAAACTGATAATGCAGATGACCCTCATCCACAGAAATACAAGCTAGTTGTGTCAGGTGGTTGTGATTGATACTACCCTGAGGACAGATCCCTTTTGCATCTATTTGTCACTGTCAGCATTATTTTCTGTCTATAGTATATAGTTAGTACTTTGAATTCTCTTTTGAACCAGTGGCAACATCTTACTGATGTAGCAATAAGATGTAATACATCATTTAATTAATGAGTTAAATAAAACCTTTGATATGTCCTTTTTTCTTTTTTCTTCTTGAGATGGAGTCTCGCTCTGTCACCCAGGCTGGAATGCAATGGTGCGATCTTGGCTCATTGCAACCTCCGCCTCCTGGGTTCAAGCGATTCTCCCGCCTCAGTCTCCCGAGTAGCTGGGACTACAGGCACGTGCCACCCTGCCCGGCTAATTTTTTGTATTTTTTAGTGAAGACAAGGTTTCGCCTTGTTAGCTGGGATGGTCTCGATCTCCTGACTTCGTGATCTGCCCGCCTCGGCCTCCAAAAGTGCTGGGATTACAGGCGTGAGCCGCTGTGCCCAGCCTGATGTGTCCATTTTATATCTGTATAAGAGTCATGGTTTTACCTTTATTTAAAACTTATCTTTTAACAATTGCAATAGGCCAGATTTCCCCCTCTGTTTCTCAAGCAAACATTAATGATTGTTTTCCTTTCTGGGAGCACAAAGGCCTTGGGATTTGGAGCATTCAGCTAAGTCACATACCCTCCTGTCTCTGATGACAGCACTTGCAGGCCCACCTGAGAAGACGCCTCTCACAGGTGGAATGCCAGCTGGCCTCCTTACCCACTTCCCACACAAAGAGCTGCAGCCACAGGGTCTGCAAGAGGGGCAAGGCGCTACGTTTCAAACACCACAAAACAGCAGCAGGGTTCCCTCTGCACACTGCCCCCGTTTCCTCCCACCCCTTCTGGACATTCCTGTGGATCATACATGGGGCACGATGAGGTTGAGGGGTACCCTCTCCAGCTCTGGGAGCAGCACCCAGTTCCCTGTAGGGTTTGCTTTTCTCCCATCTCACACCGGATGGATTTTAAGTTCCTTTTCATGACTTAGGCTATTTAGCTCTTGGTCCTTTCTGTCCAAAAGCTGCCCTGCCAGGGGTTTTCTACTGATGGATGCTACGTAAGAGGCCGACCCAGGCCTCTTCTGGGTAAGCTATTGGAACGAGGCTCACGTACACAGGTGTTAGCCCCAGAAAAGTTGTTAGTTTCACAATGATTTGTTTATTGTCTGTCGATCAAATGTATTCATTTTTGGTTATTATCTAAATGTAGGCTCCTGGCATCTGTTTCACTTGTTGCTTTTGGAATATATGATTCATATACTTCAGTCATGCCTAGAGGAGGAAGAGGAGGAGGAGGACATGGGGACTGTCAAGGAAATGCTACCAGATGACCCGACTCTCGGCCAGCCAGACCAGGCACTTTTCCATTCTCTGAATTCCTCACTGTCGCAGGCGTGTGCCAGCCCCAGCATGGAGCCACTGGGGGTGATGCCCACACACATGGGCCAGGGCCGATATCCCGTGGGTGTGAGCAACATGGTCCTCAGGATCCTGGGCTTCCTGGTGGACACTGCCATGGGCAATAAGGTAGGGACACCAGGACCCCCTTCCACACAGCTGTTTCAAGGGGAATAAGAGCCACAGGTGATTAGTAAAACCCTCAAGATCACTTTGTCCAAACAATGATAAACGATTCTACAGTCATCTTTACCCTAGGTGATTTTGCCAGGGGTGAGTTTAATTCACTATCTGTTGATTACTGGTCAGCTCAGGTTTGTGGGACATTGATAGATGCCTGGCATGATTAGAAGTGTGACCATCTGATGGCCTGGGTATTTCTTGCCTTCCCAGAGTGTGCCTGGCCTGGTTAGACTAACTCAGCAGTAGCACACCACTAACGTCTGAGTGGCATGCACTGAAAATTCCCCTAGTGTTCAAAGACGGAAACGTCGAATAGTCTGAACAGAGGATTTTGAAAAGATTACATTGGGATACCTGTTGAAAGATACAAAAATTAGAGTTACTATTTACCTAACACCTACTATATAGCCCTTATGTATGTTATCTCGAAGCCATGCCATCCTATAGAATATTTGTTCTTGTCATTGTCATTTGATGGATGAGGAAACTGAGGCTCACAGAAGCTGAGTGACTTGCACAAAGTCACACAGCAAGGAAATGCGAGGAAATAGTGGAACAGAGATTGGAGCCCCAGCCTGCCTGATCTCAAGTCCATTCTTCACCTACAACCCTAGACAGGAGGTTGTTTTATGCCCTGAGGAGTGCAGGACGCAGGTTGTAGAGGTCGGACATGGACCTCAGTACCATGAAGCAGAGCTGGACTGATGGAGGAACAACTGAAATGCCTCCATTGAGGAGTGGGGAGTGGGCTGGTTAAAAAAAACTGACAGCGATTGTCTTAGGGCTAATTTCTCTGCACATATTTGATGTTTAGCCGCTATCCGCCTTCTTCTTTTTGTGCCCACAAGTTCCCCCTCTCGCACAGATGAGTTGTGCTTAGTAGGAAATTGAGGCAGGTGCGATCATTCAACCTGAAGCAAGTTGTGGCAGTGAGTCACAGCCTAAAACTCTTCATGCCTTAGAGTCCGCAGAATAACAGGAACCTTCCAGGGCCCTTTCCTTCTTGAGCAGACTCTCATTGCGAGTTCTCCGATTGCAGAGATCCTGCACACCTGTTACTGAGCAATGCTTGGACAAGACACCTCCCTAGACCAAAAAAACAAAACAAAACAAAACAAAACAGGAGCCGGGGAAATGCATCTCTCAGGTTTACCAGTTCTCTATCTGTATTTGGTCTTTGTTTCTCACTTTGAGATAGTAAGTCACGTATCCAGCTGCATTCGGTGCTCTCTGTGAGGTAGATTCCAACGTTTGTCTGTAAATGAGAAACTCACCTCCTCCACGAGTGTCCATGTGAAAAAAGCAGACATGGTCGATGAAGGATGCAGCAGCGAAACACTGACCCCAACTTGGGGGTGCTGATGAGAGCTGGGCCTCCTTAGCTGGCAGCAGCTAAGGCGCTTTCAGGAAGCAGGTGTTTCCAGACAGTTGGCAGAAAGAAGGCCCAGTTAGATCTGAAGAGGCGATGGCTTGGCTAGGCTATACCTAGGAGGATGGCTCTCCCTGCTGCTGTACCTGGCGGCAGAGCCCTCCAAGGGCCACCAGTGGAAAGCGCCTGAGTGTACTCTGGAGCATTCTGTAGAGCCCTAGCAGGGCCAGCATTCATGCTGGGCTGCAGTGTTCAGCTCCAAGTGAAAGCAAATTCTTTGCGCTCACCGGCTGGAGCAAGAGGTCGGAGTGTAGCATGACAACTTGTGAAAGGAAAAACAAAAACATCTTGCAGTGACACTCGTTAAAGCACCGTAAGGGAGGCTTTATCTGTAAGGAAGGCTTTATTCAGTACCATCTCCACAGGGCTTTTGCAACCGGGGAGGGAGATTGGGCTTAACTCTGAGTACAGAAGGGACAGGGTGGCGGGTGCAGAATTTATAGCCTAGGAGCCAGGTGGGGGTCAATGGATGGGAATTTACTAAGAAGAAATGTCAGAGGTAAGGGGGATTCTGCTGAACCCACCTAAGAGGATTCTTGTAGAAGTCCAGCCAGCTGGGGTGACCAGACATCACCTGGAGGCTGGCAGAGGATGAGGAAACTGATCACATATGGAGATGGGGCATTCTCGCTAAAGTGACTCAGCAGGGTTCTTGCTAAAACTGGATTTTATAAGGAAGTGGGCGAAGGAGAAGGTTCAGGAGCCAGACTAAAGTTCAGCCAAGCGGAGAATGTTAGTCAAATTATATACACATGCTTCCTAGTCAGCAAGGTAACCAGGAGTAAGCTTTTACGTCTTCAGCCACAGTTAGAAGGCGTGAAGAGCAGACGCTGACAGTCTCCCGGAGCTGAGCGTTTAAATGCATCTTTTCATCTCAATGAAATAGGTGTTATCATCAACCTCATTTTACAGCTGGCATAACTGAGGATCTTGAAGGGGTTGGGTAATTTTCCCAAGGTCACCTCACTAATCAGTGGGAGAACAGGAATTTACACCTCCACAGATCCTTCCAAGACTGTCCTTCTCAGCATTCTCTCTCTCCCCAACAGTGTTTTCTACCATCTGCTTTAATTCCAAAATTGGTCTCTTGGGACTAATTACTAAAAATACCTTCAAATCTGATAAGGGCAATCCTGGTACATACATTTCTGGGTTCAAATTCTACTTCTTCCCCTTATTAGATAGAACACTGGACAAATTGCTTAACTTATGGGGATACTCATGTCTAATTCTACAGGAACATTATGAGGTTTAAATGAGTTAATTGTTGTAAAATGCTTAGACTATTTCCTAGAATGTAGTAAGTACCCAATAACCACTGGTCATCGTTATTATTTCTCCACCACGGCCTCCTAAGCTGAGCACTTCCTCTTAACACTGTTGGCCCAATCCCTTAGCTCCTCTGAAGTTCCTTGCAAAGAGGTTTGACCTATATTTAATGGTTGGAAACAATAGAGAAGATATTACATACTTAATTGAACTACAGAATAAAGCAATACAAGCAGACAAATGTCAGGTAATCCAAGGTAATACACATTAGAGATTAATTAAACCTGCTTCTGTTCATTCATGCCTGCTGAATTAGCTATAATGACTTAAACAATCACACCAAAAAGTTACGCTCATCTGATTTTCATTGCATCCATTATTCAGCACTTGCACTCATCATCAACAAAAAAGCACACCCTGCATGTCCCATCTGCATTCATCTGCCACCGTTTAACACCCATTCAGCTGCACAGCTGTGGCAGCCTCATTCCCTGAACAATTTAGCGCTGGCCTGCACCTCCGGTAACAACTGAAGTCAGCATTCCGGATTGCCATACCCATCTGTCCCTCTTCTACATTCTAGCGGCGTTCAAAATAGTCAGATGCCAAGGCGTGTTTAAGAACAAAGTGAAAAACTATACTGATATTAAATAACGAATTTAGGTCATGTACTCCAGGATTACAGCAGAGCAAAACAAATTTTTTTAAGTGTCTCTTCACCTCTAAGATAAAGGTGAAAACAATTTTTTGAAAAAGAAGAAAAACACCTTTTCACTGGGTGGTGATGGTTTTTGTCGAATTTAGAGAAAGAGTGAGACATGCTTTCATGAACCTTGCATTTGAAGTTATGGTGCACACATCTCTGTCAAAGTATACTAGCTTATAGGAGGTTTATTGATGAAATCAGACCAAGTGAATACATTTCTATTGGTTTTAAAGTAGTCATGACCAAGTTTCCTGGAGCTAAGGGAGGGATGGTACATTCGCCTTTCTCTGATAGGAAGACTTGCTCGTCAGGTGAAGTGGCTGAGGAGAGCTTCAGCTAACTTAGAACCTCCCCACCTCTCGAATCTGTTACTTCCCAATTGAGTCACCAATACCAGATTGCTGTTTTCATAGGTTTTTTCCCCCATTTAGTGGTTTATTTGACGGATGGGGGAAGGAGAGCCTGTGTGGGAATTTGAACTGACTATGTCAGCTCCAGAGACTTGTTGAGAATGTGGGGATTAGTACCCGTCTGGAGACTCCCAAATTGATGGGGGGTCTCCAGCTACATGGAGACCGTGGGTGCCTTTCACAGGCTCCCTCCCGACTTTCATGACTCATCTTCTTTCTCCAGTGTCTGTTAAGGAAGAGTGTTGGTTTGCTCTCACGAGGACATTTCTCACAAACTGCCTTTCCCTAAAGAGAGCCCATCAGCTCCCCGCCCCTGCACCATCCCTGCCTTGCAAAGCCTCCCACTGAGTCCTCACTGGACCCTGAGTGTTTTCCTGAGAAATCAGGAGTTCTCTTAGAATAAATGCATGGGCTGGGTGCTGTGGCTCACGCCTGTAATCTCAGCACTTTGGGAGGCTGAGGCAGGTGGATCACCTGAGGTCAGGAGTTCGAAACCAGCCTGGCCAACGTAGTGAAACCCTGTCTCTACTAAAAATACAAAATTAGCTGGGCATGGTGGCACATGCCTGTAATCCCAGCAACTTGGGAGGCTGAGGCAGGAGAATCGCTTGAACCCAGGAGGCGGAGGTTGCAGTGAGCTGAGATGGCGCCATGGCACTCCAGCCTGGGTAACAAGAGTGGAACTCCGTCTCAAAAAAAAAAAGGAATAAATGCATGAACTTCTCCTTTACATCCCAGGGTGGGAGCACGGGCTTGGTAGAAGAATTCAAATGGTAGTTCCTGCAACAAGGAATAGTATCTGTCTCTTTTTATCTTTTCCCTTAAAACATTTCCCTCTTGCAGCTCATCCAGGTGCTGTTGGAAGATGAAACCACTGAAAGCGCAGTTAAACTCAGCCTTCCTATGGGACAAGAAGCCCTCATAACCCTAAAAGATGGACAACAATTTGTGATTCAGATATCAGATGTACCCCAAAGCTCTGAAGATATTTATTTCAGAGAAAACAATGCTAATGTGTGAGATTATTTATTTGAATAGAGAATAAGAAAACTGATAGACTTGCATTCTTAAAAATATTAAATACTAAAGTTTTTCTATTGACGAAAGATGATGTTATGTATATAATAGATGTAGCATTGTCTATTTTATGTTTATATGTATTTCAAGGAGGTGGTTTCGATAAAATATGTAAACTGATTTGGAGAATAATTTTTGCCTCTGTTGCTTTTCTTTTGGGGCTGTCTGAGTATTTCTATTTTGAGACATGGCAGAAAAGAAATTTGAGAATGCTTTTTGGGAGTAAATAAATGGTTAAGGCTCCAGAGAAAGAAAAAGTTCAAAGAATACCAACTGGTGCAAGCAGTAAAATGCCAGTGGTAATATTTTTCCTCCCCTTGGTGGTGCCTCAATCGAAATAGAATTTGTAGATAGATCCCCTCAGGCAGTGAGGAACAGAAAAAAAATCAATATGATATCACTGTTAAACTCATTCACTGGTCCATTAAACACCTTTGGTTCACTATCCCGATTTCCTTAATGAGAGAATTTTGGATGCAACAATGTCTGCAGCAGAGGCTAATGTCCTGCTTTGAATCACTCTTTAGTTCTCTTTTTGTAGCAAAATCCTAAAAACTGCTGAAACTAGGAATAGATCATTGTTACAGAAAATCCACTTTTATGTAACTGATTATAATATTTAAAAGGAATTTTAAAATTCGTGCTTCACATGATTTCCGGTATACATGGAAAAAATAGATAATATTTTATTGATCTCATATTACATATGAAATGAACTAAATTTCCTGTATCTTTACATAGGGAATGAATTAAATTTACTTATGAAATGAATTACATTTCCCCAAATGCTTGGAAATTTTTTAAAAAACCACAGGAGCTATATGTCTGTAGATTCATTAAGAATTACTCATCTTTATGGATAAAAAAGTAATCATATTTAAGAGCCCTTTTCAACTACATTTAATATATTATCTCAAGCTATCTGGGAGGAGTTGTTCTTTGTCGAAGAATGAGTCAGAGAGACATTTATTCTTTTGCTCACTGCTCAGTGACTTTGCATGTCATGTGTTTGCTCATAAGTAAGTAGACAGTTGGTGGACTGAGTCACGGAACACAGGCAACAACAGGATCTGTAAGTCTGGGAATGGTGAATTTTGTTTGCATGTTTTGGGATAAACTGATTAGCTAAGAGCTAGCAGAAGTCATTCTGGGCATTCTGTCCTTGAATGCCCAAGTTTACCAAAGAAAACAATTTTCATTGTTTCTCTGTAGCATTAGACGTTAGGATAGGGGATGAGGATGGGTAGTAACAGAGAGGAGGAGGGACTTCTGGGACTGTTGCGATTTGTATTAGTATGGTTTCTTTCTTAGTTGATCTTGGGGCCTGTCTAGGAGAGCCCTGATTGGGTGGGTGGGGGAGAGAGTAAGGTTTGGGTGTGTTGGTGAAACTAAAATGCAAGAAGCAGAAGTTTATTGCTCACAGACCCAGAGAGGTTGGGGCACCGAATCACTAGGAGGGCCAGGAGGAGTCTGGAGGCAGCAGGGAGCTCAACCAGCCTGTGGTTGAGCCTGCGGGACCTGCCTTTATTAAGGCCCAGGGTACTATTCCTTAGGCTTTCACTTGGGACTTGTGGATCTGGGTCATTTAAAGAAAACATACCTAAAGGAGGGAACTCATTTACATGACTCCAGTGTTGATCATTAGATTTTTTCCACAGACAGCAGCTGTGGCATGAGCTGGATTTGGCATCAGTGAGATGAGGAATAAGCAGGCTCTATTGCAAACACCACACAGAGAGGAGAAGTCTCACTGAGGACAAGGATGACAGGGTTCAACTGGATTTCAAACAGCTTATGTCAGGTCTAAAAATGGCTGTCAAGGCTGCCACTCCATGAAATCTATGCCAGGAACCCTCATGGTGCTCCCGTTCTTGGGTTGGGGGCTGGCCATACAGTGTAGTATGCTCACCTTGCAAAAATGTGTCACGAAGTTTGTGATTTGACTTGATTACATTTCTGCATATGTTATATATGAAAGTGTATCTTAAAAAATGCAAGGTGGCCAGGCACGGTAGCTCACGCCTATAATCCCAACACTTTGGGAGATCAAGTGAGAGGATCGCTTGAGCATAGGAGTTCAAGACCAGCCTGGGCAACATAATGAGAGCCCGATCTCTATAAAAGAAAAAAATTAGCTGGATGTGGTGGCACGTAGCTGTAGTCTGAGCTACTCAGGAGGCTGAGGCAGGAGGATTGCTTGAGCCCAGTTCAAGACTGCAGTGAACTACTATCATGCCACTGCACTTCAGCCTGGAAGACAGAGCAAGACCCTGTCTTAAAAATAAATAAGTAAATGGCATTGCCCACTTTATGGGAATTGGATTGGAGGTTCCTGGTGGAAGAAAGACTAAAAAGCACACAGGAGGGTTTCAAGAGAAAGCAAGCTGGGCTTGAAAAGTCACCAGGTGCAGTGGCTCACACCTATAATTCCAGCACTTGGGAGGCCAAGGCAGCTGGATTACTTGAGCTCAGGAGTTTGTCACCAGCCTGGGCAACATGGTGAAACCCTCATCTTAACAAAAAATATAAAAAATTAGGCAGGCATAGTGGTTAGCGCCTGTAGTCCCAGCTACTTGGGAGGCTGAGGCGGGAGGATAGCTTGAGTCCAGGAGGTTGAGGCTGCAGTGAGCTATGATTGTACTGCTGCACTCCAGCCTGGGCCACAGAGCGAGGCCCTGTCCGGAAAAAAAAAAAAAAAGAAGGAAAAAAGAAGAAGAAAGAGAGAGGAGAGAGAAAGAAAGAGAGAAAGAAGGAAAGAAAGAAAAAGAAAGAAAGAAAAGAAAAAGAAAGAGAAAGAAAGAAAGAAAGAAAGAAAGAAAGAAAGAAAGAAAGAAAGAAAGAAAGAAAGAAAGAAAGAAAGAAAACCAACAAGCTCTGGTGTGAGAACAGAGCTGCACCTGCCTCATAGGCAAGTCTTTGTTTTTAACTCCCAATCCCCTTCCTTGATGAGCTGAGACACGAGGCCCAGCAAGGAGAAAAATGAAAAAGAATACAAACACATCTGCCTTGCCCACCTCAGCCCTCAAATCCTAAAGCAGCTAGCAGGAGAGAGGAGAAGATGTCAACCTTCATAAAGTTTGACATTTTGATTATTACACTGACGTTTTAATTACTGAACAGAGATGGTTCCCATGATTGAAAGTAACTGGTGGTCTATTACTTGAAAGTGAGCATGAATGTGAACAGGAAATCCCCCTATCCCCATCCCAAACTTAGATTTTTCTTCAAGAGCCATAAAGAATCCACATAGCAGGTTGCAAAGATTGTTTTCTGCTTGTACCATGGATCAGTTCACTATTACAGCGTAACAAACTAATCCTTCATGGCGGCTTAAAACAACCACTGTCTATTTATTATTCCCCACCAGTCCGCAGTTTGCTTGGGTAGCTGGTTCTGCTGTTCTGGGCTGGACTCAACAAATCTCAGCTGGGATCACTCAGACCTCCAAGGTTCCTGACAGGTATGTAGGGGGCTGGCTAGTCTAGGATGGCCTCAGCTGTCCTCCATGTGGTTCCCACATTCCTTCAACAGGCCAGTTCATGCATGTTCTCATGACAGGAGGGAGTCCAAGAGAGCAGACGTGGAAACACACAAGCATGTTTTCACACCTCCTTTTGCATCAAGTGTGGTCTTGTACCATTGACCAAAGCAAGTCATGTTGCCAAACTCAGAGTTAGCAAGATAAGGTACACCTAATGGGTATGGATGCAGGGAGGTGTCAGACAACTGGAGTTGTCAACCACATCACTCACCACCTACCTTATCCAGTTCAACTCACTCAAAATAACATCTAAATCATTATCCCAATTGCTCCGTTCCCAGGTGGAAATGACCTGCTCAGGGTCCTCAAGCAGCAGTGAGATCCTGGCCATCTGCAGATTCCACAATCAATCACCCCCATCAATTGTGACATTATTACAGCACTGCCCTCCATGCAACTTAACTCGATAGGAAACAAACATTTGATCCGTTAGTATGCATAGAAGCAATATTATTTTCTGAAACAGTAATTTGAAATAGGAATAATAATGAGAAACTGTACAGACAGATATCCCCCAGGGCACATTACTGATTGTCAATATGGTGAGTACAGAAAGAGAGGCACATCACACTTCTCTTCACAGTAATAATAGCTGCACCCACATGTATCTTGGAACATAAATGTTCACTCATGATGATAAGTCGGAAGCCCACTAACATGCTGGCAGCAGACAGATTTTTCAGAAACACATATCTGATCAAAAATTTACAGTGATGTTTTCCAAAATTAAGTATTTGTCGTGTATTTTTTCTTTTACCAGGTACTCTTTAAACACTTGGGATTGTAGGGGTGGAAAGCTGTGATACCTTTCCTCACCCACCATGAGGGTCATGGCCAACACTCCTGTAGCAAAGGAAAAAAGAGAAAAGCATAACAAATGTATTTAATATTTAATCCAATGTATTAGGCCATTCTCACACTGCTACAAAGAAATACCCGCAACTGGGTAATTTATAAAGAAAAGAGGTTTAATTGGCTCTTGGTTCCACAGGCTGTACAGTTAGCATGACGCATCTGCTTGGCTTCTGGGGAGGCCACAGGAAACTTACAATCATGGCAGAAGGTGAAGGGAAAGCAGACACATCTTACATGGCTGGAGCAGGATAGGTGCTATACACTTTTAAATGATGAGATCTCACGAGAACTCACTCACTATTAGTGAGTAGCACCAAAGGGGATATTCACCCCCATGATCCAATCACCTCCCAGCAGGCCCCACCTTCAACGTTGGGGATTACAGTTTGACATGAGATTTGGGCGGGGACACAGATCCAAACTGTACCATCAAAGTTTTATGTGACGTGAAAGCCTAAATAAATAACGACTCAAAGACTCAGGGAAAACTGTCCATTTTCATGCTTAGGTTTGGTGAAGAACGGACAATCATGAAGAAACGTGATTGGACAAAAAGTAAATGATCTAATGGTAATAGACTGAGTGGGGAAACCCAGCAAGGTCTGTCTGTTCAGATTCTCCTTCCTCCTTCTGTGTGTCATTCCCTTCCCCCAGGTGTGGGGCAGGACCCCTTCTGGAATGAGGTCTCATGACCTACTCTCAGACAAGGTGAGTCCAAGAACCTCTTTATGGCCAGCTCCTATACAGAAAGGCAGAGGGAGTTACAGTCATATTTCTAGGCTTTATGGCTGCCTTTGAAGGAGAGGGGTCCTAATTCCTATGATCCACCTTGGGGAAGAGAAATTCTAGTTCCTATGGCCTGCCTTGTGGGAGAGACGAGAGCAGGAGAAAGAAGGGTAGGAAAAGGCCAGAAAGAGATTTTGCTTCTGAGGCTCTTCCGCTGTCCTTTACTTCAAAGTACTCAGCATGTCAAAGCGTTACACTCTGGGCATGATTTTCTCAACCATGAATAAAATAGACAAATCTCTGCTCTTATTGAGCTTGTGTTCCTCGTACAGGAATACTGACACTGAGCAAATAAAAGCAAAATATCTTAAGTAGATATAAGTGTTATCGTGAAAATTCACTATGGGGATGGGGATGCTCTTTTTTTTTTTTGACAGAGTCTCTCTCTGTTACCCAGGCTGGAGTACAATGGCGCAATCTCGGCTCACTGCAATCTCTGCCTCCCAGATTCAAGCAATTCTCCTGCCTCAGCTTCCCAAGTAGCTGGGATTACAGGTGTGTGCCACTATGCTCAACTAATTTTTGTATTATTTGATAGAGTCGGGGTTTTGCCATGTTGGCCAGGCTGGTCTTGAACTCCTGACCTCAGGTGATCTGCTCACCTCTGCCTCCCAAAGTATTGGGATTACAGGCGTGAGCCACCGCACCCAGCCTGATGCTGCTTCTTATAGGGCATTCAAGCAAGACCTCTCTCACAGGGTGTAATCTGAAAAGAGACCTGAAGAAGGTAGGAGAAAGGAAAGGTGTGAGAGTCTCCTAAAAAGGGGAGGAGAATGAATCAGAGAAGTAGGAGAGTACAACCAGGCAGGGCTAATGCCCCCTTGAAGTTAATGGCCATAAATCTGAAGTGATTAAGGAACTTAAAATCATATATATTCTCTATATATACACTGTATATATATTTAAAATCATATACACACTGTATATAAATCATATATATGATATATATATAATCATATATACTATACATATATATGATTTTTATATA
This sequence comes from Homo sapiens, assembly GCF_000001405.40. Lineage (NCBI taxonomy): Eukaryota > Metazoa > Chordata > Mammalia > Primates > Hominidae > Homo > Homo sapiens. The sequence goes on along the minus strand of NC_000002.12, from coordinate 101,391,320 downwards.
TATATACACTTCAAATTTATGGCCATTAAGTAAATTATATATATATATGATTTTAAGTCCGTTAATCTCCTCAATATATATAGAATATATAATATATTGATAAAAGAAATTAAAGGCAACACAAATAAGTGCAGAGACATCCCATATTCATGAATCAGAAGACATAATTTTGTTAAACTGTTCATACTACCCAAAGGAATCTACAAATTCAATTCAATTCCTATCAAAATCCACTTAGTGGCTGGGTGCAGAGGCTCACACCTCGGAAGGCCAAGGTGGGAGGACCATGTGAGTCCGGGAGTTCAAGACCAGCCTGGACAACATAGCAAGACCCCATTTCTACAAAAAAAAATTAAAAATTAGCCAGGCATGATGGCATGTGCCTATCTATAGTCCTAGCCACTCCAGAGGCCAAGGAGAGAGGATCGCTTGAGCACAGGAGTTTGAGGTTACAGTGAGCTATGATCATTACCACTTCACTCCAGCTTGGGCAAAAGAGTAAGATTCTGTCTCTAAAATGAACAAACAAGAAATAATAATAATAATAATAATAATAATAATAATAATAATAATAATCCTGCAATGTTATCCCCTTACACCAATTAGAATGGCCATTATAAAAAATAACAGGTGTTGATGAGAAGGTGGATGGATACATTAGAACTCTTGTGCACCATTGGTGGGAATATAAAATAGTGCAGCCGTTTTGGGAAACAGTATGGAGGTTCATTAAAAGTAAACTACCTTATGATTCAGCAATCACACTTATGGGTATTTACCCAAAAGAATTCAAGACAGGACCTCAAAGAGGTATTTACACTCAAATGTTTATTGCAGTAGTATTCACAATAACTGTAACACAGAAACAACCTAAATGTCCATCAATGATGAATGGATAAAGAAAATATGGGCCCGAGGCAGTGGCTCACGTCTGTAATCCCAGCACCTTGGGAGGCTGAAGTCAGAGAATTGCTTGAGCTCAGGGGTTCGAGATCAGCCTGGGCAACATAGTAAGACCTCATCTCTACAAAAAATAAAAAATAAAAGTGAGCCAGGCATGGTGGTGTGCCTGTAGTAACAGCTTCTCAGGAGGCTGAGGATGGGGGGACCACTTGAATCCAGGCAATCCAGGCTGCAGTGAGCCATGATCGTGCCACTGCACCCCAGCCTGGGCAACAGAGTGAGACCCTGACTCAAAAAAAAAAAAAAAGGAAATGTGATATATACATATGTGAACCCAGAAGGCTAATCAGAAACTCAGAAGAATGCAACTGTTTGTGTCTCACCTATCTGTGACCTGGAAGCTCCCTCCCCGCTTCAAGTCTTCCTGCCTTTGCTTCAAGTTGTCCAGCCTTTCCAGACTGAACCAATGTACTTCTTACAAGTATTTTGATTGATGTCTCATGTCTCCCTAAAATATATAAACCCCAGCTGTGCCCTGACCACCTTGGGCACATGTCATCAGGACTTCCTGAGGCTGCGTCATGGGAGCATCTTCAACCTTGGCAAAATAAACGTCCTAAATTAACTGAGACCTGTCTCAGATTTTGATTTTGGGGGCCCAAGATATTTTCCTTTCACACACGCAATGGAATATTATTCACCCTTTAAAAAGAATAACCTCCTGTCATATGCTATAACATGGATGAATTTTGAACATCATGCTAAGTAAGGTAAGCCAGTCATGGAAGGACAAATACTGTATAATTCCACTTATATAAGGTATCTAAAATAGTCAAACTCATAGAAACAGAGTAGAATGGTTGCTGCCAGGGGCTGGGGGGAGGGAAAATGGGGAGTTGCTGTTCAGTGGATAAAGAGTTCCAGTTATGCAAGGTACAATTCTAGAGATTTGCTATAGAACAATGTTCTTATAGTTAACAATGCTGCACTGTACACTTGTTGAGAGGATAGATCTCCTGTTACATTTTTTACCACATTTTTTTAAATGGGCAAAAGACATTAACAGGCATTTTATAAAAGATTTCGAACTGGGCAATAAACACATGAAAAATGATCAGCCATATTAGTCATTAGGTAAATGCAAATTAAAATAACAATGAGATACCATTGCTCATCCACCAGATTTGGTTGGCGTGAGAGGGGTGCGGGGGATGGGCAAAAAAAACTAACGCTAATCTGTGTTGATGAGAATGTAGAGCTGTAACAGAAACTCTCACATTCTGACAGTAGCAATATAAACTGGTACAATCATTTTGAAAATAAGTTTGATTTTCATATGATATATATTTTTTTTCTATATATATATATATATATATGTATATATATATATATATATATAAACATATTCCTACCCATATCTTTAGTACCTGGGATGTCTCTGCAAAATAGATCCCTAAATCTCTCCAGAAAGACACTATCTCTAGCTTTTCAAGCTTATTCAAACAGGTTTGGATTCTGCAGGAAACCAGGAAATCCATGGAGAATTATCTTCCAAAATTTGAGTTTGAGGGATCTGTTGAATATTCAGGGGTAAATGGCCAAAACAAACAACAATTGCTGTCATTAATGGAGCATTTACTATGTTCTGGCACAAGTTGTGTGATGGGGTTTGAGGAGTGATTATTGATCACCCTCTTAAATCCCCTTTGAGTGTGGAACTAATTTGGGAAATAAAACTCAAGAATCAGAAAGCTTAATAGAAGTAAAGCTAATGGGAAATTTTGACCAAATAGGATTCCTATTAGGTTCTGCAACTGAACTTACTCCCTTAGTCACAGACAGGGCAGGGCGACCTCTCATCTGCTGAAGGGGCAGGACAGCTCAGGCAAGACAGAAGAGAAGGGTGAACAGATCATTCAGAAAAGAATAGCTTTGCAGGGGCTGAGAAAAGCATGTTAAGCTTGCCTTTCGAAACTCATCCATCAGATGAGTCACTTCTCCCATGAGGAGGCAGGAGTAAGAAAACAGCCATGGCCGGGCGTGGTGGTTCACACCTGTAATCCCAGCACTTTGGGAGGCTGAGGCAGAAGGATCACCTGAGCCTGGGAAGTTGAGGCTGCAGTGAGCTGTGATTGTGCCACTGCACTCCAGCCTGGGAAGACAGAGCAAGACCCTTTATCAGAAAAATAAAAAATAAAAAAGGGTGATTGCATCTGTACTGAACATATATTGGCTTTTTTTCTTGTTCTATTCCCTAAACAATACAGTAAACAACAATTTACATAGTGTTTACATTGTATTAGGCATTTTATAAGCAAATCAGATATTAAAGGAAGATGTGCATGGGTTATATGCAAATGCTGCACTATTTTTTTATAAGGGACTTCAGCATCTCTGGATTTTGGTATCCACGGGGGTCCTGGAACCAATACCCCTCGGATACCAAGGGACTGCTGTAGAGCGTTTGCTCCATGCCACACACTGTTCTAAGCCTCTTCAAATATTAATCGTTCAACCGTCCCATCCATCATCCTTAAGAGGTAGATATTATCTTTGTCAGCTAATGAAGGAAATGGGCACAGAGAGGTTAAGTGGCTTGGCAGGTCTCACAGCTGTTGAGCAGACGCGTGTATTAAGCCGGGATTTGAACGCCCACCCTCTGGCTGCGGAACCTGTGCCATCCTGCAGGAAACGAACCCATCCCGGGACCTGGCGCGCGAGGAGGACTCCGCAGGATGCGCGGCGTGTGCGTGGAACCTGGTCTTCTGCGAGCCTGGACTTCTGAGCTTCGCGCGCGGCTGCAGGGATTCGCCGGGACTCGCGCGGGGGACCGCGCCCGGGGATCCTGCAGGGGCGGGAAGGGGGCTCGGGCTCCTTGCTTCCGCCGCAGTGGGGCGCTGCCGGGCTCCCCGGCACTAGCGCTGCTGGCGGCCCCGGCGGCCGGGCGTGCTGCCTGCAAGATGTCCGTGCGCCGCGGCCGGCGGCCGGCGCGGCCGGGGACCCGCCTCTCCTGGCTGCTGTGCTGCAGCGCCCTGCTGTCCCCGGCCGCGGGCTACGTGATCGTGAGCTCCGTGTCTTGGGCCGTCACCAACGAGGTGGACGAGGAGCTGGACAGCGCCTCCACTGAGGAGGCTATGCCCGCGCTGCTAGAGGATTCGGGCAGCATCTGGCAGCAAAGCTTCCCCGCCTCTGCCCACAAGGAGGACGCGCACCTGCGGCCCCGGGCGGGCGCCGCCCGGGCCAGGCCGCCCCCCGCGCCACCCGGGATGTTCTCCTACCGGCGCGAGGGCGGCCAGACGGCCAGTGCGCCCCCGGGCCCTAGACTGCGCGCCGCCACCGCCCGCTCCCTGGCCCATGCCAGCGTCTGGGGCTGCCTGGCCACCGTGTCCACCCACAAGAAGGTGAGCGCCCGGCGGGGAGCGCGAGGGGGCCTGGCATTCAGGCGGCGGCCGGGGGACGGGGACAGGGACGTGCTCGCGACCGCTCGGGACTGAGATCCGGGTCCACCAGACGTGCCCGGTGCCCTGGATGGGACCCTCGACACTGTACATAATGGAAGGCGATGGTGCCTCCGTGAGCCTGGCGAAGTCGGGGGAGGGTCGGAGAGGGACATGGATAACCAGGTTTCCTGCCAGGTAGGGTTGGGTACCGAATCCCCACCTTGAGGTGGCCAGGCAGAGAGAGGGACACCTAACCAGCGTCCGACCGAGACCTAGACCAGAGCAGCCACAGACGCCTTTGGAATCGCAGAGTAGGCGGGGACAGCCCTTCCCAGCGCAGGGCACAAACCCATAGACCTGAACTCCCCATCACCTTCTGACCTGGAGCTGAAGCAGGGATGGGGAGAGAGAGAGCACGAGGGCTTCGATGGAAATCTGCATTTAAGAAAATGGAGTTCACGATTTTTTCTGGAAAGGAGGCTTATTATGCAAAGTGTGTAAATGCTGGAATGAGCTATTCGCTGCACTTTTAATTGTTCAGTTCGCAAATGCTTTACTCACCTGTTAGACATGATTCCACCTAGAATGACATGGATAAGTAATGCAGATGTAACTTCCATGCCTCCAGAAGGCTTTTGGGGGTTTTAAGAGAGATGAAAGAGCTACAAGGCAGTAATGTGAACTCCTCTTTACTTCCTACAAAAAAGAGAAATAATATTTTATGGAAGGCATAGGACATTGGCCAGGTTCTTGCCCCAGCTCTGGGTCTCACCAAGACTGTGGCCAAGTCACTGGCTTCTCCACTTTGCTTTCCTCGTCTATAAAATTAGGTTTAGTTTTTAAGGTCCTTTTTTGCTTAAAAACTACCTAAATGGCAACTTTATTTCGAGTTTGGCAATGGTCTTAACCTCTTCAGTGTCAAATGCAGATCCAGTTGGATATTCTCAACACCTAGATGATTTTTCACAGCTGTATCTTGCACTCCTAAGACACATCTTAAAAAGACATAAAGGTTAAAGATGACACTGATCTTAGTTGAAAACACAAATCTTTTCAAGAAATTAAATAGTCTCGTGCCAATGTATTAGAGATATTTTGACTTTCAATATCCCTTCTCTTAGCTTTGTTAGGAGTTCCTCTTTCTAATCCTTATTGACATTTGATTTAAACAATAAATTCAGACAGCATTTACACAATGTACTGCCATGGATGCAAAGCATGACTCTGGGCAGCTATGACAAGCTGAAAAATGGGATATATGAACAAAGTTATATCACCATTTTGGAAGATTCCTTAACGTTTCATGTTCCTGAAAAATTAAAGCCCTGCCTTTTATAATTCTACACACCATTATCATGCAACATTTCAAGGACAAAGACAACCCCTGAATTCTGAGCAAGTAACAACAAGGTGCACTTTGTTAGGGATAAAATCATGGAAAATTGGGATGCTTGACTGGAAGGATTTGGGAAAACCTCAGCACTAAATATTTTTGTTGGCCAGGCGTCGTGGCTCACACCTGTAATCCCAGCACTTTGGGAGGCCGAGGCGGGCAGATCACTTGAGGTCAGGAGTTCAAGACCAGCTTGGCCAACATGGTGAAACCCTGTCTCTACTAAAAATACAAAAATAGCCAGGCATGGTGGCATGCACCTGTAATCCCAGCAACTTGGGAGGCTAAGGCACAAGAATCGCTTAACCCAGGAGACGGAGGCTGCAGTGAGCCAAAATCGTGCCACTGAATGCCAGCCTGGGCAACAAACAGAGTGAGACTCTGTCTCAAAAAAATAATAATACTAATAAAATAAATAAATAAATATTTTTGTTTATATCTGCAGTCACAGAAACATGATATACCACCTGTCTTAGTCCATCTGTGTTACCGTAAACAAATACCTGAGGCTGGGTAATTTATAAAGAAAAGAGGTGTATTTGGCTCACAGTTCTGCATGCTGTTCAGAAAGCATGGTGCAGCATCTGCTTCTGGGGAGGCCTCAGACTGCTTCCACTCATGGTGGAAGGTGTAGAGCCAGTGTGTGCAGTGATCACATGGCAAGAAAGAAAGCAAGAGAGAGGGGAAGGTGCCAGGCTCTTTTTATTTTTATTTATTTATTTTATAGATGGGGTCTGGCTCTGTCACCCAGGCTGGAATGCAGTGGTGTGATCATAGCTCACTGCTGCCTCAAACTCCTGGGCTCAAGCAACCCTGCTGCCTCAGTCTTTCGAGTAACTGGGACTATAGATGTGTGCCACCATGCCAAGCTAATTTTTTAAAAAACTTTTTGTAGGGATGGGGGTCTCGCTATCTTGCCCAGGCTGATCCTGAACTGTTGGGCTCCCAAAATGCTAGGATTACAGGGTGAGTCCCCATGCCCAGTTGGCACCAGGCTTTTTTAAACCTTCTCTCAGGGGAACTCTCAAGGAAACTAACAGAGGGACAATTCACTCAGTACCTCAAGGAGGGCACCAAGCCATTCATGAGGGATCCACCCCCATGACCCAAACCCTTCCCACTTGGCCTCCCCTCCAACACCGGGGATCAGAATTTAACATGAGATTTGGAGGGATGGATATCCAAACTATGGCACCACCCTTCTCCCACCCTAGTGGGTGATCATGAAGAAAAATTGGCATATCATGTTTCTATGACTTCCTTTATGCAAAAAGGGTAACAAATCAATTTCTCATAACTTGCTGAGTCGTACAATGAAATATTATTGATTACAATAAAAAATGCAGCTAATAAATGAGAAAGTGATGCAGCCCTAAAAGAAACAATAATAGAAAGTTCCTGAAGTCCAGAGAGCAGGCAAGACGTTAAAGACTTAAACATCCTCCCTAAAGTTGCTCAAAACTTGGGACAGGCAGTTAACCTTGGGAGTTAAAGCGGTGGGGCTGTAACAGGCAGCTTGTGGAAAAGGCTTAGCACCACCTCCCATAAATGTCATTGTCCCTCCCCAAAAGAACATGAAATTTAACAAAGTGAGTATATCTGCCATGCACAGGCAGCTTCAAGAAGAATCCTTTCACCACCCCTTCCAAACAGGATGCCACTGCTGAGTATCTCCTGTGGAGAAATTCTAGAGCCACCACGGAGTGAATTGGGCAGACTGGGGACCACCTCACCTTGATTTACTACCTGTCAGAGCCACTGTGATGCCATGATCCCCCCTCATCCCTGGTGTTGTATTTCCTAGCCAGAGGCACAAGCTAAGCTCCCAGATCAAGTCGAGCCACAGCTCTGCACTGAAAAAGCCTTTTTTGGTGTTTGTTAGATCCAAGGACTGCCATTTGGGAACTGCCTGCCCGTCAGTGATGGCCCCTTCAACAATAGCACTGGGATTCCTTTCTTCTACATGACAGCCAAGGACCCCGTGGTGGCTGATCTGATGAAGAACCCCATGGCCTCGCTGATGCTGCCAGAATCAGAAGGGGAGTTCTGCAGGTAGACGACGGTTTGCCCTCACTCACACGGGTCCTGGGAAGTTTTTGACAGAGAGTTGGGGGTGGGTTTCTCTCTGGGTCACATGACTTTAACAGAACTCTGAGATGCACATTGATGTTCACCCTTGAAATCAGATAAATTAGAATTCCACCACTCACCAAGCAGTGTGCTTTGTAGCAAGTTAGTTGATCTTTGGGAGCCTCAGTTTCTTCATCTGTAAAATGGGAATAATAATCTTTGCCTCCGAGGGTTATTGCAAGTGCTGGAAATAGGTGTAAAATGCTTTGTGCAACACTGGCAGGAGTCCAGACAGCTCCTGTTGTTATGGAAAAGGGCGAGGGTGGGAGTGAGGGTTGGTAAAGGAAGAGCCAGTAGTTGATCTCCCCAGCACGGAGGCGTGCAACACAGAGTCTATATATTGTCTTTCCAATTTATTTCTATCCTGTCCCCAGAGATATGTGCAATAAGGAGCCAGCATTTTTTAATTCACTTTTTCAAAAGCTCTCTGAAAGAAAACACTTCTAAAGACATTTAAGCACTAACAGAACATTGATGCAGGCCCCTTTATCTGAATTCAAAATGCAAAGCCTGAACTCGCATCCTCCCCGGGAAATGTCTGCATGGAGCTGGTGTGGGAGCTGCATGTGAGATCCCCTCGTCCTTCCCAGAGGAGCAGCAAATGCCCAGGATGGCCTGGGGTGAGCCCTTTAACCTCCAGGACCTTAGTCACTCCACCTAAATGTAGTGATGCTTTAGAAAATCAACAGGCCTCATCCCATCTGTGAAATTCTATTATTCTTTATGCACAGCACGGAAAACATAATAACCAAACAATGTATTAGTTCTTACAGAGGCTAATCAAAGCAACTATACAATGCAAGATGCATCCTGGATAAGCCATTGTTTCCCCTCAGCCACGACAGACCACATGGAGACACTTCAGCTGACCCTGTTCCCCACCAGGTTACAGCAAGAAGCCAGGAAAAGAAACATTTCCTTTCTCATGGAATATTCTCCCTGTTCTTGGTCAGTCAAGCTTACTGTTACTAGAAGTACATTTCCAGGATACCTTTCTTTTCTTTTCTTACTCTTTTTTTTTTTTTTTCGAGATAGAGTTTCGCTCTTGTTTCCCAGACTGGAGTGCAGTGGCGCAATCTCGGTTCACTGCAACCGTGAACCTCTGCCTCCCAGGTTCAAGCAATTCTCCCTGCCTCAGCCTCCCAAGTAGCTGGGATTACAGGTGTCCACCACCACGCCTGGCTAATTTTTGTATTTTTAGTAGAGACAGGGTTTTGCCATGTTGACCAGGCTGGTCTCAAACTCCTGACCTCAGGTGATCCACCTGCCTCGGCCTTCCAATCCAGGATACCTTTCTAAGCTTCCCAGGCTTTCCTCATTCAGGTATCCTGAAAGCAGTCGTGCTGGAGCATGTGGCTCCCAGAACCCAGAGCACAGCCGCTCTGGGGACAGGCAACAGAATATATACTTGGGACAAAGCTGCGGCAGCACTCCAGCTGGGGGAGGATTTGTCAACTGGCAACCCCCAGGCAAATGGCAGCAGGAGCTGGAGCGAGGAGCAGTGAGAAATCTGACTTAGGAGAGGTCCTCATGGGGAGAGGATTTCAGGGTGACTTCCTTCAGTCCCTTGGGAAGACTTGCCTGCACAGCCTAGAGCCACGTATGCGGACCTTCTTCATGACAGGCCACATGTAGGACACGCAAACACCTGTGCAGCCCCCTGGCTAACTGGGTGAGGCAGCTCGAGGCTGGAGGTGAGCACCCCGGGGCCAAGGGCAAGAGCATCTCAGCATACCTGTTACTCTGGCCTGGGAGAGGAAGGATGAGACGCACTCATGGGTACCCCTTAGTTTATGTCTTCTTGTAAAACTGTTTCTCAGAACTGCTATACCCCTGACACTGTTTAAGCTTCTGAAGTATTGAAATATGATGTAAATAAATGCCTACAAAACCAAGTTTGGCCTTAGTAAGCATCACACTTCAATGCAAAGCTTACCAAGCAATGGGGCTTTTGTCACCCTAGGGTCTACGACTTCCCATAATCGGCGTAAGCCCAGATGTGACTCACCTGTGTGAGGTTCGCATTCCAAGTGGAGCTTTACATTTTAGGTTTCACCTTCAGAATCTTGGCAATACTGAACACAGGGACTTAACAAGTCAAAGCCATGTGGCTGGCATTGAAAAAGAGCCCCGAATAAACAAGCCAAGCAAGGGGTTCCTAGGGCCACTGGAATATAGCGAGGTATCTGGTAGAAGTGTCCGCAGCTACCCAAACACCTGGGTAGAGCTTCGAAGGACAGCCCGGCAAGGTACCAGCAAGGTGCCCCTCCTGCCTGTCGCCGGGCCTGAAGAGGTCTCCAGCAAAGGCAGAGATCGTCGTCACGTGCTTCAGAGCTTCACAGCATCTCCCACAGGAGCGGGGAGATTCAAGAAAGCGCCCATGTCTTACGATGATAACGACAGGTCAAGGCCACCTGCTCCTCTCAGCTTCAGAAGGCAGCTCATACTCAGAACAATGAAAACTGCCTTCCAGCCTGTGCACTGGAAAACTTGCAACAGCATTTTTTTTTTTGAGATGGAGTCTCACTCTGTCATCAGGCTGGAGTGCAGTGGCTCAATCTCAGCTCACTGCAACCTCCAGTTCCCTGGTTCAAGTGATTCTCCTGCCTCAGCCTCCCGAGTAGCTGGGATTACAGGCACATGAAACATGCCCAGCTAATTTTTGTATTTTTTTTAGTAGGGATGGGATTTCACCAGGTTGGTCAGGCTGGTCTTGAACTCATGACCTCAGGTGATCCACCTGCCTCAGCCTCCCACGCTTGGGATTACAGGCATGAGCCACGGCGCCCGGCCTGCAACAGCATTTTTAACCATCCCACGTGGTGTCTTCTGGGCGCTCCTATTCCTCTGTTAGTCTGTGCAGCTGGGGAGGGCGTGAGTCATCCCTGTTTCATCCCAAGGGGGAAGACAAAGCCAGAACTGGGCTTTACTGGACCATAAAGCAAGTCCTGACAGGGAGGAAGTTGGGAGGCCACTGACTTCTGAGGAAGGAAAAGGGGTGCCTTCGCGGCCGTTTCCTACAGCCTACTGGGCATCCCTGGGAGAGGGGGCATTTCAGCTGCAAGCCTGCCTCTGCGTTCATCAAGTTAGCCCCGGTTACTGCAGACTCTGCACCAGCATGGGCTAGTGAGCGCCATCTCCACCAAGGATACAGCCCGGGAGCAAGAAGCCTCCAACAACTGGGGCAAGAACAGCTCAGGCTTAGGGAGGGAGGAATGCAAGTCTGAGACTATTCCGAGGACAGGCTACTTTCAGAGCTCCCTTTGGTGCCAAACAATTGTATCTATAATGTGTACGTGTTTAATAAGCAGATACATAAATGGAAAAATAGATTATACATAGATAATAGATGATTGATGATAGATGGATGAATAGATAGATGAATGATGGATGGATGGATGGATGAATAGATGATAGATGAATGGATGGATAGATGATTGATAGATAGATAGATAGATAGATAGATAGATAGATAGATAGATAGAAGCTTTCACACATTCAACTCTTCTCTATTCAAAAGAGCGAATATTACAGTTGCCCCTGCTTGGTCTCCCCAGTCCACTCTTCATCATGTTGAATTCATCCCCAATCCAGCAGCTGGGATACTCTCTTAAAATCCAAATCAGATCCTGAGGAAAAGCAACAGAATCCTTAATATGGCCTAGGAGGCCCTTCATGGCCAGGGGCCTGCCTCCCTCTCAGAATAAATAGCGGTGTCTGCCTCTTTACTGATTGACTTAATATTTGATTTATACCTAGTTTTATCAAATTAAAAGCATCAACCTGATAGCTTGTTGTAGTCAAAGCTGATGTATGTTCTTTGGCATGGAGTTAAGAAAGTGCTTTTCCATTAGCAATCCCTGCATGTAGGTTGACAAGTCATGTCACTCAAAAATGATATTTAGATCCATTAACAGGCCTGTGTCTTAAAGATAAAGTTAGATCCAAGTTGAAATAGGTGAAGGACATTGAGTATCCATGGCTCCAGAAGTCTCAGGAAATTTAATGAAGAAAATGCTCAGCAGATGTAATTTCCTTAACCACAGCCGTGAGAAGCCAATATCTTGAGAATGATGAAAGGAATGAACAGCTCTTCATATTTTACAGCTTTCTAGGGACCTTAAAGAGTTTTTAAATGAATCTGTCAAGTCCAGCCTGGGCTAGTTCATCCCACCTAGTTAGGGATTTTTTCCAGATATTTTCATTGCCCTGATCCACAGTTCCCTGAACTTTCCCTAAAATGTCACAATAAAGTTCCTAGATTTAATGGGACGCAGTTGTCCTGACTCCCACCCCAGGGCATAATAATTGGGCATTATTGGCCTGCCCTTCTTTTTGGAGGAGATAATTTGGAAAGTGAATCTGACTGGATGATAAGTAGAATGTGACTTTCAGCTGGAAAAGTACTAGGTTGGTGATCTCTCCTTTTTCTTTTTTCTTTTTTTTTTTGAGATGGAGTCTCACTCTGTCGCCCAGGCTAGAGTGCAGTGGTGCAATCTCGGCTCACTGCAACCTCTGCTGCCCAGGTTCAAGCGATTCTCCTGCCTCAGCGTCCTGAATAGCTGGGATTACAGACACCCACCACCGTGCCCAGCTAATTTTTGTATTTTTAGTAGAGATGGGTTTCACCACCTTGGCCAGGCTGGTCTTGAACTCCTGACCTCGTGATCCCCCCGCCTCAGCCTCCCAAAGTGCTGCACCCAGCTAGGTTGGCGATTTCTGTGGAACAAAGTTGCTGGGCTAGAATGAAATACCCGGCCGGTTCAGGGTGTCACTTTTCCCACTGGTATGACGAAGAGGGGAGAGGCGGATATCTGAGGGCCCTCTGGCTCCATGGTTGACTGGAGGTAGGATACTCCAAGAATGGTGAAGAAGGAATAGGTGAGCACAGCCATCACGGCTGATATAGATTTGATATATAGATTTCTACATAGACTGTTATAAAGTGCGAACTCCTGCAAATTTAGAGTAGAAGAGTGACTTCCAACTGCCTGAAGGGCAAGGATGAGAGGGACGTATTATTGGCCTGGACAGCTTGCCCCTCCCCTAGGACCTCTTAGGGGAAGCAGCACCCAAGTGATGCTAACGCTGCTTTAGGATAATGAGGACATTTAAGCCGGTCTTATATGCATTTCCTGGGTTTCCAGTAAAGGCTACTAAGAACTGTGATTTAGGCCCAGGATGGCTTAAGTCATTTGTAAAATGAAGTCAAGATTAGAGTCTGACAGAAAGACAAATCCCGCATGATCTCACTTATATGTGGAATCTAAATAAGTCGACTCATAGAAGCAGACAACAGAATGGTGGTTCCCAGGGACCAGGCGAGAGAGGGGAATGGGGAAATGTTGATTACAGGGTGCTGACTTTCAGTTAGAAGACAAACACGTTCTGGGGATCTAACGTACAGCATGGGTTGGATGTGTGAATTCATTTGATTGTGGCCATGCTCACACAATATATATGAACATCAAATCATCACATTGCATATGTTGAATATATTCAATCTTTATTTGACAATTAAATATTTTTAAAATACTAAAAGATTAGTCTAAAAAGCCATGAAAGGAAGGTGGCTTTTCCACTTGTCAGGCATCATACCCATACAAGTCGGAGCCTACCAACATGTCTTGCCTAATAATTGTTAGTTTATTTAAAGTCTGTTTTATCCAATTATTCTGTTTACTCCTGGGTGCTGTGATGCCTTCATTTAATTAATGAGATGAATTAGGGGTGGGAATCTATTTCCCAGCTCAGGTTAAAATGGCAAATGGAGAATAACTGTCTAGTTTAAAAGAGTCACTTGCAATCAGCAACGCCCTCTCCTCTTTATTTCCCTCTCCCTCCATGGCATAAGCATGGACGCATGCCCCTTGACCAAATGAATTTGTGCTCAGCCAAGAAATCTACTTTGTGAAAATTCAATCAATATTGATTGACAAAGAAAGGCCACCCAAAAATGTCTCTTTCCCTGCAATATCTTCCCTTACAGAGCATGCAGCCTTGAATAGCATGAGTTTTAGGTTCGCACCTTCTTGGTGAATCAGGGCAGCAAGCCTTTGGGACCGGGGAGGACTCGTCTGTGGGGTGATATTCTCCCTGATCGTATTGGATCAATTTTCATTTTGAAGATCAGGATGTAAATGAAACCCAAAGAGGTTTTATCAGATGCTTTTCCTGAAATAAAAACATTTCTTTTTTTTTTTAAGAGTAGAATACATTTTTGTTATACAACAGTTTGTGTGGTTTAAAAAAATTTCTTTTCATAGAGTATATTTTCACATTAGAGATTCCCACAGTGGGAAAAAAATAACAATTTATCACTTAGAGTTTTATATTTGTGGACAGATCGTTTTAGTACAAGTAAAACATCTTTGGGAATTAAGTCTCAGTTTAGAATTTATAATATTTTGATACATCTCCAAGGGGGGGCCTAATCTTTAAATGGAACTTCTCTATATTCAGAAGCTCTCCAAGCTTTTCTTCCTAGGATTTAGAAATTCATGATGTGAGAGGAAATCAGCATTTCCTAATTTTACAGTTTCCCTAGTCTAGCTGGTGTCTACTGACGAGAGGGAAGTTTTCTAAAATTAAACACTGTCTAATTTTCTGCAAAGTTTTTCTTCATGAATTAACAGTATTTCCCTCTGTCCATTATTCCCGGGGCAAATAAAGGAGAAATTTGATCATGTGATGGTAACAAAGCTGGATTCTCTTTAAGAGATTATTAAATTAAAAGGCAAAAGCTCGTATCATGTTGAGTTATACTGTGAGTCTTGTGAGAAGCTGGGAGGCAACCCTACCAGAATACAGAACTCGGTCTCACAATTTTTGGGTAAGATTCTTCTCAAACCTTTTTCCTCAAAGATTAAATTCTGGGCCAGGTGAGGTGGCTCATGCCTGTAATCCCAACAATTTGGGAGGCCGAGGCAGGCAAATTACTTGATGTCAGGAGTTCAAGACCCACCTGGCCAACATGGTGAAACCCTGTCTCTACTAAAAATACAATAAAATTAGCCATGCTTGGTGGTGGGGGCCGGTAGTCCCAGCTACTTGGGAGGCTGAGGCATGAGAATCGCTTGAACCCGGGAGGTGGATGTTGCAGTGAGCTGAGATCAGGCCACTGCACTCCGGCTTGGGCAACAGAGTGACACTCTGTGTTAAAAAAAAAAAAGAAAAAGAAAAAAATTAAATTCGGAAAATAACCACGTGATTAAGAGAAGATGTCTGTTCAACGGACTTCTCTGTTATTTCCTCCCTGTTGTAAGTTGAATGGCACAAGAAAGCAGAGGCGAAGAGGCAGACACCAGTTTCCCTTTCCTTCAATAACATAAGCATGGACAGGTGTCTCCCGACTACATAAATGTATGCATGGGTTTAAAGTATTCCATCAAAAAGATCAGAGCTTCCACAGCATGACAGCAGCTTTGCAGATGCCCATGTCGTGACAGTTGAAACAGCACAGCCCAGCAAAGCTGAAAGCTGAAACTGCCGACAGGCCTGCCTTGACAGCCTTCTGAGATCCACCCCCTTGAACACAGTCAGTAACGACTTGTCCAAGGCCCCAGTGACTGTGGAGAGGAAGGGGTGCAGCCGCAGCATAGGCCCTTGCAGAGCAATGGTTCAGATAAGCAGCTGGGAGCAGGTCCAGGAGTAAAACACTGTCAGCCCTTTCACTAGTTCAGGGGAGAGACACAGCCTTGGAGCCAGAATGGTGGCTCGGTGTCAGGTGAATGTGCCGCACCCCACCCCGTCCTGGGGTAGGGTGGTCCCGAGGAAATGCCTAGACGTGAGCAGGTCTGACCACTGGAGTTTGGAGAAGCAGAGCTCGGCCTCCTGGGGTGCCACAGAGGGCACTCAGCCACCTCACTCCTGAGGGCTCCTGAAAACATTCCTATTGATAGTTTTGGACACATGCTAGTTTCCTAGGTAGACTGGTTTGATTATCAAGAAAGGAGGATCCAGGAGTACTTTTTCCTCTTCCTCCAAAGGCTCTTAATGAAAGATGGCCATGGGCCACACCCCTTCTTACTCCCCCAGGATGAAGGCGTCCCTGCCCCACCATGACCAGTGGCTCTTGGCAGAGCCCTTTGATTGACAGGCCTCGGTGTGGTTTTGCAAACTGAATAGATTCCAGTTTGCAAAGGAATCTAGTTTCTGAGGGGAGGTGCCAGACCATGGAATGGATTGAAGCCCAGTGGGCCTCAATGAGACCTAGAATGGAAGCCTCTCAGAAATGAGGATCCCTCGGAACAACTTGCTTGTAGGGGCGCATATTGAAGATGCAAATTAGCACTGAGGAATCACACACCAGAGAGGGACTGCTCACACCAGAGAAACTGGGATAGTGTGCGGGGACGTAGATGTAATCCCTGCCCTATCTCATAGGCAGTCCCTTATACTGCAGACACATCAACAGGAAGAGGAACTGCTTCTGTGAAGCAGAGTAACTGAGGGGAGGGTGTCAGCAGGCGGGTCAGTTTGCCTTTATGTTGTGGGTTCAAGATAAACCCTTAGTGCACACAACTAAATGAGGGTGCACCAAGTTTAATTGTTTCTTCTGTGTGAAAAGTAAAAAGAGATTCTGGAAATGAAAATGGCCTGTGGCCACTCCTCCCCCAGCCTCCATCTTTTTAACTATACTGGTAGGAAGAAAATGTGGAATGATAGATGAAAACCTCAAACCAATCTAATTCCAAAGGCAGGCCTGGGATTTGTTCCCCTAGAACTGGATTTAGCACTCTATTCATTCAGTCATTTTTAGATGAGCTGGATCAAGCGAACACACAGTGAGCACCTGCTTGCAGCAGCTGGCTTGCTAAGAGCCAAGACGTATCTCTGTCTGGAGTCTATATCCACCTGAGACAGAATGTGCATTTCAAAGCCCAGGGCCCAGACCTAATCGGTTATAGAAACTGAATCCAATTTCTCTTCACTGAATCTTGTTCATTCCTTTTGAAAGGAACATATAAGTTTAAATAAATTGCTCTGTGTTCTGATTCATGTTACCTCTTCTTTGCTGCACCTTCCTGTATTCCTAGAGCTAACATTAACCTGAGTCATTTTTGTTGTTGTTGTTGTTTGAGACAGTCTTGCTCTGTCACCCACACTGGAGTGCAATGGTGCGATCTCAGCTCACTGCAACCTCCACCTCCCAGATTCAAGCAATTCTCCTGCCTCAGCCTCCCGTTGGACGGGACTACAGGCAGGCGCCACCATGCCTGGCTAATTTTTGTATTTTTAGTTGAGATGGGGTTTCACCATGTTGGCCAAGCTTGTCTAGAACTACTGGGCCTCAAGTGATCCACCCACCTCGGCCTCCCAAAGTGTGTCACCACACCTGGCGGATAGCTCTTTTAAAAACGACTCAGGGCAGGCCGTTGAGTCGATGGGGTGAAACCCCATCTCTACAAAAAATAAAAAAATTAGCCAGGTGTAGTGGTGCACGCCTATAGTCCTAGCTACTCAGGAGCTGAGGTGGGAGGCTCCATTGAGCCCAGGCAGTTGAGGCTGCAGTGAGCAGCGATCGTGCCACTGCCCTCCAGCCTGGGTGACAGAGTGTAGACCCTGTTCTCAAAAAATAAAAATAAATAAAACAGCTGTCTAGGAAGAGTCAGAGAACTTTGTAAAGAGAAAGCTTGATGAGCCAGTGTTCAAGTATTCTCTTTCACCTTCCTCTGGTTTCCGAGGTCATATATCATAGTAACCTGCAGTCACTTCTTTCTCCCTAATTTTATTTCAACTCTGTTGAGCTTTGTCTCTGTGGTTCCTGTCTATTTCATGAATTCACTAATGATTGTAGTTCCTCTGCCATTGCACTATCCTTTTCCTCCATCTTCTGACCACCTGTCCCCATCCAGCTTATCAATGTTTTATTTATCTGTTAGACATGACTCCATCTTAAGCAGAAATGACACAAATAAGTGATGAGGATGTGACACCCATAAATATACATCCACCAAAAAGCTTTCAGGGCTGTTAAGATGGACATAAGGGTTTCATTTCAGGACTTTTAGCCCCTGGCAATCATTAAGCTTCTTTCTGTCTCTATGGATTTTCCTATTCTGGACATTAATATATGGGTTTCTATGAATGACTTCTTCCACTTTAGCATAATGTTTTCAAGGTTCATCATGTTGTAGCATGTGTCTATAATTCATTCCTTTTTATGGCTGAGTAATATTCCATTGCATGAATATACCACATTTTATTTATCCATTTTTATTTATCCATTCGTCATGAGTTGATGAACATTTGTTTCCATGTTTTGGCTCTCATAAGTGATGCTGCTATGAGCATTCATGGACAAGTTTTTGTGCAGGTATATGATTTCATTTCACTTTGGTATATACCTAGGAATGGAATTGCTAGGTCTTATGGTAACTGTGTTTAACTTTTTGGAGAACTGCCCAACTGTTTTCCTAAATGTATGAGGGTTCTGATTGCCCTTTGTCCTCACCAACACTTGTTATTGTCTGTCTTTTTTATCATACCTGTCCTTGTGGGTGTGAAGTAATATCTTGATGTGGTTTTTGATTTGCATTTCCCTCATGACTAACGATGCTGAGCATCCTTTTGTGTGCTTATTGGCCATTTGTATGTCTCCTTTGGGGAACTGTCTATTTAAACCCTTTACCCATTTTTAAATTTGGTAATCTTTTTATTGTTGAGTTGTAAGAGTCTTTATATATTCTAGATATGAACCTTTTTAGATATATGACTTGCAAATATTGTGTTTATGTGTCTTTCTCTAATTTTCTCTTCTTTTGTCTTGGAAGAAGCAGGAAAACTGCTGAGGATTCAATATTGACATTCCAGTTGCACATGTTCTCTGTCAATGTCCTTTTGTGCTTATAGGCTGGGCTTTTCCCATCAGATAAGCAAATAATTAAAGTAACATTCCTGAGATGACAAAGAAGTGTACCTAAGTTCTCTAGTGTGTAGAAATGGTAAGAAAGTGTCTAAACATGAGAAAAGATTTCAATTAACTGAAAGGAATTTGGGAGGGAAAGCTGTTACTCCAAACGTATAAAGACGAGGTAGGGAGATACTAATGATAAACTCAATTCAATTAAGCATACTGAGTACAAGACAACGTATTAAATATTGTGATGAAAATAAGACTTTTTTCCTTCAGATGAGATTTACTGAGCACTTACTATAAGCCAGGCATGCGTAGGCGTGAACACTTAAAGGCACAGGCTCTTCTTGCCTCCTTGCTTACTTGTCACCATCATTTGAATCAAGACAACAAGGTGTAACACGTGACCACATATACAAAGTCCCCTAACAGTTAACACCAAGGCTGTCCACAATAGGGGAGCTGAGTAGGGTTCCACAGCGTGGCTGCCATTTCCCCCACCTTGACATCCTCATTCCCCATCTGTAAGTCCTTCCATCCATCTACCCATCATCTCCAGCTCCTGCCCAACCTGACCTGGCCTTCAAAAATAAGACACTAAGCTCCTCCTTGGTGTTCCCTCCCTTCTTTACCTCTTTCTTCTCATCTTAAGACTATATCTCAGTTTTCTAGTCCTACGGACTAGAGTTCCCTCACCGATTTATTCCCCAGGATTTCATTGTCTTCCTCTCTTGTGACTCAGCCTCCTGGGACTTCCCAGTCCAAGGCTCCTCCCTCTGAAAAGCCCATACCATTCCCTGGTCTTCTAGGACAGCCTTGCTGACCTTGGTTTGTGCAGCCACTTCCATCCTGCTTGTTTGTCCTTGAGGTCTCTGCAGCACGGGGAGAGCTAAGGCCAGCTGGGGCTGCTGGCCAGTGTGACCCTCGAAGCAGCAAAGCTTCCCCTGTAAAATAAGATGAGACTCCATTGTGCTTAGAAGTATTTATGGCCTGGAAGGGCCCTGGCCATCCACTCCTGCCTTTCATCGTTCAGACTAGGAGGCTGAGGGGCTGAGAATAGCAAGACAGAAAAATGGACAGTGCAGCAGTTAGTCTTCATGACCATATCCTGCTCTCTGCTGCGTGGTCTCTACAGACAGTTCCAATCCTGGCTCAGCCTCCCTTTCCCTTTGGCCTCTGCTCTCCCTGTAGCCACCTTCTTCCCTTTAAATGAATCACCCATTCAAATGGCAGGCAGGTCCCTTTTTAAATGCATTGTTTGTGGTGCATCTCTAACGAGATGAATAGCAGGCTTTTGGAAAGGACAGTTGAACAGGCACTGCAGGGAGGGCGTCACTCCATAGCATGTGTCGCATATTAGACTAGGGGGCACCTCCTGGATCCTCCGTGATGCAGAAAAAGAAAAAAGGCAGAGCACCCCCTGAGGCTTCCTTTGGTCCATGGAGGCCTCTACGGGGAGGGGGCAGGGGTCATGGGTCTATTCTTGACATCTGCCATCCAGGCTGAGGCACAGGGACCCAGGGCTGAGTAGCAAGAGATCTGCCTGCCCAGGACAGGTCCTGGCAGTGTCTGCAGAAATGGCAGAGGGAACTCAGAAGGAATCTGAGACGTGGTTTCAGAGTGGCCTCCAATCAGAGGTCAGCACTGCAGCAAGACCCTCAGCAGGCGGGGAGCTGCCAGCGTGCCCCGTTTCAGTCCCAGAGGATCACCTGATCCTGAAGATGAGCCAAGAGGGCCCTGGGGTGACCCTGACACCTGCTTTCTCAGCCTGGCTGCTAGCTCAGGGCCTGGGAGCAGGTCTGAGGCCAGCCTGACCCTGCTGGGCTTGATTCTGGAACCATTTGGTGGGCTTCAGCATGACTAAACCCTGCTCAGGAGCAGCCTGAGCCCAGGAGAGCCACCTGATTCTGTTGAAAATGCCAATTCTGGGCTCCAGCAGTCTCTGAAAATAAGGGCCTTCGGATCTGCACTTTCAAGGAACAGCCAGAGTACTCCTGATCCACAGTTAAATAAGAGGATCACGACATTAGAGAAAAGGGCTTCTAATTTGAGGATCATCAATTTGAGTCCTAAGCCCTCCCATTAATATCTGCCTGGCTTTGAGAAACTTAATTTGTCTGATTCTCAATCTCCTTCACCCTAAAATGGGAATAATAGTACCCTAGGTCCACTGTGGGGATGAAACGTTTCAATTTGTGTAAAGTTTTGAGCACACTCTCAGCACCAATAAATGGTAGCTATGGTCAGTAACAGGTGTTTCTTCTGCACAGGACTGGGATGGCAGAGACCAGAAAAAAAGATGGAAATTAATAGTGCCCTATTTATACTCTAACCCTCCTATGTATAAAGGGAGGAACAGTATATGGTATACATGAAGAGTTATAGAAATAACTCACCTGATTCTTATAAGAGTCCCAAGACAGAGGTACACTTGTTAGCACCTTTTTAAAGATGAGGAAACTGAGGCACAGAGGGTGTGAAGGACTTGCTTAAGGATCCACAGGCCAAATCCTCATAGGGCTGGGATTCACTCCTAGGCAACCTGGCTCCCGAGCCGGACTGTTACCCACTGTATTCCCTGCCTCTGTGGAATCAGCTGCATCCCAGAGGCAGTGAGAACCCCCACCACGTTTCAGAAAGCACTGATGCAGAACCAACAAAAACACAGAAGTATTTTTTAAGTTGATTTGAATTGTTCGAATATCATGTCCATCATAGGCTTGCACTGCAACAGAGGCAAGACATGAAACTTGCTCTAAATACGTGCACGCAGGTCCATGCAGGCCACCTATTCCAATAAAGCATTCGCGTGGACAAATACTCACTGAGCATCTGCTGGGTAACGAGCCATGCTAAACACCGTCACGGATAAATATGAAAAAAAGAGAGCATCTGCCTTTGAGGGGAGGGAGAAGGTATAAGACGCACATGGAAATACGCATCTTTCAAGCTGCTTGTGTTAAATCCCCTACAAGTTATCGGCCTGTAGAAGATTGGTGGGAGAGAGAAGCTCTTTTGAGCCAGTGGTGTCTTCTCTGTCTACACCTCTTCCTGCTCTATCCAGTCTACCCTCAAACCTCCATTCATATGTGCCAGTGACTCCCAAATGTATAGTCCCAGCTGAGACCACTCATCTGAGCTCTAGACCCAAGTCCACCTGCTTCCTGGGCACCTCGAACCCCGCTTCTTCTCCTCCCCAGAGGCCTCCTCTACCTGGGCTCCCTGTCTGCATGGCAGACTCAGCTGCCAGCTGTGGCTCCTTCTCCCTCTCACACCCCCACCCAGTCTGCAGGGCTCACCTGCTCTACCTCCCAGGCTTCTCCCGACTCACTGCTTCTCTCCACCCCCTGGCCCAAGCCCTTGGCATCACTCACTGTATTCTAAATTCTCCCAACTAGGTCTCCCTGGATCAACCCATTCTCCATTCTAAAGCCAGAGGGATATTTTCAAAACACCCGTCTCATCATTCTACTGTCCAGCTTAAAATTCTTCAATCCTTCCCATTGCTCTTTGGAGAAAGTTCTAAAGTCTTAACATATCCTGCGAAGCCTAAATGGCCCACCCCGGCACAGTTCCAGCCTCGGACATCACTCTCTTGCCTTGTCTTTATCCTGGTCCCAGTGGCCTTTTGGCTCTCAGTCTGTGCAAATAACAGTAACAAAATACCACAGACTGGGTGGCTTAGAAACAACAGAAACTTATTTCCCACAGTTCTGGAGGGTGGAAGGCCAAGGCTGAGGCAGATTTAGTGTCTGGTGAGCACCTGCTCTCTGGTTCAGAGGTGGCATCTTCTCACTGTGCCCTCACTTGGGGCAAGGGGCCAGAGAACTCTCTGGGGCCTCTTTTATTATAAGACACTAATCCCATTCAGGAGGGTTGGAAGCACTTTTGTCTAGCGTGCTTTCCCTGCCCACCACCTTATCTGATTCCTACTCATTTTCTAGGGTTCAGCCTTCATTGACCCTCAGAACTTCATTGACTCTCAGGATTCCATGTTGTAATAGCAGGTGATGAAATCACTAATTGCGTGGCAAGCCGTCTGGTGTCTGTGTCTCCTGCTGGAGTGCAGCTCCCCAGAGGCCAGGACCACGTCTTTCTTGCTGTCTGCAGCCCTCAACAAGTGCAGAGCCTTGAGCACAGTGTGGGGCCATTTATTGGTTGCATATGAGGAATATTCATGGGGGCATTAAGGAAGAGCGTTTTCATTTCCCATTGCTGCTGTAAGAAATTGCCACAGACTTCGTGCTTTAGAACAGCACAGACGTATTCTTTTTTTTTTTCTTTTTTCTTTTCCCTCTTTTTTTTTTTTGAGATGGAGTCTCACGCTGTTGCCCAGGCTGGAGTGCAATGGTGCAATCTCGGCTCACTGCAAGCTCCGCCTCCCGGATTCAAGCAATTCTACTGCCTCAGTCTCCCAAGTAGCTGGGAACACAGGTGCACGCCACAATGCCCAGCTAATTTTTTGTATTTTTAATAGAGACGGGGTTTCACTATGTTGGCCAGGCTGGTCTCGAACTCCTGACCTCGTGATCTGCTCACCTCAGCCTCCCAAAGTGCTGGGATTATAGGCCTGAGCCACCGTGCCCGGCCACAGATGCATTCTTTTAAGGTCTAGAGGGCAGAAGTCTGAAATGAGTCTCACAAAGCTAAAACCAAGGTGTGGGCTGAGCTGCTTCCTTCTGGAGGCTACAGAGGAGAAGCCGTTTCCTTGCCTTTTCAGCTCCTAGAGGCCGCGTGCATTCCTTGGCCTGTGGCCCCTTGCTTACCTCAATCTCAGGGCTTGCTTCTGTCATCCCACCTCCTACTGCTCACTTGAAACTTCTGCCTCCCTCTAGGAGGATCTTCTGTTTATATTGGGCCCACTGGATAATCCAGGATAATCTCTCTCTCTCAGGATCCCTAACTTAATCACATGTGCAAAGTCCCTGTTACCATATGAAGTCACATTCACACATTCCGGGGATTAGGACTTCTTTGGCATCTGGGGATTAAGACATCTTTGGGCGAGCTGCTATTCCACCTACCTCAGGATGGAAGTAACAGTTTAAATGGATGTGCAACTGGAGATAGAAACATGGTGATTTATTCTAATGTATGCTACAGCCCTCTTTGGTATGTTAGAGGTGTCATGATTGCACTTATTTATAATACAAATGTTTTAAATATAGAAATTAAAATGGCTCAAACACATGTGAGATTCAATTGATGAAGATAAATTTTAATATAATCTCAGCATATCAAAGTTATACATAAATGTGAAAACTCAAAGGAAAGGGGTCATCATACATTGAACCGTCTTGCTAGACAGTTCCTTGACTCTCAAGAGTGGACTGTTCGAACACGCCTGTTGCTCTCCTGTCCAGGAAGTGGGTCCACATCCCCCCTTTTCTGGTGCCATCTGTTGTGTGTGGCTGGCCAGTGTCTATTGAATCACAACATTTGACACTGGATAAGAGAAAATTCTAACCCAAGATGAGTAAGGAAATGTAATGGACCACTCTTCCAGTTAAACACATACATTTATCCCTTGGTATCCATGGGCAATTGGTTCCAGGAACCCTCCTCCAGCCCCCCACCAAAAGACGCCAAAATCCGTGGATGCTCAAGTCCCTGATATAAAATGGGATATTATGCATATAACCTACGCACATCCTCCTGCGTACTTTAAGTCATCTCTAGATTACTTATAATACCTAGTACAATTTAAGTGCTCTGTAAATAGTTGTTATACTATATTGGTTTTGTATTTGTATTATTATTATTCTTATTATTATTGAGACAGAGTCTCACTCTGTCGCCCAGGCTGGAATGCAGTGGCGCGATCTCGGCTCACTGCAACCTCCATCTCCTGGGTTCAAGCGATTCTCCTGCCTCATCCTCCCAAGTTGCTGGGATTTCAGGTGCATGCCACCACACCTGGCTAATTTTTGTATTTTTAGTAGAGATGGGGTTTTGTCATTTGACCAGGCTGGTCTTGAACTCCTGACCTCAGGTGATCCGTCTGCCTCAGCCCCCCAAAGTGCTGGGATTACAGGCATGAGCCACTGCGCCTGGCCTATTTGTATTATTTTCTTATTTTGTACTGTAGCTTTTTTTTTCCTAAATATTTTCAGTCTGTGGTTGGTTGGATCCACAGATGCAAAAATCCATGGATGTGGAAGGCCAACTGTATGTCCAAGGCTTCTGAACAATACACATTTCATTCAGAGAAATCAGGGAAGTCATGGATGGGAACATTGAATTGAGGAGTAAAAGAGACATCAACAGCCTGAAAATGGGCAAGCGTCATTCAGAGTCTCAAAAATCAGAGGTTGGGAGGATCTGTGGGTAAACACAAATAACTTACATAGTGATTCTGGAACGGCTGTTGAAGAGATGGTTTCTGTGCCCTAAGAGTAGGAAGAAGTGGCCACCTACAGGCAATATTGGTTGGGAAGGATGTCATGTCAAAAGACCATCCTTTTCTTTTATGGTTTTCCTAAGATGATGAATTAGGAAACTATTGTGGATTTCCCTGAGGCATTCGAAGAAACTTGCATGGTCATATTCTCATAGACAAGATGGAATAACGTAAACTGGGGAATAATAACTTGGGCAGATTTATATTTGCTTATTTCTCTTATATCTAATTTCACAATGGTTGTGAAACTGTGGATGAATGAACAATTGGGTGAATGACCAAAAGGGTCTACTGGTAGGGCGGGGTTTTATCTGAACTCTATGTAGGAGGTTTCTGCTTCCTTGACCTTTCACAATACCCTGAAAAGTAGGGGGAAGGGTTCTGGAAGCCAGAGGAAGGATTCTGGGGTTGAACCAACTGGAAGCTTGATACAGTGAGAGACACTGAAAAATACATATATGGGAGACATAGAAATTTGTCAAGAGAAGCCAATGTCATAACCAGGAAAATGGTGCCAAGAAGGATGAACAAAACTGGGAAAAAAATTAACTAGGACAGTATGAGGCATTATACTGGTATGCTGTAAAATAAAATAAAAACTAAAAGCAAGATATTAATAAAATAGACAAGCTTTTTCTGTGCCCTAAGAATAGGAAGAAGTGACCACCTACAGACAATATTGGTTGGGAAGGATGTCATACCAAAGACCATTCCTTTCTTTGATAGGTTTCCTGTGATGATGAATCAGGGAACTATTGTGGATAGCATCCCTAGGAGGATGGAGTAGAGGGTGGTGGAGGTGAGACGCCTCCCCAACCTTGCTCACCTCCTGCTGGAGTTTCAAGGGCAGTTCTGGATCCCATAATTTAACAGGAACATTGACAAGCTGGGATGTCTGAAAGCAGCCAGCCTGGAAAGGAGCAGTCTCAGGAACAACACAGTGCTTTCTGCAGATGCCGGAAAGGCTAGCACCGAACAGGAGAATCCTATTTGTTCTAGGGTTACCCTAGGGAACAGGAATAAAACTGGCAGTGGAAGCTGCAGGCCTCACCATTTTCCTCTCTGCTGCCATCCTCTTGTTCTTGCCTTCAGCACTGTGTGGAAGGCGCATCCTACACTCCAGCTTCTCCAGCCAGGTTCTCACCACCCACACTCCAGATTTGCTAGCAAAAGCACCACATCCAGAATTTCCATTCCACGCCTCCTACGCTTCTTGCTTGTGCAACCCTCCTGCAACATGCTTGGACCACATGGAGCTGCCAACCCTTTGCCCCCATCACGATCCTCCCACCCGTCAGCATGTCCTGGCTCCCCTTTCTCTTTGCCCAGGTTAGACTCCATGGTCTATCTTTACGATTGCCCTGAGACCACCTACACCTCCTCTGACCCTCTTGCCTCCTGCCTGGCCATACCCAGCCCCTTTAAGCCCTGCTTCCACCTCCTCTGTTCCTGCACCCAGGTGGCTCAGGTCTGCCCAGGGAAACCATGTGGCCAAACTGAGGCTGCCCCTTTCAATTCATGAAAAGAATCCTCACATGCATTCTCAGCACGCCTAGAACATCCCATTTCATTTCCCCAGTAAGAGCCCTTTTTTAAAGAACAAACCTAAACGTTCCCCTTCATTCTCTCTCAGTTGCAGATGACACCCATACTTATTTGACACAGTACGAAATCACACGAGGCAACTCACTCCTCTCCCTCCACTAAGTCGAAAAATTTACCTGCATTTCCACCAGTGGATCTCAAACAGGGAGCTGAGAGACTCCTCCCCAGGGACATTTGGCAATGTCTGGAGACCTTTTTGGTTGTTACAACTTGGGTTGGGGTGGGAGGTACTGCTGGCATCTAGCAGGTAGAGCCCAGGAATGCTGCTAAATACTCTATTATGCGAAGGACAGCCCTCCACCTCAAAAAATCATCCAGCCCAAAATGTCAACCGTGCCAAGGTTGAGAAAGCCTGGTCTACACCTACCTTCCTTCTGTTACTATCTGGCTGGATACATCAGGGAGAGACAAAGCCTTGTGACATATCTCAATGGGTTCTATTGGCATTTGGGGTAGGACAGTTCCTTGTGTAAGATCGTCCCATGCATTGCAGGACATTTAGAATTCCTGACCCCTGCCAACCAAGTGCAAGGAGATAGAGCCCCTCAACCCGGTTTCTGTGACAACCAAGATGCTCCCCAGATTTCCAGTTGCCTTTTATGGAGAGGAAACTTCTCCCAGTTGAGAACCATTGTACAATGATGGTGATTTTATCATTTGCAGGATTGGGTGGTCCAATCCACTTCCTTTCTTCCTGTGTGTGTGTCTGTGTGTGTGTGTGTGTGTGTGTGTGTGTGTGTTTGAGACAGGGTCTCACTCTGTCACCGAGGCTGGAGTGCAATGGCATGATCATAGCTCACTGCAGCCTCAGTCTCCTGGGCTCAAGTGATCCTCCTGCCTCAGCCTCCTGAGTAGCTAGGACTACAGGTGTGCACCACAACGCCCGGCCAATTTTCTCTATATTATAAAAAAATCAAAGGTTAAACAAATATTTTAATGTCATTTGTTCAGTATGTTTATATATAGGTATAATTTCTGAAATCCTCAAAAAACGTAATACATCCTTTCCTCCAATATTTTTCTTTACCACTGAACACAAACACATAAAAATAAAACAGACTTTTAAATATACTATCAAGACATAAAGTGTTTGGGAAGGTTACATGTATTTTTAGAAAAACGCATCCCTTGTGAAGCTCTTACAAAATTGTAGCCCATAAAAATATGAGTGTAAAAGAAATTGTTGTAGCAAGAGAAGGACTACTTATCTCCGAGAAGGTTAACTATCCAGAAGGCAAGCTTCACGTTTAATTGGAGATCATTTGAGTACAAGAGCACTGCCTTATTGTGTCCTTTATGACTCCTCAGGTCCATGTAATCCACTCCGCTGCATACAAAGTGCTGTGACTGATCATTCTCCCAATTCAGAAGCATTCTGGAATCCCCAGTACAATGGCGTCCATGCCTTGGGCATGAAACCCACCCGCTAAGAACAGATATTTGATCCCTTGACTCCCTAGATTGAATCTTCACATACCATTATAGGCCCTGTTATAGGAAAAATAAAAATAAAAAGGTTAAAAGAAGCTCCTGGCTGGGTATGCAAGCATTTCACCCAGCAGAGGCCACCTGTTGAGTGCTGGGTGGGGACCAGGCCAGCCTCGATGAGTGAGCACAGTCAGGGTCCGGAGGGCAGACGTCACAGTCCAGGACAGCTCCTGCCACTCTCCACCAGGGTCCTCAGGCAGGAAGGACATCCCTCTGGGCTCCCCAGATGGCCACTTTGAGAGCCTGGATCAGGCTTTTCTGGTCCTACCCTTGAGACCTGAATCCTCTTGGTTTACAAGCTGCCCATCCTCACAGGGCATGGGTAGCTGACTCTAAAGTCAGGTGAAAGGGGGAGAAATACCCAAAAGAATGTCCACTGGCCTGAAGGAGAGATGCAATCAGCACAGCCCATGTCCTTCAGCTCCCAGGGTCACCCACACCAGTGAAACACAAATGAAATAAGTAAGCTCGCTCAAGTTGCAGGAGGTAGAGAGCCCAAAGGGACACCCCAGGGTGCTTCTTTATTGCCTTTATGAAAAATAGCTCATTGATTGCTATTAACACATCTAACAGTAGGTGGGCACGCCTCCACCACATCTAAGAACAGAGACAAACAGAGCTCCAGAAACTTGAAGCCCTGTAATTAGTGAGCAACCTTTCAGTTGAAAGAAATAGAAAAGTAAGCTCATATGGACTTAAAGAATTGTGAAATTTAACAGTTCACTTAACTGAAAAATTCAGAGGAAGGATTTTCTTAGGGGCTAAACAATGTCAACGAAATGAGATTTTTTTTCTCTCTCCCTCTCTCCTGTGGTGTCTGTTTCATTTTAAGGGTGGCTCCTTTGTAATCCAGTGTGGCTGCCCCCCAGGTACGGATCCTCCCCTGTTTATGTCCAACAAAAGTGAGCATCTCTCCAGGTAGACTCCAAAGAAGAGTTAGGGGGATTTCCACTCTGGAAGTCCTCAGCAAGCAGCTCCTTGAGCTTTCGTGACCAAATTTGCTGTTGTGCCGGTCCCTGAATCCATCACTATAGCCAGGGACTGGAATATGCTGGTTGGCTTAGGCAATCCAGGTTCTCGGGACCTGGGGATGGACTAGGGTTCCTGAAGCTGCGTGTGAGAGGGAAGTGGATGCCTCAACAATAGATGAGATCTGTTACCCAGAGGAGGGGCAACACCTCCTACAGCCCTTGTTTACCAAAGTAGCCTCTCACCAATTGACAGCATGCATCAGGGTCCCCAGGGTGCTCAGGGCCCTCTTGCCTAGCTGGTGCTGCATTTGCTGGCCATTTCAGGGGTGCAGCTGCCAGTAACCACAGTTGTGTTGCACTCCTGTGACTAAGGGTGGGGCTGCCATCCAACTTCCTTTAGATGGTGTATTAGTTTCGTATTGATGCTGCAAAAAATTACCACACCTTACTGGCTTAAAGTAACCCAGATTTATCATGTTACTGTCCTGGAGGTCAGAAGTCCAAAAGAGGACTCACCAGATTAACACCAAGGCGTTGGCAGAACTATGTTCCTTTTTGGAAGCCCTGGGGCAGAGTCTGTTTCCTGACCTTTCTCAGCTTCCAGAGGCTGCCTGCAACCCAAGGCTCGTGCCCCTTCTGTATTCAAAGCCAGCCATGGCCAGGCAGGTCTTTCTCAGTCAAATCACTTCAACGCTTTCCACTTAATGATCCTTGTGATTGCCTTGGGCTCAGCCAAATCATCCAGGATGATCTTCCCATCCAAAATCAGCTGATTAGCAACCGACTTCCTCTTTGCCATGTAAGGGAACATATTCACATGTTCCAGAGATTCGGATGTGGACATCTTTGGGGGGCCATTAGCCTGTCTACCACATGTAGAAGGAAGTGATACCAAGTTTAGCTGGGTTTTCCACTGTGTAAATGCAAAGTTTTCTATTTGCCTTTTAAAATATATAATCTCCTTTTTATTTCTATGTAATTACCCACAGTAGAGAAGCAAAAATGCTCCCTATGTAAATGTACTGTGTTATTATTCTATAATGACTTACATCTGAAGGTTAATTTCATTGCTTTCATCACAGAACAATTTAATGAAGAAATTAGCTTTAATAGTGAACAAATAAATTGGGTGCAACTAATGACAGTATCATTCAGACACAAATTCTAAATATTTTTCATATATGTGAATTCAGTTTCTTCTTACAATTTTTACTTCTTTTCTCCTATGCGTCTCAGTTATTTTTACAAAGATATAGATTTGGCTTTTGTTACATAGATTACATTCCATCATTCTTTCATCTTAACTCAGAAGAAAAATTTACAACTTAACAACCACATTTTTCCAGTATCAAAACTACCACAGATTATAATTTTCTTTCTTTTTTTTTTTTTTCTGAGACTGAGTCTTGCTCTGTCGCCCAGGCTGGAGTGCAGTGGTACAATCTCTGCTCGCTGCAACTTCCGTCTCCCAGGTTCAAGCTATTCTCATGTCTCAGCCTCCTGAGTAGCTGGAATTACAGCTGCCCACCACCACACCCGGCTAATTTTTGTATTTTTTTAGTAGAGACAGAGTTTCACCCATGTTGGCTAGGCTGGTCTCGAATTCCTGATGTCAGGTGATCTGCCTACGTTGGCCTCCCAAAGTGCTGGGATTACAGGTGTGAGTCACTGCACCCAGCCCTTTCTTTCTTCTTTTAATGGAGCCACACAGCACATATTTTTCTTGATAACCAAAATGAGTCACTGAAGCAACTGTCTCAATCAGTTGAGATTTATTAAGGTAACCTCAGTGCATGTCCAGGAACACGCAAGCCACAGACCTATCTGTGGCTATTTTCCTGAAGAGGTTTTCAGGAGGTTTAGTATTTGTACATTTTCTTAAAGGGGAGAAAGGCATGTAGGAAGAGAGGCAGGTAGGTGGTAAGGCAATGGTTATATCTTTGTGAGACTTTAGTTAGTGCCCAGTAAATCAACATTTTACATAAGATAAGGTGAATGTTTGAAAGAAAAAAAGGGAGTAAAGGAAGAATTTATTATGCAGATGTCTCTGGGTAAGCAGAGGAATGATTGATCTAGTCTTGTCTTTATTCTGCACCTGGGAAGATAAGCTTGCAATTGAATGTCAATTCCATTATCAGCATGGAATCAAACAGACTTTAGTTTCAGGAGCCAGACTTAGATTGCAGACCTAAAGTTGCAATTGGCATGTCCTTGTTTATGGGAGGCCAGCAAAAAATTCTTATGAATGGTCTCTACGGGCAGTCATTTGGAGACCCCTGAAGCCTTTCATCTTTTCCCAGGGAGTCTGGTTGATGCATAATGCTGGTAACAGCGATTTATTTGGAAGAGGGAGTTGCATAACTCAACCTCTAGGCTTAACCTTCCCTTTGGCATAAGGAGTTTGAAGGTCCAGAGATTTTTAAAATTTCTTCAACTGTTTTTATTACTGTAGGTAGCTAGTCAGACATGAGCAGGCCAGGAGAGGGCCCAATCCCACCCCCACCAGGAATGTCGGGTGACTATCAGGTGGTGGTCAGGTGGTTGTTAACTGTCTCTCTAAAAAAATAATTGGTCACACCCAGTGCCAGGGAAAGGTAGTCTCCCAATAGATAGAAAAAACCTGAAGTTGGTGATCAGCGACTTCCTACTAATATCTCAGGAGCCGGGTAAGTGGGCTCACATGTGTGCACCAAGACGAAAACTGGCGGAGTTTAACTGGTATGTGACCTTATACGAAGACTTGACTGGTAAAGGAAGAACATCTCAAGTGAGCATGTGTACAAGTCCCATAAATGCACTGTGCATGCTCACCTCCAAGAGCTGGCAGGCCACTGCACATGCAGACAGCCCACCCCAAGGGAAGAATCAGAGAGAAGGGATGCAAGGCCCCAGAAGTGTGCCAACATATAAAACCCTAGGTCAAAGGTCAAAGCATGCACTTGATCTCTCAAGTTGCCCGCTTGGCCCCCTCTTCCAAGTGTACTTTACTTCCTTTCATTCCTGCCCTAAAACTTTTTAATAAACTCTCACTCCTGCTCTAAAACTTGCCTCAGTTCTCTCTTTTTTTTTTTTTTTTTTTTTTTTTTTTTTTTTTTTTTGAGACGGAGTCTCGCTCTGTCGCCCAGGCTGGAGTGCAGTGGCGGGATCTCGGCTCACTGCAAGCTCCGCCTCCCGGGTTCACGCCATTCTCCTGCCTCAGCCTCCCAAGTAGCTGGGACTACAGGCGCCCGCCACTACGCCCGGCTAATTTTTTGTATTTTTAGTAGAGACGGGGTTTCACCGTTTTAGCCGGGATGGTCTCGATCTCCTGACCTCGTGATCCGCCCGCCTCGGCCTCCCAAAGTGCTGGGATTACAGGCGTGAGCCACCGCGCCCGGCCACCTCAGTTCTCACTCTGCCTTATGCCCCCCTCAGCTGAATTCTTTCTTCTGAGGAGGCAGGAATTGAGGTTGCTACAGATCCATACAGATTCACTGCTTGTAACAGTTTTACTTATATCTTTGTCATGGACACCTATAGCTCTATCTCATCTATTTTAAAGGCTGTATGTTATAGTATTGATAAAACTTAATTTATTTGTATTTCCCCACTGCTAAGCTTTTTGGTTACTTCCAATTTTTGCCATCATAAACAATTCTATGCAACAGGCTCTTTTTTTTCCCATGTGGTAGTATTTTTTTACCCCCAAGGCAAGCTTTTGAGAAAATGTCCCAGCATGATATTTAAAAGTTTATAATCAGATATTGGGATAAAGAATCCATAAACCTTGGGGACTGATTGGATCTGGGAGATAGAGGAGAGGTGGAGTCTGGGATATACCCAGATATAAGGGACCAGATGGGGCTGGGCACGGTGGCTCACGCCTGTAATCCCAGCACTTTGGGAGGCCAAGGCAGGTGGATCACTTGAAGTCAGGAGTTTGAGACCAGCCTGGCCAACATGGTGAAACCACACCTCCATTAAAAATACAAAACTTAGCCAGGCATGGTGGTGTGAGCCTGTAATCCCAGCTATTTGGGAAACAGGCAGGAGAATCGCTTGAACCTGGGAGGCAGAGGTTGCAGTGAGCTGAGATCGCGCCACTGCACTCCAGCCTGGGAGACAGAGTGAGACTCTGACCAGATGACAGGTAGCCTAGCTTTTTTTTTTTTTTTTTGAGACGGAGTCTCGCTCTGTCGCCCAGGCTGGAGTGCAGTGGTGCAATCGTGGCTCACTGCAAGCTCCGCCTCCCAGGATCACGCCATTCTCCCGCCTCAGCCTCCCAAGTAGCTGGGAGGTAGCCTAGCTTTCTACTTGAGACCAGAGGACCTCAGGTAGGGTGCTACAGGCCTGGCTGCACCCCTGTGAGCTCCATGGCCCTGGACAACTTAACCCCTCTGAGTTTCACTTTTCTTACTTCTAAACAGGGGTTAATAATAAAACCTCCTAGGGTTGTCATGAAGATCAAACAAAATGAGGTGATGTACAAATGTCCTTGGTATAAAAATTAACAAATCTTACTACAGCAGCAGATGATGGAATACACATCAAAGCCATTCAGAAATACTGAAAACACTATGTGAATGTAAGTGACTAATATTATCATTGTGCTGCCTCATCCTTGAACCATCTTCCCAAACACTTATGGACACAGCTTGCAACAGCATAAGGCACAAGCTGTGGCCAAGAAGAGCTTTCTCTTGTGGATTTACATGAAGCCAGTCTCTAAATGACATTTGGAGAATCAGATTCTCTTGTTTATGCTTCTTCCAGAAATAGGCACCCTGACATGATTAGTAGGAGGTGACAGCTTTAAGTTCCCTTCCCCACAGGCCAGGCACGATGGCTCACGCCTGTCATCCCAGCATTTTGGGAGGCTGAGGCGGGTGGGTTACCTGAGGTCAGGAGTTCAAGACCAGCCTGACCAACACGGTGAAACCCCATCTCTATTAAAAATACAAAAATTGGGCTGAGCACAGTGGCTCACGCCTGTAATCCCAGCACTTTGGGAGGCTGAGGCGGGCGAATCACAGGGTCAGGAGTTTGAGACCAGCTTGGCCAATATGGTGAAACCCCGTCTCTACTAAAACTACAAAAATTAGCCGGGCGTGTGGTGCATTCCTGTAGTCCCCACTACTCAGGAGATTGGGGCAGGAGAATTGCTTGAACCCGGGAGGCGGAGGTTGCAGTGAGCCAAGATTACGCCATTGCACTCCAGCCTGGGTGACAGAGCGAGACTCCATCTCAAAAAAAAAAGAAGAAAAAGTTCCCTTCCCCACATCGTCACTGCCAGGTGACCTTTACAGTGGAAACAAGTCTTAGGATAATTCTGTCACCACAGAAACATTTCTTAGCAAGCAGTCACAAATATGATCACACTACTGTTCTTATTATTTCTAATATGCTTTTTGCTGATTAAGGAACCCTCCAGTGCAGGTTCTGACAGCAATATTTGAAAGCCCTTATTCCAGTCACTGCTGGATCCAGACAGAAGCGTTGTACTACTCCAGGGATGCCATTCCTATTACACACACATCCAACACCTGCCAAAATTTTCTTGTGTCCATTTGATGTGTTTTGTTTCTGCAGTTAAAAAAAAAGAAAGAAAACCCACCTGACATGAGATCTACCCTGTTAGTAAATTTTTATGTGCACAATATTATTTTGTGAACTCTTATGTTGTACAGCAGATCTCTAGAACATATTCACAACAGAACTGAAACATTGTTCCCTCTGAATAATAACTCCCCATTTTGATAGGAATGGGAGGCAGGAGGGCAGGGCCCCTGGCAAGGGCTCCACCCTCAAGCCTGGACCGGCAGCCCTAAATGAGAACAGGCATTCCTGTTTTTGAGCCAGAATGTTGATTTTTGGCCTGCCCTGCCCCCACATCCTGGGCCCATATAAACCCCAGACCGCAGCTGGCAGAGGGAAAAGCAGCTGGACTTCGAGAGGCGAAGAAGCAACTGAGAGTCGGAGAGGATGGATAGATGCAGCTTAACTTCAGACGGCATGACTTTGGAGAGGAGCCTGGCTGAAGATGGCCAGGCCTCAGGGAAAGATCACCTTCCTGCACCAGCCCCTTTTCAGCTCTTCTGCTGAGAGCCACTTCCACTGCTTCATAAAACCTCTGCACTCACCAGCCTTTAAGTCTGTATGACCTGATTCTTCCTGGATGCCAGACAAGAACCTGGGTACCAAGAGGGCAGGGTGTACGTCACCCTGACTCGCCACTGAGCTGATTAACACTTAGCCATCACTGACGGCAACCACTAAAAGAGCATTGTTTGTAA
This sequence comes from Homo sapiens, assembly GCF_000001405.40. NCBI lineage: Eukaryota > Metazoa > Chordata > Mammalia > Primates > Hominidae > Homo > Homo sapiens. The sequence continues at coordinate 101,355,860 of NC_000002.12, read as the reverse complement.
TACATGCCCTCTGGGACTCCAGAGTTTGTGGGCAACTTGGTACAGGGTTCATTCCTGCCTAAAAAGGCACTCACCCCAGCTCCTGAACCTGCTCACCTGTGTACTCCCCCTCCTGCAAGCAAAACAAGCACTCCCACCCCCCCGAACCCCACCCTACCCCACTGTCGCAAGTCCCTCGAGGGGGTCAGGGAACTTTCCCGTCTCAATTTCCTCCACCCTCAAATGTGCACTTTTGCCTAGGGCGCTTCAGATGTTATCTCACTGCCCCAGAATGCAGACTGATATCTAACCTACATAAGCACACCTATTGCAAGGCCTGAGTATTTTAAAGTAACTATCCGTAACATAACCTGAATGATATAACCAGGAATATCCATAACCTGAATGATATAACCAGGAATGTGACTACTATTTTTAAGTTTATAAAATCGTTAGAATTGCTGGCTGATGTTCTGTCCTTGTTCTGATATACAAAAAATGTTTTTCACATGCAGAAAAAACATCGTTGATCCGGAAGATCCCCGATGTGTCCAGTTAACGCTCACTGGCCAGATGATCGCAGTGTCTCCAGAAGAAGTAGAATTTGCCAAGCAAGCCATGTTTTCAAGGTGTGTAAATGCTTTAAAATTTATATGCCCAGAAATACACAATACTAATAAGCAGAGGTCAGGCTGTGCCATTAGATGCCTCTGATGCAATAAGTGATTGGTCTCCACTGCCCTTCGGTGGGAATAGGGCCAAGCTCAGCCTGGCTATGGAGATCACTAGCAGTGGCAGCAGAAGCCGGGTGAATGCCTCTGGAGAGCACTGCACTGAGCTATTCCAGGTACAATTCCTACCTACTTCCAACCTTTGACAATGCCCTGCCTTGCCGTGAAAATAGCTGAGCCTTCCTCGTCAACACAACGTTTTCAAGCATCCACTTGAAACAAAGCCCATTGCCTGCTGGGGATGCCAGCGCAGCGTTTCTCAGTGTGGTGCTCTCGCTCTTACATCAGTAGGCTGCTGACTTAGACGCAGCTTTATGGGCCCAACCCCAACCTACTTACTGAATCAAACTCTCCGGAAATGAGGCTCAGGAATCTGTATTGTGAAAGGCATGCTCCAGGAAATTGATATGCATGCTAAAGTTTGAGAACTACTGCTGTAGGGGTCCACACAAGTGAGAGGGGGGCCCAGCCTGGAGTCAGAGCTTGTGCAAGCAGAGGACCGCGCATGCACGCGGGGGTGGCCTTTCCACAGGTGTCCATGCAGGGACCGCCGGAAGTGCAGGCTCGGAGCTGGGGTGCAGGCTGGTGCAGCAATGGAAACAGGCTAGAAGGCATTGGTCTGCAGTAGAGGGAGAGTAACACGAAGGCAAGTGTTGAGCTGGAGGGGCGATCCACAACCCCATGGGAAGAAGATCCTGCACGCAGGGATGCAGTGAATAAGCAAGCCTTGTAAGGACACAGAAAAGGGCTAAAGGCACAATCGGAGAAAACTAGAATGATTGGGATTGGATATGTTCACATGAGCTCATGGCTTTCAATACCTAAAGAAACAGATGTCAGTGTGCGTGTGTGTGTGCGCACAAACGTTTTTATTTTTTATTTTTATTTTTTATTGCTAGCTTTTAAACTCAACTCTAGTTCTTTAGTTCTTCTCCTCTCACATGTTATTATAAGCAATGAGAAGAGGCCAAAATCTTCCCTAGATCAGTGGGTTCATTAGGTTCATTTCCTATTTTCTTTTTTTATTTTTATTTTAAGTTCTGGGATACGTGTGCAGAACATGCAGGTTTGTTACATAGGTATACATGTGCCATGGTGGTTTGCTGCACCCATCATCTAGGTTTTAAGGTCCCCCATACATTAGGTATTTGTCCTAATGCTTTCCATCCTCTTGCCTCCACCCCCCGACAGGCCCCGGGTGTGTGATGTTCCCCTCCCTGTGTCCATGTGTTCTCATTGTTCAACTCCCACTTATGAGTGAGAACATGCAGTGTTTGGTTTTTTTGCTCTGGTGTTAGTTTGCTGAGGATGATGGCTTCCAGCTTCATCCATGTCCCTGCAAAGGACATGAACTCATCCTTTTCTATGGCTGCATAGTATTCCATGGTGTATATGTGCCACATTTTCTTTATCCAGTCTATTATTGATGGGCATTTGGATTGGTTCTAAGTCTTTGCTATTGTAAATAGTGCTGCAATAAACATACGTGTGCATGTATCTTTATAACAGAATGATTTATAATCCTTTGGGTATATGCCCAGTAATGGGATGGCTGGGTCAAATGATATTTCTGGTTCTAGATCCTTAAGGAATCGCCATATTGTCTTCCACAATGGTTGAAGTAATTTACATTCCCACCAACTGTGTAAAAGCATTCTATTTCTCCACAGCCTCGCCAGCATCTGTTGCTTCCTGACTTTTTAATGATTGCCATTCTAACTGCCATGAGATGGTATCCATTGTGGTTTTGATTTGCATTTCTCTAATGACCAGTGATGATGAGCTTTGTTTCATATATTTGTTGGCCGCATAAATGTCTTCTTTTGCTTCATGACTAAAACACCAAAAGCAATTGCAACAAAAGCCAAAATTGATAAATGGGATCTAATTAAACTAAAGAGCTTCTGCACAGCAAAAGAAGCTATCATCAGAGAGCAAACGGGCAACCTACAGAACGGGTGAAAATTTTTTCAATCGACCCATCTGACAAAGGTCTAATATCCAAAATCTACAAGGAACTTAAACAAATTTACAAGAGAAAAACAAACAACCCCATCAAAAAGTGGGTGAAAGATGTGAACATTTCCTATTTTCTACCTAACTACAGACAACAGCATTGCCAAGTTTGCCTACCACTACATAATGTAGATCCCTTTACCTCCAGCTTTCAGTAGCTTTTTCTGCTTTTATTTTTAATTTTAGAGGCAAGGATTTTTTCTTTTGTGCAGGCTGGAGTGCAGTGGCGTAATCATATTTCACTGCAGCCTTCAACTCCTGGGCTCAAGGGATCTTCTTGCCTCAGCATCCTGAGTAGCTAGGACTACCCACAGGCACCACCTTTTTTGGAGACAGTCCAGGTCTGTTGCCCAGGCTGGAGTGCAGTGGCATGATCTCGGCTCACTGCAACCTCTGCCTCCTGGGTTCAAGTGAGTCTTGTGCCTCAGACTTCCGAGTAGCTGGGATTACAGGTGTGCACCACCACGGCTGGCTAATTTTTATATTTTTAGTAGAGACAGGGTTTTGCCATGTTGTCCAGGCTGGTCTCGAACTCGTGGCCTCATGTGATCCTCCCGCCTCAGTCTCTCAAAGTGCTGGGATGACAGGCGTGAACCACTACGCCCAGCCAGGCACTACCTTTTTATAAGCCCTCACTGTCAGTCTCCTCAGGGTCCTTCCAGCTTCCACCCAGTGCCTGGGCCCAGAGCCAGTGCCCCATGGATTAGGGTTTGCTGCACCAGCACCACTTCCAGGTATCAAACTTTGTTCCAGTTATCAGTACAAAAGTAGGTTTCTTAAAACAACAATCATGTTATTATCTTGGCTGCATAATATTTGGGGTGTTATGGCATCAGATCAGCAACTTTTGTTCAAATGGATTAAGAAAATAAAATAGTTTTGGATACTGTACTTCCAATTTCCCTGTATGTTTATTATTGTTTCAAAATAAATTATTCTTTAAAAAGATGATTGACTGAGTGTGGTAGCACACACCTATAATTCCAGCACTTTGGAAGGCTGAGGCAGAAGGATTGCTTGAGGCCAGGAGTTCAAGACTAGCCCGGGCAACATAGTGAGACTGCATCTCTACAAAAAAAAAAAAAATTTTTTTTAAATTAGCCAGGCATGGTGGCACGCTACTCATGAGGCTGAGGCAGGAGGATCGCTTGAGCCCAGGAGATCGAGGCTGCGGTGAGCTATGATCCCGCCACTGCACTCCAGCCAGGGCAACAGAGCAAGATTCCATCTCTAAAAAAAAAATTTTTTAATAAATAAAGATCATCAACCTATTATTGCATTTGCTTTGTAATAAATGTTTTTCCCAGTTTGGACTCGGTCTTTGAATTATGTTTATGACATTTTTTAGATATAAAGGAAATTTTTATGAAGTTAAAAAAAAGAAGTAAGCCACAGCCCCTGCCCTCAACGATACTGCAGCGTGTTTAGGGGTATGCATCGGGGAGAGGCAAGTCAGTCAACAGCACAAGACGGGATGTGACGTTGCCTGTCAACTCTAGCTGGCTCTCACCTGCCTCAGTAGCTCTCAGCCTGCTGCACGACTGGAAATCTTCCCATGAACGAACTGGTTTCACAAGCTCACCATTTTGTTAACATTTCATATAGAGATGCATAAAGCCTTTCTTTATGTTTCCAAAGAATGGTAACCAGCCTCCACTGAGCACTCACTCTCTGCAGGTGTTTTCTGTGTGGTTCATTGCCTGCTTCCCCACACAGCCCTATGAAGAGCCGCATCAGCATCACTCCACGTGACAGGTAATGAGACAGAGGCTTGTGAGTGCCAACAGCCCACTGGCGTCACAGCTCATCAGCAGTTGAACTGAGATTCACACCAAGGAGCCTGGCCCACGTCTTGAGCCTCTAGCCACATGGGGTAAGGTCTACAGTCCCTGGCTTCCTACGGTGGTCCCAGGCACTGACACTCAGCTCCCTGGTTCTGCCTCTGGCTGATGTGAGCAGCTGTCAGCCCAAATGAGGCCTGGACTCTGGAGGTCCTATGACTTGGCCCAGGGTGCACCTCTCTGATAAGAGCAGCTTTACTGTGGTCTCTCTTTATTCCTGCAGGCACCCAGGGATGAGGAAGTGGCCTCGTCAATATGAATGGTTCTTTATGAAGATGAGGATAGAACATATCTGGCTTCAGAAATGGTATGGAGGCGCATCCAGTATTTCAAGGGAGGAATATTTCAAAGCAGTTCCCAGAAAGGCCTGATGGAGTGAGAAGAAAGTCCTTGGTGTTTGCACTTAAATGAAAACCTTTTCAGTGATGCAGCCAGACAGCTATTGACCACTGTCTCTTTGTTGAAGGGTTCATAGCAGCCCTGCCATCCCTGCAGCAGAATGAGAGAGGGTGAACAGGGAACTCTATGCTAGATTTGAGATTAAAGTGGTCATTTGCAGATCTCCAACTCACACAGATACTTCACGTAGATAGTCTTTATTCCATTGTATTCAATCCAGACTCATCGATTCAGAAATCATATAATAGCTGGTGGTCAAAATGACATGTTGAGATCATTGTTGTTTCATTGTTTAAGGAAAAAAAAAAATGCCTGTACCTACAATGTGATTGCTTTGTATTGTGAGAGTATCTTTGTTGCTTGCTCTGCCAAATGCAGTCTTGGTTCTAAGTTCACTGTGACCACGAAGCAGCTGACTGTGCATCACGCAGTCACAATATTGTTTTTAGGGTGAGGGTGGAGGACTGTGTGTCCGTGGATTACTCCTCCTGCTGGTGGATTGCAGATGCATTATTAGGTCATACTGGCTAGAATGCAGCTTTTCTCCCACCATAACATGAAAACAGTGTAAGAACATAGGGTGCTTTGTGCATAGCCCTTCTCTATGTAAGCAGCCATGGCAGTCATTAAAGAGAAAGGAGTAGCTTTGACATTAAGCTCCCCAGATCCCTGCTGCTCATACTTCTGGCAAGGGTTCCCCTCTCTCATGCATGAACAGGGGCATCCAAAATAAGAAGCTCTCCATTCTGTGGTGGGGAAAGCGGAGAGGGGAGTGGGTGAAGCTGGGAAAGTAAAGGCAGCACGTTACAGAAGGAAGAAAGGAAGCCAGTAACTGAGGGCCCACTGCCTGCCCGGCCCTGGGCCAGGCCCTCAACAGAAGCCATCTCATTTAAGCCCTGCAACCAATGAGATGCACGTCATCATTGGCTCTTACAGACAAGAAAACTAGACTCAGAGGGGCTGAGTCCACATCCCAGACAGCTCACTGCAGACACAGGTGGAGTGGTTCCTACAAGACATCCAGTTTTAACAACAAAAGAGTTATTGAAATGCATGGGTAGAAATTGAACCAGGAAAATCAGTAAAGTGATTGTAAAAAAGAAGGACTAGCTTGCCTGGAGATGATGTTTCTTGCTTTTGGAAAAAAAAAAAAAGTCTCTGAAATTTGATTCTTACTACAGATTTAAAACTTTCTACATATTATATGTAGGAGCTCCTAGTGTTTTTGAGAAATTAGACTGTACCTGTGTACACTTCTAAGGTCTACATGGACCTATGTATATATATCTAAGACCTCTGATCATTAAAACCTATAAAGGGTTGAGCTGTCCCAAGTTTTCTGTCTTTCTGTAATGGCTACAAACTTTCTTTGGTAGGTTAGGGAGGTTGTATAACATAAAAAACACATCACTATATGTAGGAAATATACATTTTTCAAGTAAATAAGAGTGTTATTAATGATTATGAACTTTTGCTTAACAAAATAACATACGACGAGAGCTTGAGTTGTCAAAATATATTTTAATTATCTATTGCTAAAAACATAGTAAGATGCAGAGAATTCTTTATTTGTCATAAGCCAGTCCTCAAAAGAGTTCCTAACAGTAGTGATTTCTAATATATAAGAATAAGGTACTTCTGAGGGAATTTTATATTTTCAGAGTTTAAAATTATTGCTACTCCCAATTTAGAAAAATGGGGAGAAAGCTGGAAGAACAAATGACATGCTCAAATGTATTGCATAAGTCAACCTCACACCTTAATACTGGGAGCTTCTCTGCCTCCTGATCCTGTCTTGCAGATAAGGTCCCCTGGCTAGGTTTGCGTTTATAGTCAGGTTCCATTTAGCTCATTAAAGGTCACTGCTGCTTCAAAGGACTTTGCCCAGTGGATGCCATTCATAACCACTGATGAATGTTATCAGCTATTTATCCAAATTACAGGAAATGAAACCTGAAAAGGTTGGGTAAGAATAGTGTTGAAAATTCACAGTTTTAAGTTTGATGGTCTCCATTCAGGCAAGTGTGTTTCAGCAAATCTCTAGAAATTTACATTGATTAAAATGTTAGAGGCTGTTCTGGAAGTTCTAGACATGGCAATAAGGCAAGAAAAAGAGATTAAATGCATACAGATCGAAAGAAAAAAAAAGTACCCCTATTTAGAGATGAGAGGATTGCCTACATAGAAATTCCAAATAATCTATTTTTTTTAAAAAAAAACTCTGGAACTAGTATGTGAGTGCAACAAGGTCTCAGGACACAAGATCAGCATACAAAAGTCAATTGCATTTCTCTATGCTAACGATGAACATGTGGGGAAAAAAACTAAAAACACAATACCATTTGCAATCACTCCAAAGTGAAATACTTCCGTATAAACAAAACTTACCCAGGACCTATGTAGTGAAAATTTTTAAATGCTAAGAAAAGAAATTAATGACCTAAACAAAGAAAGAGAGATACCATGTTCTTGGATTGGAAGATACAAACAGTAAAGATATCAGTTCTCCCCATCTCCATCTCTAGGTTTAATGCAATTCCTATCAAAATCTCAACAAGGATTTTGTAGACCTATACAAGCTTATTTTAAAAGTTACATGGAAAGGCACAGGCATTGAAATAGCTAAAACAGTCTTGTAAAAGCAGAATAAGGTAGGAGAAATCATTCTATTTAATATAGAGTTATGATGTAGCTACAGTATTCAAGAAGTGTGGTATTTGGTGGAGGCATAGAAACACATTGATGGAACAGAATAGGGAATCTAGAAATAGGCCCACACAAATATGCTCAACTGATTTTCTTTTACAAAAGTACAAAACTAATTCAACAGAGGATAGCCTTTTCAATAAGTGTGGAGTAAGTGGACATCCATAGGAAAATAAAATGAACCTTGGACTAAACTTCATACCTTATGCAAAAATTAACTCAGATCATATCTGTAAAAATAAAATGTAAAACTATAAAACTATAGGATATAGAAAATCTTTTGGAACTAGGGCTAAGCAAAGGGTTGTTAGACTTGATACCAAAAGCACAATTCATAAAAGAAAATTTGATAAATTAAACTTCATCAGAATTTAAAACATTTGTTCTGCAAAAGACCATGTTAAAAGGCCGAGAAGACAGGCCACATACTGGGAGAAAATATTTCCAAACCACATATCCAACAAAAGATTAGTATCTAGAATATATAAAGAACTGTCAAAACTCAACAGCTAAAAAATTCTAATTAGAAAATGGAGCACATGAACAGACATTTCACTGCAGAGGATATAAAAATGGCAAATAAGCGCATGAAAAGACATGAAAAGACAGTCAACAGCACTAGTCACTAGGGGAACTGCAAACTAATACTACAATGAGATATCACTACATAGCTACCAAAATTGCTAAAATAAAAAATAATGATAACACCAAACGCTGACAAGGATGCAGATAAACCGGGTCAGTCATACACTAGTGGTGGGAATAGAAAATGGAACAGCCACTCCGCAAAACCATTTGCCAGTTTCTCATAAAACTAAACATACAACTGCCATACTGACCCTCAATTGCTCCTGGGCATTTATACAAGAGAAATGAAAAGAGGTTCACACAAAAACTTGTGCATGAATGTTCATATCAGTTTTATCCATAATGTTCAAAAACTTGGAGAAATCAGATGGCCTTTAACGGGTGGCTGGTGAAACAGTGGATGGTGCCTCTATGCCCGGAATACTACTCAGCGATAAAAAAGAACTAATTACTGACATGGGCAACCACTGGGATGAATTCCAGAGAATTGTGCTGAGTGAGCAAAGCCAATCATAAAAGTTTGCACACTGTATGATTCCATTTACATAACATTTTGAAATGCAAAATTATAGGAATGGAGAATAGATTAGGGGTTGCCAGGGAGGAGTGGGGAGAACAAGAGAGTTGGGCATAACTATAAAAGGATAGCACAAGAGATCCTTGTGGTGATGGACATATTCAGTATCTTGACCAAATCAATGTGAAAATCCTGGTTGGGATATTGTACTGTAGTTTAGCAAGATGTGCCATTGGGGAAAACTGGGTAAAAAGAACACAGGATCTCTGTATTATTTCTTACAACTGCATGTGAATCTACAGTTATCTACAACTATCTCAGAATCTACAATTATCTCTGAGTAAAAAGCTTAACATAAACAAGATTTAGGGCTTAGCTTAATAAAGCATTTATACTCTCTCTCTTATTAGTCCCTAATAAAATGAGGAACTGAGCTATAAGCCAAAACCTAGTACAAAGAGACAGCATTTCATTTGTTAACCGTTAATATATCCATTTGCAGAAGAGGTGTAAAATTCTTTAAAATTTTCCTAAATATGTTCAATTTAATGTTAAATACAAATTAACAAGAATTCAACAAATCTGCTGTATAGATTTTAAGTGGGTCACTTAGGAGGAGAGGACATCTTCGAATTTCTGATATAAACACGTTGAGTAAGCTATAGGTGTATATAAGTATCCAAGTGTGTATATAATGATTCTCCACTGATTTTATAGAGAAGAACTATATTTCCAGTAATCTTCCCCTAAATATTGTGGGAAATAATTCTGTTTTAGTGAATAAGCTAATTAAAGTCTATCCAGACCACCATGTTTTTATTTACAGTGACTATATATATCCATGATTTTGACATAGAGTATAATTCTGATGTTACTTATTTCAATATGCCTTGTATATATTAGCTGTTTATAAGAGAGTCGCTTTTTGGTTGAAAAGTATTTCTAGGCTGAGCAAGGTAGCTCATGCCTGTAATCCAAACACTTTGGGAGGCCAAGGCAGGAGGATCACTTGAGGTCAGGAGTTCAAGAGCAGCCTGGGCAACATAGTGAGACCTCATCTCTACAAAAAATATTTATTAAAAAAAAAAAAAAAAAAGCCCAGCATGGTGGTGCACACCTGTAGTTCTAGCTACTCAAGAGGCTGAGGTGGGAGGATTGCTTTGAGGCCAGGAGTTTGACCTCCTGAGCTGTGATCATGCCACCACACTTGAGTGATAGAGTGAGACTTTGTCTCTTAAAAAAAAAAAAAGGTATTTCTACAATTTTTCCAAAAAGTCTGTATTTATTTAAATAATTGAACTATCAAATACTGTTCTGAAAATAAAACCTCTCTAGGATAATTTATTGATGCTTATTTGATTGCTATAACAGAAAGTCAATTATTGTACAATTTGAATTGTAATGATGTGATTATTTGTGCCATGTAATGCATGTAAAATGTAAAATCTGTTTTCAAAACTAGATCTATTTAACCAAAGACTATTTCATTCCTGATATGATTTGTGTGCTTGATTAAATGAATTTATGATATTGATATATAGTCCTTTCATGTCATACTACAAATTACCATTACTAGAAGTTCTAAGAAAATAGACACGACTGCAGAGAATCAGCAGTTAATTTTCCAATAGAAAAGAAAGAATTAGGCCAGGTGCGGTAGCTCACGCCTGTAATCCCAGCACGTTGGGAGGCTGAGGCAGGTGGATCACCTGAGATCTGGAGTTGGAGACCAGCCTGGCCAACATGGTGAAACCCCGTCTCTACTAAAAATACAAAAATTAGCCGGGGGTGGTGGTGGGTACCTGTAATCCCAGCTACTCAGAAGGCTGAGGCAGGAGAATCGGTTCAACCTGGGAGGCAGAGGTTGCAGTGAGCCGAGACTGTGCCATTGCACTCCAGCCTGGGCGACAAGAGCGAAACTCAGTCTCAAAAAAATAAAAAAAGAAAAAGAAAAGAAAGAATTAGCCAGGTTACTTTTGTTGATTTCTTAAGGCTCTGCATAAAATGCACCTAATTTGCAGACTCAAAAATGCCAATGTAGCCATGCTTTGGTATTCCCACTCTTGAAAATATTTGCCATTTTCAACATAGTTGTTATTCCTGGAGTTCAGGGCTAGGAAAAAGCCCCATCCCACAGATGAACAAACATGCACAAGGGGTCACACATACAAAGTGTGGCAAAAAATGATGTGTGCCCACGAGGTCAACCCTGTGTGACTGTAGCTTCCACAGACCACCTGCCAACACCCTGGCTTCTCCAGGATATTCTTGTCCTCCACTTAGGGTGGCAAACTGGCCTGGTTCACCTAGGAATGGGGAGGTTCCTGGAACGTGGGGCTCTCAGTGGTAAAGTCAGGAAAATACTACCATACTGAAAGAGGTTGGTACCCCTCCCTTGACGCCACCTCTCAGTCTCCCACATCCTGGGCCACCCCCTGGAGCAGGCCATCTCCAGGGTGACCCACTTCTGACCATGCACTCAGACATCTCCACCCACACTTCTGTCCTTCCAGCCTTTCTCCCCTGCCGCCAGAGCACTTGCTCAGGAAGGTGACCGACAACAGGATGGGATTGCAGTGGAGAACACGGCCATGCCCTGCACTCAAGATACAAATGGTTTCTAAACAGTAAGTAAACAAGCACGCTTGGACCCCAGGTCATCATTATGTAGATTCAGTGCCCCATCCCTTCAGCCAGTAGTCTCAGCATCCCCACTGTTTTCATCAGAACCACGTGGCAAACTCCAGCCTGGATAAATTCAGCATTCATCTCTGCAGCTGAATAACATTCACAAGGATTGCTTTGGCCTTAAATCCAAGGGCTGCCATCCCTGACTAGGCCCTCCTTGTAGCAGGGCTTTCCCTGCAGCTGTCTCCCACCCTCTCCTATATGCTCCCGGGGAAATGGGCTCTCTCCAATGAGCACTCCCTCAACTCCCTGGAGAATTCCTCCAGTGGCTGCAGCCCCTTCCTCCTCCTGCCTGCCCTGCTGGATGGTTTTCCAGGGCAGGGTTCCCCGGCCTGGATGTGGGCAGGAGCCGGGGTCCAGACTCATCCCAGGTAGAGACAGGTGTGATGGAAGAAGGGGAAGCAAGGGGGCATTTAAGGTGTTTTCTTTTCCTTTTTTTTTTTTTTTTTGAGACGGAGTCTCGCTCTGTCGCCCAGGCTGGAGTAGGGGCGCGATCTCAGCTCACTGCAAGCTCCGCCTCCCGGGTTCACGCCATTCTCCTGCCTCAGCCTCCCGAGTAGCTGGGACTACAGGCGCCCGCCGCCACGCTCGGCTAATTTTTTGTATTTTTAGTAGAGACAGGGTTTCACCGTGTTAGCCATGATGGTCTCAATCTCCTGACCTCGTGATCCACCCGCCTCGGCCTCCCAAAGTGCTGGGATTACAGGCGTGAGCCACCGCGCCCGGCCTTTTGAGACAAGAGTCTTGCTCTGTCACCCAGGCTGGAGTGCAATGGCGTGATCTCGGCTCACTGCAACCTCTGCCTTAGCCTAAGAAATTCTGCCTTAGCCTCCGAGTAGCTGGGATAACAGTTGCGCACAACCACACCTGGCTAATTTTATATTTTTAGTAGAGACGGGGTTTCACCATGTTGGCCAGGCTGATCTCGAACTCCTGACCTCAGGTGATACACCCGCCTCGGCCTCCCAAAGTGCGGGGGTTACAGGCGTGAGCCACTGCGCCCAGCCGTTTAGGGTGTTTTCTAAGAGCGGATAGGGTGGGAAGGAAGGTAGTGCAGGCAGCAGGCGGCTGTGACAGCCGCAGTGGGGGACCTGAGACCACGATCTGGAAGGCCCACCATTGTCCACAGTGAGACATGTGAACGCCCAGTTCCAGAGAGATGACAGCGATGACAAGGCCAGGCTGAAGCTGTGGCAATGGACGGTGGAGGTGACCGGGAACATGGTGGCTGGGGTGAGCCAGATGCCGCAGTCACAGTGAAGGTGAGCAGGAGGGGCGAGACGAGCAGAGAGGAGGGAAGAGGCTGACTGGGAGCCATGCGGGTAGGGGAGGGTGCCGCCATCCTGCTTGTCGGCTACTGCTGAGGGCTACTGATGTGAACTTTCAAGGAGCAGGGTTGTTTCGTGTTTCGTGTTGCTTTACCGGAGGAGGAATGATCTGCAAAGCATGAACATAGCTTTATAATAGACTAACGTAGCTTGAATCCACTGTTTCTTAGCTTTGTGAATTTCGGGACTGAGTGAATCCTTCGAATCTCAGTTTCGTCCCGTGTAAAATGGGATAATTATTATGCAATGCCTGGCATGCCGTAAAGGTTACGGCATTATAGGATATGGTGGCATTATAGGACTTCTCATTTGCATATCGTATAGATGACATTTGTCCACGTGTCAGTCGCCTTAGCAAGACTGGGAGCCAGTAGAGGGGCTGATTTTGCACACGGCCATTTATGGCTCCTGGTAGGTGCTCAGCAAATGACTAGAAAGAACGGATGAGTTCGTTTTCTGAGGGCTTTGGGCCGGAGCCCCTGCCCAGGTCTCAGTGGGTAGCCTTACGGACACGCTTCATTTTTTCCTGCTCCCCCGCGACTCCCTCCCTCGCCTTCTTACCCCGCCTCACTGAGGTCTCCCACCCTTCTAACCACTTCCAGATTAGCCCCTGAGCCTCCCGGAGTTTCTGATCAGCTCCCGGGTTTGCAAGCCTGGCAATTTTTCACTGCAGCCAAGGAAAAGAACCACTGCGCCCCCTGGTGGCTCCATCTTAGAAACCTCGCCTTTCCCAGAGCCCAGCATCCTGCCAGGAGCTAGGTGCAGACATTAACCTCATCTGGTGTTCACATCCACCCTGCAAGAAAGAAATGCTTCAGTTTTTCACATGCTAAACCTGAGGTTCAGCAAACTCACAGACCTGCGCTCCTGGGCTTCCAGGGCCAGGGAGGAGGCTGAGCAGGTATTAAACCCATGACTGACTCCAACCTCCTTTCTCTCCTCTCAATGCTTTGGGGGTTTCCAGAACGCAGTCAGACCTATTTTCCCCTCCTTGAGTTTTCCCTCTCTTCCTTCCGTTCTCAGCACCCCACCCTCTCCCTGCTCTCGACAGTGGCTGTCCCTGGCAATGGCCCCAGGCTCAGGGAGGAGCAGCTCCAGCGGACCGAGACCAGGCTCCATCTGCATCCTTCACAAGCCGTGTCTTCCCTGGTCCTCACGGCGACCCTGTGAGGCAAGTCCTCCTATTCTCGCTAATTGCCAACTCAGAAGCTGCCCAGAATCACACAGGTAATAACTGGTCCATTGTGAGCCCAGGTTCATGCTCTCAACTACCACCCAATAGTCTTACCCTGGCGTATTTATGTATATTTTGGTATTCTATTGTGATTGAAATTTTGATTTTAATTCAATGATACCTACAAGAACCATAACTTCAGTGGGACTCATGATGGCCTCTAGCCAGGCTGGGGAGCTTTGGCCCCGCCCCGGCTCCGCCCCTTCCTTTCTTGGGTCTTTTGCTTTGTCGTCCCTACCAACCTCTCTATAGCGAATCCCCTGGATTAAATCTCTCTCTGTTTGAAATAGTGTGTTTGGTTTCCTGATTGGACGCTGACTGACATGCCTCCTAACAGACATTTTCAGGGCACTGATCTCTTAGTTTCTCATGGAATGAAGGCATTTGTTCTATCATAACCACATTTCACATTTCCTGTGTCATCTTATTATATTTTAATTACTTCTGAAACCAGGCTCTGGATCTGTCTTAGTATGAGAGCCATTTTTAATAGATCCTTTTTTTTTTTTTTTTTTTTTTTTTTTTTTTTTTTTTTTTGAGACAAAATCTGGCTCTGTCGCCCAGGCTGTAGTGCAGTGGTGCGATCTCGGCTCACTGCAACTTCCGCCTCCCAGGTTCAAGCGATTCTCGTGCCTCAGCCTCTGGAGTAGCTGGGATTACAGGCACCCACCACCACGCCCGGCTAATTTTTGTATTTTTAGTAGAGACGGGGTTTCGCTATGTTGGCCAGGCTGGTCTGAAGCTCCTGACCTCCAGTGATCCGTCAGCCTCGGGCTGGGATTACAGGCGTGAGCCACCGCAGCTGGCCAAGATATTTTTGAAAGAATCATGTAGTTGACCTAAAAGTGTTTGGGTACAAAAAAAAAAAAAAGTATGAATGTTTTGGGTTTTTTGTTTGGTTTTTAACAGAAAATTTTTTTATTGTATTCATCAGTGGTGTACTATATTCTGCAAAAGCAGCTGGTGATATTTTTATAAAGACCCAAGCAATTCTCCTTCCAGACATTTTATTGAGAAAGTAAAAATCAAGTCAGATTGAGAAAGGAAAAATCTTCCCTGCTATGAATCAGGCTAGCCTAACACAGACAAAGGCTGCTGCAAAGTTAACTGGAAACAATGTTTGTCCCAGGGTCATGCTACATCTGTAAAATGTCACCAACCCAGTTTTGAGTGATTTCTGCTTTCTGCCTCAGTGAGAAACCTTGTTCTGAAGTCTTACGCACTCAGAAACTTAGCTGCTTAAAATCAAATCAGTAAAAATGAAATGATCCACTTTTGCCTGGAGGATCCAAGTCTTTCAACATAGAGAAGCAGCCTCAATCTCCCACTCAGATGCAGGCTGCAGACAAGGGCTTCTAAACACAACACAGCAAAGCTATCTTAACTTCCTAATTTCCAAGAAACAGAGAACTTTGCAGTTTAGGCCCAATGCTGAACCCTAACCCACAGCCTGTTTGCCTGGACTCCATCAAAACATTGCTTCATTTAAATTTTACCTAAGGGCCTCCCTTCCCCCAAATCAAAGAACCTTGTCTCTTCTTTCTTTGGTGAAATGCCCAGTAGTTCCACTGACATGCAGTCTCCCTCATTTCCAAGAGCCAATAAGCCTGATTTCATTGGACTTCTGTCCTGTCCATCAGATCTGTCCTGATGGCCTTTGGCTAGGACAGCATCCACAGACCTAAATGCTCGCACTTCATAACCAGGGCACCCCACACACCTTCCTAGCCACCAGGAAAGCCAAGTGATTATTCAGAGTTGTTCGATGAGCATGCAAACAGAAGGTACTATTCACCTAAATTCAGAAACAGGCAAGTAAGTTCATCTTTATTTTCCAACAGACAATGCAGACAAGTTGCTCTCATAATCCAGACGTAGTGCCTCTCTCCTGCTAGGAGACAGGGATGGGGAAATGCTTAATATCACTGATGAAGCTGTATTTCAAGACATTGTACTATAAGCCATAAGATACTCTATCTCCAACAATGTATTATATATTGATTTAATTATAACTACTCATTAAGTCCCGGGATGTCCTGCCATGGCAACCAACAATTTCCAAATACTCTGCTTAAGTAATCTAGATTATATCTAACTGTTTTCATTATCTATTGCTGTGTAACAAATTACCCCCAAAAATGTAACAGCTTAAAACAACAAACATGTATTACATCATATAGTTTCTAAGGCCAGCAATGCATATTATGCACATTGCTAGAATTTCTAGGGAGTTCAAATCCAGGTAAAAATAAATATGATACTGTAATGCCTAACCTTGTTTTTTTACGAACCCTATTTTCAAATTTCCCTTTTTGTCTCCTTAATTACCTAGCCTTGTTTCTCATATGAGTAAGACTCTCCCTTAGCTGGGAAAGCCGGACAAACTACATTTGGCCCCTTGATTTACAAGACATTAAGGGCTACTTACCCAACCCCCTTCCTCAAGGAGTTAACCTGTGTAAGCAGATCCTCAGCATTTCAAAGGAGCCCAATTAACTGATAAGGTACTGGAACGAACAACATGTATGAAGTTCCCAGGATTTTGCTCAAAAGATAACAACATAAAGCCTTGAGTCTGTGTCCGGCATAGCATCCATATCTAACTCTAATAAAGGATTTAGAGCCCCGCAACTGTTCCGTTGCTTTTTTTGTAACCATTTGTCTTTTAAATTGTTTATCTCTCTGTAACCATTTGTTTTTTGATTCTTGCATGTTTTTACTTCTGTAGAATTATTGCATTTGAGCTCCCCTCCCCTACCTAAACCAAGGTATAAAAGTTAATCAAGCCCCTTCCTCAGGGCTGAGGGAATTTTGAGTGTTAGCCGTCTCTTTGGCCACCGGCTTAAATAAAGGACTCTTAATTCATCTCAAAGTGTGGCGTTTTCTCTAACTTGCTTGGGTATAACAATACTATTCCTTATTTAATGAAGATATTATCTACTTCAGTAAGTTCATATGAATGCAAACTTGTGGAAGATTTTGTTGTTGTGTGTTTTAGTGTAACAGCATATTCACATTCCTCAGGTTAGTAATACAAATAGGATTTATGTTAGGCTCCAATGAAACAGGAGAATTCCCTGATTCCCCTCATAGGACATGTGACAGGGGTGTCGCCTGCTTGGTTGCCCTGCAGCTCAAAACCCTAAAGGCAGCATGCAGATAGGCAGGTGCAGAGGCCCACCCAAGCCCTTTTGGGCTCTGGCCCCACAGCAGCATCTAAGGATGGGTGTCTTCAACTCCTAACGCCCAAGTGGGCGTGTGTTACCAAGCTCTTTTAGATTTGCCGTCTGCAGATGGCTTGTGTGTTCATCAGCTCAACGGACCCCCTGCCTTATCGCAAGGGGGATATCCACTTCCATGATCCGATCACCTCCCGCTAGGCCCCTCCTCCAGCACTAAAGATCAGAATTCAACATGAGATTTGGGTGGGGACACACAGCCAAACCATATCAGGGGTCTTGTTATTTTGCCCAGGCTGGTCTCAAACTCCTGGGCTCAAGCAATCTTCCTGCCTCAGCCTCCCACATAGCTGGGATTACAGGTGTGCACCACCACTCCAGGCTCTTATTTTCATAACATTTATTATAGTCAGCTTCTCTATACAGTATTTAGGTTGCTAGTTGGAACTAATATAATCTAGTGTTTAGCATGCACATTGATATCTTAGTTCAAAGAATTGCTCTTTTCTGATTCCAAAAGCTAACTATCTGGGTAGTTACAGGATCTGAGTACTAATTTTATGACTCACAGGAATGGCAGGAAGAAATGAAAAAAATGCCTAGTGAACGGGCTTGCCAGGGGAAGGGGAAAACTAAACCAGAAATATCGACTCTGAGATATAGCCCAAGAAAATGATTAGATTTCAAAGACAGAGATTAAATCCCAAAGCCCCCCAGGCAAAAATATTAGATAACTTAGAAAAGCAAGAGAATTAGTCTGGAATCAAACATTTCAAAGCCAAAATACAAACAAAGCAACAATGGGCATTATTTAAAAAAAAAAATGAAAGAAAGTATGATCCAAGGATTTTATACCCAAACTGTCCTTTAAATATCAAGGCTAAAGAAGCATAGTTTTCACTAGATAATAACTGAGAGAAATCTGTACCTATCTACCTTTCTTGAAGAATCTACTAGAGAATCACTGTTTTTCGCTTGTTTGTTTGTTGTTTTCTGTTTTGAGACAGAGTCTCGCTCTTGTCACCCAGGCTGGAGTACAATGGCACAATCTCAGCTCACTGCAACCTCCACCTCCTGGGGTTCAAGCGATTCTCCTGCCTCAGCCTCCTGACAAGCTGGGATTACAGGCGTGCGCTACCATGACCAGCTGATTTTTTGTATTTTTAGTAGAGACAGAGTTTCACCATGTTGGCCAGGCTGGTCTCGAACTCCTGACCTCAGGTGATCCACCTGCCTCGGCCTCCCAAAGTGCTCGGATTACAGGCATGAGCCATCGCACCTGGCCAAGAATCACTGTTATCTAACCAAATGATGACTGGGAAAACTTTAGCAATCAGACTGATGGTGAGCATTTAAGAACATAGAAGTATACATCTAAGATTAAAACAAAAATGAGACAAATGTGGAAGACTAATGTACAAATGTTATATGTTATGACAAAGTTGAAATAAGACAAGTAACATATGGGAGAAAGGAGTGAGAGTGAGGAAAATAGAATTAGCTCATTGAGTCCAGGCGTGGTGGCTCATGCCTGTAATCCCAGCACTTTGGGAGGCCAAGGTGAGCGGATCACTTCAGGTCAGGAGTTCGAGACCAGCCTGGCCAGCATGGTGAAACCCATCTCTACTAAAATTACAAAAAATTAGCTGGGCATAGTGGTGCATGCCTGTAATCCCAGCTACTGGGGAGGCTGAGGCAAAAGAATCGCTTGAACCCAGGAGGCGGAGGTTGCAGTGAGCCGAGATTGCACCACTGCACTCCAGCCTGGGCAACAGAGCAAGACTCCATCTCAAAAAAAAAAAAAAGGAAAAAAAAGATACTGATTTTAAAAAATAAACCAGATAGTAAAAATTAAGCAAGAAAACAGGGGAGCAAGTGAATTTTAAAATGTACAAGGGGGCCAGGTGTGGTGGCTCATGCCTGTAATCCCAGAACTTTGGGAGGCTAAGGCAGGAAGATCACTTGAGCCCAGAGGTTCAAGACCAACCTGGGCAACATAGTGAGACCTCATCTCTACAAAAAAATTAAAAAGTTAGCCAGGCATGGTGGCGTGTGCCTGTGGTCCCAGCTACTTGGGAGGCTGTGCTGAGAGACCTCAGCTTTAGCTCATTGAGAACAGTTTCAGAATTCTGACCTCCAAAACTGTAGGACAATAAATCTGTGTCATTTTTAGCCATTGATTTTGTGGTCATTTGTTACAGAAGCAGTAGGAAATGAGTGCAGTACTTTTTTTTTTTTTAGACGGAGTCTCGCCCTGTAGCCCAGGCTGGAGGGCAGTGGCACGATCTCGGCTCACTGCAACCTCTGTCTCCCAGGTTCAAGAGATCCTCCCACCTCAGCCTCCCGAGTAGCTGGAATTACAGGCGTGTGCCACCATGCCCGGCTAATTTTTGTATTCTTAGTAGAGACAAGGTTTTGCCATGTTGGTCAGGCTGGTCTCAAACTCCTGACCTAAGATGATCCACCTGCCTTGACCTCCCAAAGTGCTGGGATTACAGGCATAAGCCACCATGCCCAGCCAAGTGCAGTAGATATTGATGACAAATTCGTTCTCATGAAAAATGAATAAAAGCTGGAGGATAGGATCCAGTTAACAACAAAACTCAGTTCACATGAATAAATTAGACCTTGCTCAATTCAATTGAATAAGATGCCCTGTAAGATTTTTTTTTTAAATAATAATGCTAATTGACTTTTATTATTATTATTTTTTTCTTCGGAGACAGGGTCTCACTTTGTCACCCAGGCTGGAGTGCAGCAGCCTAATCACACCTCACTGCAGCCTTGACTTCCCCTAGCTTAAGTGATCCTCCCACCTCAGCGTCCCCAGTAGCTGGGAGTACAGGTGTGTGCCGCCACACTCAGCTAATTTCTGCACTTTTTTAATAGAAATAGTTTTTGTTTGTTTGTTTGTTTGTTTGTTTGTTTGTTTTTTGGGACAGAGTCTCCTGCTGTTGCCAGGCTGGAGTGCAGTGGTGCAGTCTCGGCTCACTGCAACCTCTGTCTCCCAGGTTCAAGCTATTCTCCTGCCCCAGCCTCCCAAGTAGCTAGGACTACAGGCGCGTGCCACCACGCCCAGCTAATTTTTGTGGTTTTAACAGAGACGAGGTTTCACCATGTTGGCCAGGATGGTCTCGATCTATTGACCTCGTGATCCGCCTGCCTCGGCCTCCCAAAGTGCAGGGATTACAGGCATGAGCCCCCGTGCCCAGCCGAGATAGGTTTTCACCATGTTGCCCAGGCTGGTCTCAAATTCCTGGACTCAAGCAGTCTGTCTACTTTGACCTCCCAAACTGCTAGGATTACAAGCTGACTTTTATTCTTTATGCCAGAGGCCTAAATAGTAAAAATGGGGAGAAATGAGAGAAAGTCTGATGTAGCCAGGATCCCCACATACAATAAAAAGAGCTCTTCTTGCTATAAATTGGCATCACTACTATAAAAATGTGATTTTTTTGATAAAACAAAACAGGACTATCTGTTTTGAAATTCACAACCTAGATTAAAGATAAAATACAAAGTAAAAAGGATATATTCTTCCAATACATGAGAATTTAAATTTCCAAACAAACTTATAATGATGGTTCTCATAATTTGACATTAGGAAATCATTAACAACATATGAGGAAGAGCAATGCTAATTCTGGTAGACATTTGTTTTCTTCTAAATAGCTTTATTTTGTAAAAAGAACAATCAGCTATATATAAAGGCGAGAATTGTGAAAAATAAAAATATAATTTATTATTTCATTGTAACTTTTTTTTTTTTTTTTTTTTTGAGACAGAGTCTCGCTCTGTCGCCCAGGCTAGAGTGCAAGGGCATGATCTCGGTTCACCACAACTTCTGCCTCCCGGGATCAAGCGATTCTTGTGCCTCGGCCTCCGGAGTAGCTGGGATTACAGGTGTGCACCAACACGCCTGGCTAATTTCTGTATTTTCAGTAGTGTTGGGGTTTTACCATGTTGCCCAGGCTGGTCTTGAACTCCTAACCTCAGGTGATCCACCTGCCTCAGCCTCCCAAAGTGCTAGGATTACAGGTATGAGCCACCAAACCCGGCCCATTGTAACTATTTTAAGAAATCTTTGCAGAGTTTAGTTCTTTTCCAAAGTCCCTTTATAATGATTTCATGCAAGTTTAAAATAGGCAACTTTTCTGAGTGCTCATAAAAAAGTGTCCTGAGACTTTTGTGCATTTTTCATAGTTGATCCTTTTGAAGTAGTTAGGTTAAGTAACCAGTGCAGTAAGTAACCAGCACACATTTGTAATCCCAGCACTTTGGGAGGCTGAGGAGGGCGGATCACCTGAGGTTGGGAGTTCAAGACCAGCCTGGCCAACATGGTGAAACTCCATCTCTACTACAAATACAAAAAATTAGGCGCAGCACGCACCTGTAGTCCCAGCTACTCGGGAGGCTGAGGCATGAGAATTGCTTGAACCTGGGAGGCAGAGGTTGCAGGCCGAGATCATACCACTGCACTCCAGTTTGGGCAACAGAGCAAGACTCTGTTTCAGGAAAAAAAAAAAAAAAAAAGTAACCAGTGCAAGTGCGTCCTTCACATCTCGTTTCATCTATTATGTGATTAAAAATCATAAACTTTACTGAAAATAAAAACTGCCATGATCTAAAAGCTATCAAATGGTTCTGGGTATAAAGATAAGCTGACGCAGGCAGTAAGAAATCTTTTAAGCATTCTTCAATCTGGTGAAATTACAGCTAAATAAGTTTTTCAATGTGAAAAAGACACTTAAATAATTTTTACTCAAGTAAAATTCACATGAAAGAAAATTACCCATTTTGAAGTGTACAATTCAGTAGCATTTGGTACTTTCACAATATTGTGCAGCCAAAAATGGTCTTTTTAAAACACCTTTATTTTCACAGACCATTAAGCACAGAGTTATCCACCAAATATTAGTACATGATTGCTATAAAGACTTCAATTGTTTCAGCTACAAGAGGCCAAATATCAAACAGCTATCTTACAGTGACAATTCTTTGTCTTTTCTGATGCTGACAAAGACTTTCAACTCTTTTCAGTAGAAAAAGTCAACAGAAATCAAAGGTGCGGTTAACGTTGCTGCTGAGAAAAAACTGATGCTCTCTTTACACATTTGAAAAAGTCAGGAAAGTTCAATGACCTACAGGGTGGGTAATGTTACACAGGCTTTCTGAGAGAGAACACTCAGAATTTCCAGAGTAAATTTGATAGGTTTTAAGTGACTTTAGCAGTAATGATTACATGCTGGCATTTGTATTTTTTAGTACTGGGTAGCTTAGTCTTCTATAGTTCCTTGGTTAATTAGCAGCTTCAAATATTAGACTCAAATAGCTGGAAAAGCTGGCTGGGCCCGATGGCATGTGCCTGTAATCCCAACACTTTGGGGGGCCGAGGTGGGAGGATCACCTGAGGTCAGGAGTTTGAGACTAGCCTGGACAACGTAGTAAAACCCCATCTCTACTAAAAATGCAAAAATTAGCCAGGTGTGGTGGCAGGTGCCTGTAATCCCATCTACTTGGGAGGCTGAGGCAGGAGAATTGCTTGAACCTGCAAGGCAGAGGTTGCAGTGAGCCAAGATTGCATCATTGCACTCCAGCTTGGGTGAAAAAAAACAAAACTCTGTTTCAAAAAAAAAGCCAGTTAAATGGTTCATTTGAAGATAAACATTCTTAAACACTTATTAGATTTCACCTATTTAAAAAGTGCAATTTCTCCCTTCCTACCTTTGGAGCTCCCACTAGTACCTCCTATTGGTAGAATCTAACAGTAAGTCTGCTGGCAAGAGAGCCTGGGACACCCAGATCCCACACCCAAGAGAATTTGCAAACTCCCAGCCTTAACACCGCAGAGCCAAGTAGAAAAGATCCACTGTGGCTGTAGGAGACAATTGGCCAATAACGGGCACAGCCCACTGCTTTGACTACTCAGCACCTGCACCCTTCAAGGTACAGACAGCTAAAAGACCTAACAAGCCAAACGCTCTGCCTTACAAGATGCAGTTATACTTTGCAGAAATAAAGATACTCTCACTTTCCCCCTGAAAAGGGGAAACCAGACGTCCCATCAGCCACTGTATCCTACTCTAGGTAATATTAGTTCCTGCCTCGGTATTCTGTAAACTGAAGACCAAATTGTAAAGTTAGCCACCACCCACACTGGTATCAGGGGAGACCATCTCTTTGGCCACTTCTCCATCCAGGAAGCTGGGTCTAAGATTTCCTTGTAGGCCGGGCGCCGTGGCTCACACCTGTAATCCCAGCATTTTGGGAGGCCGAGGCCGGCAGATCACGAGGTCAGGAGATTGAAACCATCCTGGCTAACACAGTGAAACCCCGTCTCTACTAAGAATACAAAAAAAATTAGCCAGGCACGGTGGCGGGCACCTGTAGTCCCAGCTACTCGGGAGGCTGAGGCAGGAGAATGGCGTGAACCCGAGAGGCGAAGCTTGCAGTGAGCCGAGATCGCGCCACTGCACTCCAGCCTGGGCGACAGAGCGAGACTCCGTCTCAAAAAAAAAAAAAAATTTGCTTGTTGGCTTTCAGGGATGTTCTGCAGCTGTGCCCATTTTGTAAACTAAGCCCAAGTTTTGTTTGGGTTTTTCCTCAATGAACTGATCATAGAAAACTCCCCATAAGAATGGAAAACTCCCCATGAGAACTAGGTTATGTGGGCCCTAACACATCATCTCACAACCCTTAGAGGCTTCCTGATCTAAATCCTGGTGAAATAAACGACATCTATTTTTCATCTAAGTGCTTGCACCATTGGGCTCTTACATAGTTACTGTAATGAAGCAGGTTCAGAAATCATACCTTTACATCAGCTGGGAAAAGGGGGACTAATTCAGGAATTTCCTTAAAACACCCAGAGCCTACCTGAGAAGTAATGAGAACCCAAATGAGCATCTACAGAAGGAGCAGGATTAAAAAAAAAGAAAAATAAATAAAAACAAATAAGCATCAAGAAAACCAAAACACCACCGAATTAGACTTGGAGAAAATTAGACCTTCTTTCCCATCCCTATCCATTCATTCATTGCTTCTTTTTTTATCTTATTTTTTAAACATGTTTATTCATGTGTTCTGACATTTATCAAGCATCTACTTTATGCCAAATGCACAGTAGATGCAGTTGTGAGCCAAACGAATCCCATGCCCTCAAGGAGCCTCTGTTGCAGCAGAATGTGCTGCATTTAGCAGACCTGCCACTCACTAGCCATGTGGTTACTCAGGACTTTCTGTGCCTCAGTTTTCTCACCCGTAAAATGGGTCAACATGGTGCCTCAGGTTGTTATGAGGATTAAATGAGTTCATGCATATAAAGTGCTTAGAATAGGGCCTGCCACATCTTAAGCACAGAGGAAATGTGAGTTTGTCTTACATTCTATTTTCTATCCACAATTTCTCACAGAAAGAGAAAATTTGAGGAGGGAATGAGTAGCTATTAGGAGGCAGGGAAGCCAACATCTTCATGCTAGAGACATGGACAAGGAAGCCCAGGTACCACAGAGTATAAATGGTGGGATGCAGATCATCTAAGGCCAGGGTAAGCTTTCTGAGGAGTGGTTTGGGAGATCCTAGCATGGCACTGCTGAGTCTGGCAGATTGACTATATGTGCTAACCCGACACTCCCTACCTATGTAATTCTGGGCAAGCTTTATTTACCCCTGGGGAGGAGAAGGAGGACGATCTTGCGAGCTGAAATTCCTGGCTTCTGAAGGGCAGAAGCAGAGCAACTAGCTTTACACAGGAGCACAGGGAGTGGCGCTTCAGGGTTCTGGCCCCTGCATGATTCTTCAACAATTTCCAGTTTTGTGCTGCTCTAGTTCAGGTTCTGAGAGAGGGCCCTGCTTTGCACTACACTGAGTTACTTACCCAAACTTTGACCAAAAGAAAAGGAAGCACTTGAGTGCTATCCATCAAAACTAGTCCTGTGTGGAAGACTATTTCCACAAAGCAAAATAGTCATGCTCGTACCAGAAGAAAAGGAAATAGGCCTGGCCAGGAACGCCTAGCAGACACCCAGCACGCTGAGCTCACCCGCCTGGTCCTGCCGGCGGGGGTGGGGAGACTTGCAAATGGGCTGAACAAAGGCTGCATTCTCCCACTGATCTCAGAGCAGGTTCAGAGAGCAGGGCTCCAAGGCTGGTGGGGCAGCCCAGCCCTCCTCAGCTTGGTCAGTCTCTGCTTCCAGGCCAACTACTCTAGGAATATCTATTTCTCAGTCAGAGGGAAGGGAAATTGGGTGTGCAGACGTATTTGCTTGTTTGCTAATGATGTTTTGCTGATTTCCAAATGCATAAGCCTATACAGTGGCTACAGCAATGCTACGGAAACTCTCACCTGCCATCAGCCTCTCTCGGCCTCTGGGCTCTGATGCAAAGGTTCTACGTCCGTCCAAGTCCTCCAAGAAGCAGACTCCAAGATGGAATGAATAGGGCAAGGATTTTATTATGCCTGTGAGAGATAACAGAGAGGAAGCTGGGAAAGGTTGAGAGAAACATTAGACCCCATGCAAGTCTGACTTGAGTGAAGGAGAAAGGGAAGAAAGACTAGCTGGAGGTGTCCTAGACCCTTATGTGAACTAAAGAAGTTT
Source organism: Homo sapiens (assembly GCF_000001405.40). Classification (NCBI taxonomy): domain Eukaryota; kingdom Metazoa; phylum Chordata; class Mammalia; order Primates; family Hominidae; genus Homo; species Homo sapiens. The sequence continues at coordinate 101,330,057 of NC_000002.12, read as the reverse complement.
CCACAAGACCAAAGGAAAGCCCTCAAGACAAAGTTGGCCATCAGAAGAAGTCCCCATCTTCCAAGAACTGCCTTAAAATGCCTGGTTAAAGTGCCCAGTCTTTGACTTAGAGCAGCCAGCAGCCCTGGTCATTTATGCCCCTGTAGTTTGAGGTCTATAAGATGCATTCTATGAGCACAGCAAGTTCAAAGTCACTTAACCTTAAGGGTGTATTCTGCCCAGAAATATGAAATTCTGAGAATTTAGGTCTGCAGACTACAAATATTCATACAACATATAAATGATAATTGATTTCATTTTATGCCTTCCTTATGGGGTCTCTGCTGTTTTTTGTTTTTTGTTTGTTTTTGTTTTGAGAGAAGCACCTATCTTTTGCTAAAATACAAGATATTTATGAATAGGAGCTCTAGGTTCTATATTTCTTGACTTCAGCCTCAGCAATGTAGAAAGGTAGTTTCTGGAAGAAGTATAATTACAGAAAATTGCCTCTGATCCTGATGCTGATGCCCAGCTATGCAGCTTTAGAACTTGTTTTATTAACTCGCCCATGAGTTACTATGCCTCCCATGAACTGAGTTCACACGACTGGTTTATACACCATCATCACAATTTATTAATGTTAAAAGCAGATAAAATCTTTGTAGCACACCACGATTGTGGCCTTAATGTTACACCTGTTAGATTTTCAGGCAGCCAGATTATAGCTCAAGATTGCAAGATAAGCATGGCGACATACGAAAGAGGGTGGAGGGCTTTTATGCATCTCCTCTGTGGCCTAGGCCAGGCAGGGTGAGCTTCTGCAGGCAAAAGGAGAGGGATGCAAGGTTCTGGGGCCTTCTGTCTGGCAGGTGCTCACAGGGTACTGACTCAGCCTTAGTAATAACACTGCCTCTCTCCTTCTAATATCTCCTTCTGCAGTTAACGAGAACTTTGATCTTGCTGCACAATTCATTTATTTATTCAATAAATATGTGTTAAGTATGAGTGTGGTTAATTGTCTTGGGTATTGGGAACACAGTGATGAATAAGGTATGAGCCTCCTTTTTATTTGCAGCAATAATGTGAAATATCCAGATGGCTGACTAGATTGTATCTCAGGGAGACCCCACCATCTGCTTCCTCTGATTCATGGGGGTAATGGCACCAGTGGTTTTTACTGCACATTCTGGAATTTAGACTCAGTGGAGTTCTCAGAGGTCTTCAGAAATCTGTTTACCCATTTCTGGTGGACTCCTTGTCTCATTCCTAGCAGCTGTTTTGCTCCTTCCCTTATTCTGTAATCCCAACACTTGCCCCATCTTAGTTTCTGGTGACCTCACTTCCTATTCTTTTGAGAAGAGAAGAGTCATTTGCCCAGAACGATTTCAGCTTCCTGCCTCTGCACGTCAAAAATGTCTGTGTCCACACTGACCTTCTCATCCTTCTCCCTGTGTCAAAAAAGGAAATACACTTCCTTCCTCCCAGCGTTACCTCTGTACATCAACCCCACCCTTTTAGCTCATTTTGCAAACTTGTTCCCACAACCACTTCCTCTACTCTGCAGCCTCAATCTTCCCTTACCCCTGGTTCCTTCTCTTCAGCTGACAAACATTACTGTCTGCCACTCCCCAAGAAAGAAAACACTTCCCTCAACCCTTCTACTTCTTGGAATTACTGATCTTGCTTCTTCTCAAACAACTTAAAGTGGTCTATTCTTATGGCCCCCAACACTTAGGCCAATACCAAGACTCTGCAGCACACGACATTATTCCCATTGTCTTCTGAGCCTGTCCAGCCCTGGGTGCCATAAAGCTGTAGTCTTTAGGGTCTTCTTCTCTGAACATTTATCTGCCATTGTCAGTGGCTCCTCCTCACTTCCTTGCCCTTCCCAACCCCCACTCCTTCTCTCCCCTCCCACCACCACAGTTCTCTCCTGGCTAAGAGTCTCTTTAGTCTTTTGTCTCCCCCGCTGAGTGTCTCAGCCCTCATGGCTCCATAATCATCTCCGTGCTGTTGCTTCTCAAATTAGGATTGTGAAAGTTTACCTTTCTCTCAAATTGCTGACCTGCATTGCCTGTGCAGCAGACTTGCATGTCTTGCCAAGCACCTCAAGCCAAATTCATCATCTTCCCACCAAACCGGTTCTTCCTGCTGCCCTACCTAGCTTAGTTTTTGCATCATCATTATTTTCAGGCATCCTTCGTTTCCTTTGTGCCTATTTGAGCAGTTTTCAGGACCTGTAAGTGTTGCCTCCATCATCTCTCCTTACATGCTGTCATTCCTTTCAGATCCCTTTCAGGCCACCACTCTGATTCAGAGCCTCATTATTGGGTTTTTATTATTTAAATAGCATCCTAGTTAGTCTCCTTCCACTAGTCTTTTCCTCTTTAGGTGCCTTCTTCTCAATGATATGAGGTATATCTTTTATTTTTATTTTATTTATTTATTTATTCCTGAGACAGAGTTTCGCTCTGTTGGCCAGGCTAGAGTGCAGTGGCACAATCTCGGCTCACTGCAACCTCCGCCTCCCGGGTTCAAATGATTCTCCTGCCTTAGCCTCCCAAGTAGCTGGGATTACAGGTGCCCGCCACCATGCCTGGCTAATTTTTATATTTTTAGTAGAGATGGGGTTTCATTATGTTGGCCAGGCTGGTCTCGAACTCTTGACCTCAGGTGATCCACCCACCTTGGCCTCCCAAAGTGCTGGGATTACAGGCCTGAGCCACTGCGCCTGGCCGAGGTACATCTTTTACATCACAGTAGAACCATGTCATTTCCTGTCCCTATTATCTACCAAATGGAAGAAAAACTCCATGGTGTAGAATCCTAGTCCTTTGTAGTATGGCTTCAAATGCTTTCTGACCTTGCCTTACTTGATTTAACCTGTATACCCTATTTTTCATTCAAAATTTAACTAGTCTCAAACACAACCCCCATTTTCCCACTTCCAAACCTTGCCTTATTTTGTGTCCTATCTCAAATGCCTTTCCTTTTCACCCTGCCTACCCCATTGAAATCTTAACTATCATTCAAAGTTGACTTCAAATTCACTACTTCCATGAAACAGTGCCCAATTTTTCCATTTGGAAGCTCTCTTATTGTTTGGAGCATCTTATGGTACTTACTACAATTTACCTAATAACAAGACACACTGAAGTGAAGGTCTTATCTCTGCTACTCATTTGTAAATGAGCTTATGTCAGATTTCTCTTTGCATCTCCTCATACAGTATGGTATGCATCTCCTCATACTCAAAGTATGGTCTACATCATTAAGCACAGTGTTCAATTCAGCTGAAGTTTTTTTTTTAATTCTATAGCAAGGCTGTTTAGATAAAGTCAACAGTAGATTGATGTACATTCTGGAACAAGCTCCTTATCTCATGGCAGATTAGTACCAAACGGTTCATTGACTGGCACCAGACCACAGCTCACATGTTAAGTCGTATTGCCTTAGGAACAGTACCTTTCAATAGATTTTTTTAAAGACTTATTTTAGGTTCACAACAAAATTGAGCAAAAGGTACAGAGAGTTCCCATATCCCCTCTGCCCTGACACAGGCCTCCCCAACTAAACATCCCCCACCAGAGTGGAACATTTGTTACAACTGATGAGCCCACATTGACACATCATTATCACCCAAAGTCCATAGTTTACATTAGGATTCACTCTTGGTGTTATATATTCTAAGGGTTTGAACAAGTGTATAATGACATGTATCTACCACTATAGTATCATACAGAATATTTTCACTGTCCTGAAAGTCCTCTGTGTTCCACCTACTCTTCCTTCTCCCTAACCCCTGGCAACCACTGGCCTTTTTATTGTCTCCGTGATTTTGCCTTTTCAAGAATGTCATATAGTTGGAATAATACAGTAGTCTTTTCAGATTGGTTTCTTTTATTTAGCAACATGCACTTACATAGCCTCTATGTCCCTTCATGACTGAAGAGCTCAGTCTCATAATATTCCATTTTCTGGATATATCACAGTTTACTCATCCATACACCTGCTGAAGGACATTTTGGTTGCTTCCAAGGTTTGACAATTATTAATAAAGCTGTTTGCTATAAACATCCATATGCAGGTTTTTGTGTGGACATAAGTTTTCAACATCTTTGGATAAATACCAAAGAACACAATTGCCGGATCATACGGTAGGAGTATGTTGAGACGAGAAAGGGAAAGAAAAAGTACTTACAGAAATAATGGCCAAAAACTTCCCAATTGGATGAAAAACATTATTCTACAATTCCAAGGAGCTAAACAAAATTCCAAGTAGGATAAACTCTTAGAGATTTACATCTAGACATATTATAATCAAACTGTTGGAAAACAAAGAGAGGATCTTGAAAACAGCAACTGAATCTTGAAAGCAGTAAAGAGAAGTGACTTACCACATACGAGTGATCCTCAATAAGATTAACTGCTAATTTCTCATCAAAAACCATGGAGGCCAAAAGGCAGTGGGAATGACATGTTCAAAATGCTGGGAAAAGAAAAAGACTGATAACCAAGAATTCTATGCCAGCAAAACTATACTTCAAAAATGTAGGAGAAATTAAGACACTCTCAGATGAACAAAAAAAAAATAGGAGAATTTGTTGCTAGCAAATCTGCCCTTGTATTTACAAATACTAAAAAAGATGCTTCAGATTGAAATGAAAAAACATCAGACAGTAACTCTAATCCATACAAAAAAATAAAGAACACTGATTAAGTTAACTACAGAGGTGTATATAAAAGACAGTTTAACTGTATTTTTTTGTTTGTAACTCTTTTATTCTCCTGATAGATTTTTAAACAACCACATAAACCAGTATATATAAAATTATGTTGATGGGCTTATAATGTATAAAGATATAACTTGTATGACAATAATAGGAAAAAAGGAGGGTGAAGGAAACAAAACTATATAAAAGCAAAGTTTGTATTCTTTTGAAATTTAGTTGGAATTATTGAGAACTAGATGGATATAAGTTGTTACTTGCAATCCTTAGGGCAATCAGAAAGAATATAACTCATATATATAGATAACAAGAAAAATGACAAGTGAATTAATGTTATAAACTAGAAATATCTACCTAACACAAAAGAAAGCAGAACCAGAAGAAACAAGAAAAACAAGACATATAGAAAATAAACAGCAAATTGGCAGATGTGAATCCTACTTTATCAGTAATTACATTAAATGTAAATTTAAAAGGTCGATATTTCTTCCTTCAGTTCTGTTGGATTTTGCTCCATGTATGTTGGGACTCTGTTGTTGCTAATTAGTCAACAATAATAATTGAAGACTTTACCGGGTATGGTGGCTCTCACCTGTAATCCCAGCACTTTAGGAGGCTGAGGTGGGTGGATCACTTGAGGTCAGGAGTTCAAGACCAGCCTGGCCAACTTGGTGAAACCCCATGTCTACTAAAAAAATTAGCTGGGCACAGTGGCACGTGCCTGTAATCCCAGCTACTTGGGAGGCTGAGGCAGGAGAATCGCTTGAAACTGGGAAGTGGAGGTTGTGGTGAGCCAAGATAGTGCCACTGCACTCCAGCCTGGGCAACAGAGCGAGACTCTGTCTCGAAAAAAATAATAATAATAATTGAAGACTTCAATACCCCACTTTAAATAATGAGAAAAACAACAGAAGATCAACAAGGAAACAGAAGACTGGAATAACACTGTAAACCAACTAGATCTAACAGGTATCTATAGAAGACTCCACCCAGCAACAGCAGAGTACACATTCTTCTCAAGTGCACATGTAATGTTCCCCAGAATAGATTGTATGTTAGCTCACAAAACAATTGAATTTTAAATTCGAATAGATTTAAAAGTATTAAAATTATATAAAGTATGTTCTCCAACCACAATGAAATCAAATTAGGGCCAGAAGCAGTGGCTCACGTCTGAAATCCCAGCACTTTGGGAGGCCAAGGTGGGTGGATCACTTGAGGTCAGGATTTTGAGACCAGCCTGGCCAAAGGTGAAATCTCATCTCTATTAAAACACACACACACACACACACAAACTAGCTGGGTGTGGTGGCGTGCGCCTGTAATCCCAGCTACGCAGGAGGCTGAGGCACAAGAATTACTTGAACCTGGAGGCACAGATTGCAGTGAGCTGAAATCATGCCACTGCACTCCAGCCTGGGCGACAGAGTGAGACTCCATCTCAAAAAACAAAACAAAACAAAACAAAAAAATTAGAAATCTACAACAAAAAGTAGTTTGGGAAAGTCGCAAATATGTGAAAATTTTAAAAACTCATTCCTAAATAACCAATGCATCAAAGAATAAAAAACAAGGAAAATTAGACAATACTTTGAGATGAATTAAAATGAAAAAAATGCCAAAACTTCTGGGATACTGCTAAAGCACTACTTAAAGAGAAATTTATAGCAGCAAACACCTTTATTAAAAAGAATATCTCAAATCAATACCTTAATCTTTCACCTTAAAAAACTAGAAAAAGAAAAGCAAACCAAACCCAGAGCAAGCAGAAGACCACAACAAAACCTAGAGCAGAAATAAACTAGAGAATAGAAAAAAAAAAATAGAGGAAATCAATTAAAACAAAAGTTGGCTCTTTGAAAAGATGAACAAAATTGACAGACCTTCAGTAGACTGTCCAAGACTGTAGTAGACTGTCCAAGAAGAAAGAGAGGTAACTCACTTTATTAAATCAGGAATGAAAGAAAGGACATCAGCCAGGCACGGTGGCTCACGCCTGTAATCTCAGCACTTTGGGAGGGCGAGGTGGGTGGATTACCTGAGGTCAGGAGTTCAAGACCAGCCTGATCAACATGGTGAAACCCCATCTCTACTAAAATACAAAATTAACTGGGCGTGGTGGCGCATGCCGGTAATCCCAGCTACTTGGGAGGCTGAGGCAGGAAAATCGCTTGAACCCGGGAGGCAGAGGTTGCAGTGAGCCAACATCATGCCATTGCGCTCCAGCCTGGGCAACAAGAGTGAAACTCTGTCTCAAAAAAAAAAAAAAAAAAAAAGTGGGGGGGTGGGGGGTGGACATCACTACTAACCTTACAGAAATAAAAAGGATTATAAGTCAATATTATGAGTAATTATATGCCAACAAATGAGATAACTTAGATGAAACAAATTCTTAGAAAGACAAATATAACACAGTTGTCTACACAAGGGAGCTACATTTATTTACCTGTTAATAAATAGATATTTCCAAGGATTAGCTGAAAACTATGGAAGGAGATAGCTGCATTTTGAATATTGGCAGATGAGTCTGTCACATGTCTTCTTTAATTTTTTTATTTTGTTTGTAGAGCTCTACAGCTACAACTGATTATATAAGATGAATGAAGTACAGTTGAGTAATATTGGCTTTTCTTTGAAATAACCTCAGGAGAGTGGCTCATTGTATGAGTATAAAAGAATATGCTACGTCTTTCCAGGAGAGCAGTGCAATCCACAAACTTGAGGAAATGGAAGAATTTCTCACTGTGGTGGGCTATCATTATGTAACAGGCTCTGCCAAGACAAGCTATATTCACTGCACGACCTGGTGCTAGGAGTGTACTAATGTACTTATAAATTGCAGCCTGTACCTGCGGGTAATACCATAGCCCCTGTTTATGGGCTTTCCAAAACCATTTACAAATCTGTGTATTTATAGGATTTGTAGGACGTCATAGCCTGCTTTTTCCATAAGGATAAGAAAGGGTTAATACAAATGTTTTGGTAAATATATAACCCCATAATTTTTCATCATCTGGTAAATTTTTTTTCATATACTAGAGCTAAATTTTCAAATGGTAGTAAGGCAAATTTTTCTTTGATCCATTCTGCAATATTTGTGAGAGTCACATTTTAAACACAGAAAATATGAGGTACATAAAATTCCTGGGAATTAAGATCTTTGGTATTTGAAAAAGAAGATTGATTATTCACCAAATGTCAGGAAAGATCTTTGAAGACTTTGAGTGTAACGTGAAGGCACAGTCGTATTTTGGGTTCATTAACAAATAATATGTTCTTGCTAAACACAAAAGCAATGTCTTAGGAAATCTGCTTGCATTTACCTGGCCCTGCATTGTTCAATAAGCCACATGTGGCTGTTAAGCACCTGCAATGTTGCTAGTCCAAATGGAGATGTGCTGTAAGTGTGACACACACGGAATCCCAAAGACTTAGTACAAAAAACTTGTAGGGCTGGGCATGGTGGCTCACGCCTATAATCCCACCACTTTGGGAGGCCGAGGCAGGTGGATCACTTGAGACCAGGAGTTCAAGACCAGCCTGGGCAACATGGTGAAACCCTGTCTCTACTAAAAATACACAAATTAGTGGGGTATGGTGGTGCGTACCTGTAGTCCCAGCAATTCAGGATGCTAAGGCACAAGAATAGCTTGAACCCAGAGGTGAGGGTTGCAGTGAGCCGAGATGGCACCATTGTACTCCAGCCTGGACAACAGAGGGAGACTCTGTCTCAAAAAAAGAAAAAGAAAAAAAAACCTTGTAAGTGATCTCAAATTTTTTATATTCCTTACATGTTGAACTGTTTTTGCATAAATCTGGATGAATAAAATACATTATTAACATTAATTTCCTCTGTTCTTTTTTTTATGAAGTAGTTACTACTTTTATTCATTTTTTAATACTTTAAGTTCTAGGGTACATGTGCCATGTTGGTGTGCTGCACTCATTAACTCGTCATGTACATTAGGTATATCTCCTAATGCTATCCCTCCCCCGTCCCCCCACCCCACGACAGGCCCCAGTGTGTGACGTTCCCCACCCTGTGTCCATGTGTTCTCATTGTTCAATTCCCACCTATCAGTGAGACCATGTGGTGTTTGGTTTTCTGTCCTTGTGATAGTTTGCTCAGAATGATGGTTTCCAGCTTTATCCATGTCCCTACAAAGGACATGAACTCATCCTTTTTTATGGCTGCATAGTATTCCATGGTGTATATGTGCCTCATTTTCTTAATCCAGTCTATCATTGATGGACATTGGGGTTGGTTCCAAGTCTTTGCTATTGTGAATAGTGCCACAATAAACATACGTGTGCATGTGTCTTTATAGCAGCATGATTTACAATCCTTTGGGTATATACCCAGTAATGGGATGGCTGGGTCAAATGGTACTTCTAGTTCTAGATCCTTGCGGAATCACCACACTGTCTTCCACAATGGTTGAACTAGTTTACAGTCCCATCAACAGTGTAAAATTGTTCCTATTTCTCCACATCCTCTCCAGCACCTGTTGTTTCCTGACTTTTTTTAATGATCGCCATTCTAACTGGTGTGAGATTGTATCTCATTGTGGTTTTGATTTGCATTTCTCTGATGGCCAGTGATGATGAGCATTTTTTCATGTGTCTGTTTGCTGCATAAATGTCTTCTTTTGAGAAGTGTCTGTTCATATCCTTTGCCCACTTTCTGATGGGGTTGTTTGATTTTTTTCTTGCAAATTTGTTTAAGTTCTCTGTGGATTCTGGATATTAGCCCTTTGTCAGATGGGTAGATTGTAAAAATTTTCTCCCATTGTGTAGGTTGCCTGTTCACTCTGACGGTAGTTTCTTTTGCTGTGCAGAAGCTCTTTAGTTTAATTAGATCCCATTTTGGCTTTTGTTGCCATTGCTTTTGGTGTTTCAGTCATGAAGTCCTTGCCCATGCCTATGTCCTGAATGGTATTGCCTAGGTTTTCTTCTAGGGTTTTTATGGTTTTAGGTCTAGCATTTAAGTCTTTAATCCATCTTGAATTAATTTTTGTATAAGGTGTAAGGAAGGGATCCGGTTTCAGCTTTCTACACATGGCTAGCCAGTTTTCCCAGCACCATTTATTAAATAGGGAATCCTTTCCCCATTGCTTGTTTTTGTCAGGTTTGTCAAAGACCAGATGGTTGTAGATGTGTGGTGTTATTTCTGAGGGCTCTGTTCTGTTCCATTGGTCTATATCTCTGTTTTGGTATGAGTACTATGCTGTTTTGGTTACTGTAGCCTTGTAGTATAGTTTGAAGTCAGGTAGTGTGATGCCTCCAGCTTTGTTCTTTTGGCTTAGGATTGTCTTGGCAATGCGGGCTCTTTTTTGGTTCCATATGAACTTTAAAGTAGTTTTTTCCAGTTCTGTGAAGAAAGTCATTGGTAGCTTGATGGGGATGGCATTGAATCTATAAATTACCTTGGGCAGCATGGCCATTTTCACGAAATTGATTCTTCCTATCCATGAGCATGGAATGTTCTTCCATTTGTTTGTCTCCTCTCTTATTTCCTTGAGCAGTGGTTTGTAGTTCTCCTTGAAGAGGTCCTTCACATCCCTTGTAAGTTGGATTCCTAGGTATTTTATTCTCTTTGTAGCAATTGTGAATGGGAGTTCACTCATGATTTGGCTCTCTGTCTGTTATTGGTGTATAGGAATGCCTGTGATTTTTGCACATTGATTTTGTATCCTGAGACTTTGCTGAAGTTGCTTATCAGCTTAAGGAGATTTTGGGCTGAGACGATGGGCTTTTCTAAATATACAATCATGTCATCTGTAAACAGGGAAAATTTGACTTCCTCTTTTCTTAATTGAATGCCCTTCATTTCTTTCTCCTGCCTGATTGCCCTGCCCAGAACTTCCAACACTATGTTGAATATGAGCGGTGAGAGAGGGCATCCCTGTCTTGTGCTGCTTTTCAAAGGGAATGCTTCCAGTTTTTGCCCATTCAGTATGATATTGGCTGTGGGTTTGTCATAAATAGCTCTTATTATTTTAAGATACGTCCCATCAATACCTAGTTTATTGAGAGTTTTTAGCATGAAGTGTTGTTGAATTTTGTTGAAGGCCTTTTCTGCATCTATTGAGATAATCATGTGGTTTTTGTCTTTGGTTCTCTTTATATGCTGGATTACGTTTATTGATTTGTGTATGTTGAACCAGCCTTGCAGCCCAGGGATGAAGCCGACTTGATCATAGTGGATAAGCTTTTTGATGTGCTACTGGATTCGGTTTGCCAGTATTTTATTGAGGATTTTTGCATCGATGTTAATCAGGGATATTGGTCTAAAATTCTTTTTTTTGTTGTTGTGTCTCTTCCAGGCTTTGGTATCAGATGATGGTGGCCTCATAAAATGAGTTAGGGAGGAGTCCCTCTTTTTCTATTGATTGGAATAGTTTCAGAAGGAAAGGTACCAGCTCCTCTTTATACCTCTGGTAGGATTCGGCTGTGAATCCATCTGGTCCTGGACTTCTTTTGGTTGGTAGGCTATTAATTATTGCCTCAATTTCAGAGACTGTTATTGGTCTATTCAGGGATTCAACTTCTTCCTGGTTTAGTCTTGGGAGGGGGTATGTGTCCAGGAATTTATCTATTTCTTCTAGATTTTCTAGTTTATTTGCATAGAGGTGTTTATAGTATTCTCTGATGGTAGTTTGTATTTCTGTGGGATCGGTGGTGATAGCCTCTCTATCATTTTTTATTGCTCTATTTGATTCTTCTCTCTTTTTTCTTTATTAGTCTTGCTAGTGCTCTATCAATTTTGTTGATCTTTTCAAAAAACCAGCTCGTGGATTCATTGATTTTTTGAAGGACTTTTTGTGTCTCTATCTCCTTCAGTTCTGCTCTGATCTTAGTTATTTCTTGCCTTCTGCTAGCTTTTGAATGTGTTCGCTCTTGCTTCTCTAGTTCTTTTCATTGTGATGTTAGGATGTCAATTTTAGATCTTTCCTGCTTTCTCTTGTGCGCATTTAGTGCTATAAATTTCCCTCTATACACTGCTTTAAATGTGTCCCAGAGATTCTGGTATGTTGTGTCTTCGTTCTCATTGGTTTCAAAGAACATCTTTATTTCTGCCTTCATTTCATTATGTACCCAGTAGTCATTCAGGAGCAGGTTGTTCAGTTTCCATGTAGATGAGCGGTTTTGAGTGAGTTTCTTAATCCTGAGTTCTAGTTTGATTGCACTGTGGTCTGAGAGACAGTTTGTTATAATTTCTGTTCTTTTATATTTGCTGAGGAGTGTTTTACTTCCAACTATGTGGTCAATTTTGGAATAAGTGTGATGTGGTGCTGAGAAGAATGTATATTCTGCTGATTTGGGCTGGAGAGTTCTGTAGATGTCTCTTAGGTCCGCTTGGTGCAGAGCTGAGTTCAATTCCTGGGTATCCTTGTTAACTTTCTGTCTTGTTGATCTGTCTAAAGTTGAGAGTGGGGTGTTAAAGTCTCCCATTATTATTGTGTGGGAGTCTAAGTCTCTTTGTAGGTCTCTAAGGACTTGCTTTGTGAATCTGGGTGCTCCTGTATTGGGTGCATATATATTTCGGAGAGTTAGCTCTTCATGTTGAATTGATCCCTTTACCATTATGTAATGGCCTTCTTTGTCTCTTTTGATCTTTGTTGGTTTAAAGTCTGTTTTATCAGAGACTAGGATTGCAAACCCTGCTTTTTTTTGTTTTCTGTTTGCTTGGTAGATCTTCCTCCATCCCTTTATTTTGAGCCTATGTGTGTCTCTGCACATGAGATGGGTCTCCTGAATACAGCACACTGATAGGTCTTGACTCTTTATCCAATTTGCCAGTCTGTGTCTTTTAATTGGAGCATTTAGCTCATTTACATTTAAGGTTAATATTGTTATGTGTGAATTTGATCCTGTCATTATGATGTTAGCTGGTTATTTTGCTCGTTAGTTGATGCAGTTTCTTCCTAGCATCGATGGTCTTTACAATTTGGCATGTTTTTGCAGTGGCTGGTACTAGTTTTTCCTTTCCATGTTTAGTGCCTCCTTCAGGAGCTCTTGTAAGGCAGGCCTGGTGGTGACAAAAATCTCTCAGCATTTGCTTGTCTGGAAAGGATTTTATTCCTCCTTCACTTATGAAGCTTAGTTTGGCTGGATATGAAATTCTGGGTTGAAAATTCTTTTCTTTAAGAATGTTGAATACTGGCCCCCACTCTCTTCTGGCTTGTAGGGTTTCTGCTGAGTGATCCGCTGTTAGTCTAATGGGCTTCCCTTTGTGGGTAACCCGACCTTTCTCTCTGGCTGCCCTTAACATTTTTTCCTTCATTTCAACTTCAGTGAATCTGACAATTACATGTCTTAGAGTTGCTCTTCTCGAGGAGTATCTTTTTGGTATTCTCTGTATTTCCTGAATTTGAATGTTGGCCTGCCTTGGTAGTTTGGGGAAGTTCTCCTGGATAATATCCTGCAGAGTGTTTTCCAACTTGGTTCCATTCTCCCCATCACTTTCAGGTATACCAATCAGACGTAGATTTGATCTTTTCGCATAGTCCCATATTTCTTGGAGGCTTTGTTCATTTCTTTTTACTCTTTTTTCTCTAAACTTCTCTTCTCACTTCATTTCATTCATTTGATCTTCAGTCACTGATACTCTTTTTTCCACTTGGTTGAATCAGCTACTGAAGCTTGTGCATGCGTCACATAGTTCTCGTGCCATGGTTTTCAGCTCCATCAGGTCATTTAAGGTCTTCTCTATGCTGTTTATTCTAGTTAGCCATTCGTCTAATCTTTTCTCAAGGTTTTTAGCTTCTTTGCGATGGGTTTGAACATCCTCCTTTAGCTTGGAGAAGTTTGTTATTACTGATCGTCTGAAGCCTTCTCTCAACTCATCAAAGTCATTCTCCGTCCAGCTTTGTTCTGTTGCTGGCAAGGAGCTGCGTTCCTTTGGAGGAGAAGAGGCACTCTGATTTTTAGAATTTTCATCTTTTCTGCTCTGGTTTCTCATCATCTTTGTGGTTTTATCTACCTTTGGTCTTTGATGATGGTGACGTACAGATGGGGTTTTGGTGTGGATGTCCTTTCTGTTTGTTAGTTTTCCTTCTAACAGTCAGGACCCTCAGCTGCAGGTCTGTTGGAGTTTGCTGGAGGTGCACTCCAGACCCTGTTTCCCTGGGTATCACCAATGGAGGCTGCAGAACAGCAAATATTACAGAATGGCAAATGTTGCTGCCTGATCCTTCCTTTGGAAGCTTCTTTTCAGAGGGGCATCTGGCCGTATGAGGTGTCAGTTGGCCCCTACTGGGAGGTGCCTCCCAGTTAGGCTACTTGGGGGTCAGGGACCAACTTGAGGAGGCAGTCTGTCCATTCTCAGATCTCAAACTCCATGCTGGGAGAACCACTACTCTCTTCAAAGCTGTCAGACAGGGACATTTAAGTCTGCAGAAGTTTCTGCTGCCTTTTGTTCCTCCTCTGTTCTTTTTTTTAATGTGGCTACTCAAACATTCTAAATTATATATGTGGCTTATCTTGTAGGTCTCTTGGACTGCAAAAACCTAGTCTATCACAGACTACTTGACACATCCACTGGAAGATGCTGGAATTGGCACCACGGACTTGCAGGAATGCCCAGGAATGGCTGCAGACGTTTTCTTCCTGAAAAATTCATCATAGAGAACTGGTGGACAATGGAATCTGGTTTTCTTCACTTTTTTAATGCTGCTAGTGTTCAGAAAACTAAAGATGTAAACAAATAAACAAAAAACAGGCTACTGTGTAAAGGGCTGCCCAGGCCTGGGTCTGATTATAGTTTGATTTAACCCCTGGAAAGGATGTTTGATAATGTTCCAGTTTATGGCCTAATGAGCAACATTATCAAATTACCCCCTTAGGTGCTTTCATACCGTATTTACAGGCTCTTCCATTAGTACTCATTTCAAACAGAGATTAAAAAGTTGAGAGGACTGCAGGCACTCCTGACCCATATTAGAGCCTGGCCATACTCATCTAGGCCACTGGAGACCTAGATGAGCCTGGGGAGACTCCTGCTTCTCAGGAGGCACCCCTAGATTTTCTGGTTTGAATATAAGCCGGTAGAAGTCCACTTTGGGGCCTCTCTGCCAATCCATCTGGGAGGTCACATGCCTGGTGCCTTTCACACACTCTCCAAAATAGCTTAGAAAAGATCCATTCTTTGTACCTCCAAGTGTCCCTTACCCTATAACCCTCCCTGAGTATACACCTACTACCCCAAACAGAACAAAAATTTTGTAGACCTTTCCAGGTTTTCCTTAGGATTGTAATTTTCTTTTTGGACAGAGTCTCACTCTGTCCCCCAGGCTAGAGTGCACAGTGGCATGATCTGGGCTCACCACAACTTCCACCTCCCAGGTCAGGCAATTCTCCTACCTCAGCCTCCTGAGTAGCTGGGATTACAGGTGTGTGCCATCACGCCGAGGTAATTTTTATATATTTAATAGATATGGGGTTTCACCATGTTGGCCAGGCTGGTCTCAAACTCCTGACCTCAAATGATCCGCCCGCCTTGGCCTCCCAAAGTGCTGGGATTACAGGCATGAGCCATCATGCCTGGCTAGGATTGTAATATTTATTTTATCAGCAATAAAATCATGTAAGTGCATTAGAGAAAATGTCTGAAATACAGAAAATAATTTGTGTTTTAATTTTTTTAGAGACAGGGTCTTGCTTTGTCACCCAGACTGGAGTATAGCAGCATGACCATAGCTCGCTGCAGCCTTCACCTACTGGGCTCAAGCAATCGTCCTGCCTCACCTCCTAAATAACTGGGGCTACAGGCACACAGCACAACATCTAGCTAATTTTTTAAAATATTTTTGGGTCAGGCATGGTGGCTCACGCCTGTAATTCCAGCACTTTGGGAGGCTGAGGCAGGTGGATCACGAGGTCAAGAGATCAAGACCATCCTGGAAACACGGTGAAACCCCGTCTCTACTAAAAATACAAAAATTAGCTGGGTTTGGTGGTAGGCACCTGTAGTCCCAGCTACTTGGGAGGCTGAGGCAGGAGAATCGCTTGAACCCTGGAGGCAGAGGTTGCAGTGGGCCAAGATCCACCACTGCACTCCGGCTTGGCGACAGAGCGAGACTCTGTCTCAAAAAAAAAAAAATTATTTTTGTAGAGATGGGGTTTCCTTGTGTTGCCCAGGCTGGTTTCAAACTCCTGACCTCACATGATTCTCCTCTTTCAGCCTCCTAAAGTGTTGGAATTCCAGGTGTAAGCCACCATGTCTGGCCAATTTTTTAAATTTATAATAAAATAAAACTAAATTCAGAAAAATTTTCACTCAGAGCAGTATCAACATCCAAAATGACCACTATTAGCAATTACGTAAGACCGAGTCTTTTTTCATACACAGGTGAGTTCTATGAAGGTGAAATGTGTGATTTAATATTTCAATAAGTTATCATTCATGCAACCCTATGCTTATCTGGGTAGACAAATCTAAAAGCCACAGTCCCTGTCATCATGAAGGCCCCCTGTCCAGGAAAATGGGTTTTAAGTCTCCTTAGAAACTTTTTTCTTCCCAATTTCAACAAAATGCCAGTATGTATACAGTCTACATATAAATCAGATAAGTGATGTTTTATTAGTAGAGCCTAATTTCCAATTAGTGATATTTATTTTGAAATACTAATTTGTTTGTTCTCCCCTCTATTCCCATATCATCCCACAGCCAGTTCGAGCAGGTGCCAGGTTTGATGTTCCTCTGACCCAGGAAGGTGTGCAGAGTGGACAGCAAAAGCGGTTCTAAGGCTCTTCCACCCTCTGAAGAGGGCACAGACAGTATTATAGAAAGGAGACTCCTCTAAGGGGCCTGTGAGCTCATTAGCAGTGGGAACAAATGGGCCCACCGGACCTCTGGAATCAGAATCTCTGGGGGTGAGGTTGAACAACCTTTTTTTAACAAGTTCTTCAGGCCATGAGTATGCACATTAAAGTGTGAAAACCATCAGGTTAGAGGAAGGATTCCAGAGGTGGAGGGGTGCACTCACCTTTGGGGAGAAGAAACAAGAGAGGGAGTAAGCCCCCTGTACATGTGAGGCTCCAGGGTTGCACCCGAGGGGGTGTTACAATTTCGGGTGAGGTGGCACTCAGGATCCCAGCCCAGCAAAGCCTTTTCCTGCCCCATGCCACCCACAACAGGCCGTGAAACAGTGCATAGACAGTGGGAGTGGCAATGTGTTAACTGGGGCTGCTAACCAGAAGCCCCTGCCGAAACCCCCAGCCCTGGCCTCTGGACCCCATGGGGGCTACCACCATTTGAGGGGCCCCTATACTGACTGAGACACCCATCATAGGATGTATCCCACAGATCAATTTATTTTTATTAAAAACAAGGTGGGCATGATGGCTTGTAGTCCCAGCTACTTGGGAGGCTGGGACAGGAGGATTACTTGAGCCCAGGAATTTGAGGCTGTAGTGCACTATGATTGCACCTGTGAATAGCCATTGCAGTCCAGCCTGGGCAACACAGTGGAAACAACAACAAAATATACCACCACCCAAAAGAATACGGAACTGGAGAATTCTTGTACACCTGAGACTGTAGACTGAGAATCTTCCCCACTACGTGTATTACAAGGTCAATAAATAAGACAACAAGCCATTTTGATGAATACAAAATTCTTCAGTTGGAGGTTGTGAATGACATGTGCCATTCTATATCAGCCTTGCCCTCTACAGTGCTTCTTTATTGGAGGCTGTTTTTGCGTATTATGAAGGAAACCCTCGTTGACACTCATAGGTAATACTGTGTTCAGCATGAGGATGTAATGAGCCAAATACAGAATGTGGGAAATTATACAGGACAAATCATCAAATTTCTTCCTTTAAAAACTGAAAAGAAAAAAAACCTATAAATAAAGGAAACTTGAGAGACATTTCAACCAAATGCAATGTGTGAATCTTGATCCAAACAAACTAAATGTAAAATAACATTCAGGAGACAATCGGGAAATTCGTGTGCTGACTGGATATTCAATGATATTAAAGAACTGTGGTCACATTTTTTAATGTGATAATAATATTGTGCTTTCATGTTTTTACAGAGTCCCTATGCTTTAAAGGTATACATTAAAATGTTTACAAATAAAATTATATAATATCTTGGATTTCCTTTGTCAACCTTAACTCATGAGATTCAGAACATATAGTTAATTATAGAAAATTCTATAATTCAAGTGCAAAGCTTGAGGATGGCCATCCAGAAACACAGAGTCCAAATGAGCAGGGTCAGTGTTCCAAAGTAGGAAAGTTAAGATTTTACTTGTATAGGTAGAGACAGAGAAGTTTTAGCAGGATTACAATATTTTCCATATCAGACCAGTGCATATGTTATAGTTATTTGATAACTACAAATATTTGATTGCTACATTCCAAGGAGGATTTATTTATTAATTTACTTTACTACTCTGTGAAGAGGGGTAAAAATCTGTGGGGGTCCTATCTCTGGTGCTGCTTGGCCTTTCCAATTACTTACAGGAAAAAAGGCAGAAGTTGCAGCTGCATGCCATGTGACTCAGGTTGCACAGCGACATCGCTCTCAAGGCTCAGAATACTTTCAAGTTCCAACAGCTTTAAGTTTGAATTATTTAATTTCACACGTTCAAAGCAATCCATTGGAGGAGATAGGAAGTGGCCAGGTATATACTTGAAATCAAATTAGCTGTGAGTTGATCTGAAGCCATCTTCACAGGGTTAACAAGAATTCTGGATAGAAAAATAGTTATAGGTAAGCAGTAATCAGGCTGCACTTTGACCCACTTCCTTGTAACCACAAGTCATGTGGCAGTAGACACTGACTGTTTGTAGACCCATTCTTCCTATTGATAGGACTTCTAACATTAGCGTCAGAAGGCTTTTAAGAATTGTGTATGATGTTTTTGAGATCTCTAATTCCAGTAAAACAGATGATGCCAACCAATCTGAAGACCCCCACAGAGGAACAGAATCATCATGAGAATACAATTTCTTCAGCTCCCTATCCCATGATTTTACCCTGCACTCTTCAACCAATCAATGATCTCCACACTTTAGCCCACTCCAAAACTCTTACGAACCCTAGTCCCAAACTCCTCTGGGAGATGGATTTGAGGTTTCTCCCATCTCCTCGTTCAGCAGCTCTACAATTAAACCTCTCTCTGCTGCAATCTGGTGTATCAGTGTGTTGACTCACCATGTGTTTCAGGCAATAGACCTATTATGGTTACAGATCATTGTTGAATCTAAGTTACAAGTGCATAACGTTTCATTATACTGTTCTCTCTACTTTTGAAAGTATCTGAAAGTTTCTACAATAAAGTGATTAAAAGAAATGATAATGACAACTCTCGCCCCCTTTCTCTCCCTCCCCCCACCAAAGAGTGAGGGGGAAGGCTTGTTAGTTTTTCTTCTGGGGCAATACGGAAGGGAAAGGGAAATTAACGAGACTGGGTGGCCCCTGGCAGCCAGTGTAGGGAAAGAAGGTCCTGGAAGTTTGAGGTAGTGGTGGCAACTTTTGATCAGGGAAAACCAACTGAGGCCTGGAGCTAGTAATAAAAAATAAAGACCAAGGAACTGTGCTAAACTTAAGAGCTCAACAGCTGCAAGGTCTGTTCCTATTAGCCTGCCGGACTTTGCTCAACAAGCCTGTAACCAATCCTGAGTACTCAACTCTGGCACAGTAAAAACAAAAAACAAAAAAAACCTATTCTGCCTATTTCAGAAATTATCAATTACACATACATCACTGTGCTAGTTGAGGTAGGCTCATGAAAAGACCGAGGACACAATCCCAGCCCTTGCAAAGTTCACAACATTAAAAGAAGGCCCAAAACTTGGAAAGCAGTATTGCTGGTACAGCATGAATGTACAAACGTAATACATACAAGCAACATGGACAACTGGAGGAGCACCCAAGTTTGCCCATAGTTACCCAAGACGGGTTTCACCAAAAAAATAGCTTTTGAGTTAACACTTGAAGACTAACTTAGTGTTTGCTGGAACAAGAGCCAGGAGCAGGTCATGGGAGAAAGAAGTAAATGAATTTGCAAGACCTAACATGAAACTGCAAGGACACGTTTTTGGGAACTTCAGTATTTGTTTTGCTGGAGCATAAAGGGTGGCGGTGGAGGCGTTCCTAAAACCCGTTCTCAGCCTGCATAGACCACGATAATTTAAGCCTGAGGCCCTTTGGGCCTTTTAAAATTCAGTTTCCTGATGGGAAAGGAGAGGAGATCCATCTTCATGGAAAACTTACGGGTTGTGGGTCAGACTGCATTTTGGAGCACAGAGACAGCAACAAAGAGGAAATGGAGAGGGTTTAAGGACCAACAAAAAACACGTGGTGCAGGCCGGTCGCACAGCCTCACGCCTGTAATCCCAGCACTTTGGGAGGCTGTGGTCAGGAGCTCAAGACCAGCCTGGCCAACATGGCGAAACCCTGTTTCTACTAAAAATACAAAAATTAGCTGGGTGGTGCACGCCTGTAATCCCAGCTACTCCGGAGCTTGAGGCAGGAGAATCGCTTGAACCTGGGAGGCAGAAGTTGCAGTTAGCCAAGATCGCGCCACTGCACTCCAGCCTGGGCGACAGAGCAAGACTCCGTCAAAACAAAACAAAACAAAAAACACGTGATGCAGGCAGTAACAACCTACTTCCCACAGTTATAGACCCTTAACGCAGGAAGATGAGTCTATCAGAAATCAATGTTCTGAACTTCCTTTCTGAAAGCAGTAGGCTTTTGTACTCAATAGTAATTTTATATGGATTCTCTATCACTGGGTATTGATGTCCAAACAATAAATCCTTTTCCCTTTTTTATTGACATGAAACGTAAGTGCTCATTTAGGTAGTCTGACGCCTAAATGAGCACTTACATTGTATGTCATCAGTAGTAGGCATCAGACTACTTAAATGAGCACTTATGTTGTATGCTTATGCCTATTTCAAAATTATAGATTATGCATAAAATACTATAACAAAAAGGGCTGTTGTAAATATACTTAAGCTGTAAGGAATCAATTAGCATCATAATATTAGTAGCAAAAGGCAGTTGGATAATGTGTGCGTAGCTTTGGATTTTTTTTTTTTTTTTTCACAAAATGTATTTGGATTTTTTTTTTTTCTTAATTGACAGGGTTTCGCTTAGTCGCCCAGGCTGAAGTGGAGTGGTGATCTCGGCTCACTGCAGCCTCGACCTCCGGGGCTCAGGTGGTCCTCCCACCTCGACCTCCCGAGTGGGAACTCTAGTTGGGCGCCACCAGGCTTGGCTAATTAACTTTGAAACGACTTAGACAAGGCCTCTGCCATGTGCCTTGCACAATAAACTCTCCACAAACATCTGTTCAGCGATTTTACAGAACTGCGGTCCCACACCTGCTTTCAGGGAAGCTTCCCGTTTCTCTGGAGTTACTTCCCTTCACTTTGGGGGTGCTAGACGTCCTATTGCGCAAACTTGGCCCCTGGCCACAGGGTCCGCCGTGGCGCAAGCTGTGGTACAGGCTGCGCGCCCCGCCTCGGCCCACAGGCGCCTGAGATCCCGGGACGGATCGCGGTCCGAGGCTCCGCGGAGCTTACGCCTGCGCACAACGCGGCCGGTCGGACGGGGGCGGAGCCAGGGCCGATCACGCCCTTCGTCCACTCCGCCAGGTGCGCGTGCGCAGCGGCCCCGACCCCGCCTCAGTCTTCCAGGGCGGCGGTGGGTGTCCGCTTCTCTCTGCTCTTCGACTGCACCGCACTCGCGCGTGACCCTGACTCCCCCTAGTCAGCTCAGCGGTGCTGCCATGGCGTGGCGGCGGCGCGAAGCCAGCGTCGGGGCTCGCGGCGTGTTGGCTCTGGCGTTGCTCGCCCTGGCCCTGTGCGTGCCCGGGGCCCGGGGCCGGGCTCTCGAGTGGTTCTCGGCCGTGGTAAACATCGAGTACGTGGACCCGCAGACCAACCTGACGGTGTGGAGCGTCTCGGAGAGTGGCCGCTTCGGCGACAGCTCGCCCAAGGAGGGCGCGCATGGCCTGGTGGGCGTCCCGTGGGCGCCCGGCGGAGACCTCGAGGGCTGCGCGCCCGACACGCGCTTCTTCGTGCCCGAGCCCGGCGGCCGAGGGGCCGCGCCCTGGGTCGCCCTGGTGGCTCGTGGGGGCTGCACCTTCAAGGACAAGGTGCTGGTGGCGGCGCGGAGGAACGCCTCGGCCGTCGTCCTCTACAATGAGGAGCGCTACGGGAACATCACCTTGCCCATGTCTCACGCGGGTGAGCAGGCCGGGGCGCGAGGACGGGAGGGGGACTTCGCGGCAGCCGAGGCTGGGGTCTTCAGGGTTGGCCCTGAACCGCAGGCCGCGAAGCGGGCCTGGCACGGCTCTCAGGCCTCTGGCTGTTGGAACTTTCAGGGAAGCCCTCGTTTGCTCGGTGCGGCTCCCCGATCGCTGTTGGGAGGGAGGTAAGTCTGCGGACAAGATGTGATCTTCGCCTTTGATCGATGAGGTGAAGGGAGTACTAAAGACGTTAAAATCCACAGAAGGAGGCTTGTGGTTCTAACAGGTGAGGAAATCTCATGATTCCTAATCATGGGCCTCTTTTCCATTCACCGCTTCCCAAAGTCGGAGGGGTGAGTAGGAATCCAAACTCTTCCCCCAGCGCGCCCCACGATCGGTTGTCCCTTCACCAACATAAAGTGATGGCTCGTTGGCACTCTGGTTTCTTCACTTTCTTGAATCATGTCTGAATATTCTAAACTGAGTCAGAAAACCTGCATCTGACTGAGTCAGTAAGCCTTGACCTGTGCTTTCTGACTTGCTAAATTTAGGGTTATAACACTGGCTGTACTGCCAGTCAGATTTCCTGAGTCTTGAGTTACGATCAAAATTTTAAAATTACTGTATTCATTCAAGAAAAGACCTTGGGGCCGGGCACAGTGGCTCACGCCTGTAATCCCAGCACTTTGGGAGGCCGAGGTGGGAGGATCGTTTGAGGCCAGGAGTGTGAGACCAGCCTGGCCAACATAGACCCCATATCTGCAAAAATTTCTTAAAATCGCGTGGACGTGGTGGCGCCCGCCCGTAGTCTCAGGCACTCAGGAGCTGAGATGGGAGAATCACTTGAGCCCAGGAGATCGAGACTGTAGTGAGCTGTGATTGTGCCACTGCACTCCAGCCTGGGCGACAGAGCAAGACCTCAAGGAAAAAAGACAAAAAAGACCTTGCTATTTGCCAGGCAACCCTTCCTACACATACCATTCCCTAGGGCAGCAGGTTGTATCTTCAGGCAGTAGTCATAGTTTAAGTCTTATTTTGCAAAATGTCCTTGAAACTAAGTTCCGGGTAAAATAACGACCAGTACACAGAGAGTGAACATACTCTGTTATGTAAGATAACATCACTTTATGCATCACACAACTAGTTGACTCATTCTCAGCTTAATGTGGTTAGTTTTGGTTTTTGTTTTCAGTTTCCACTGCTACTAAGTCAGACATTCTTTTTCCTATACTTCTGTTTTTTGCTCTGTTTTGGCTTCCTGAATGCAAGTTCAGGTCCTAACAGTGAAGTGAGGACAGAAAAATAACCTTGGATTTGCCTATTTTGTGAAGTGATGGGAAAGGTAGTCAGTTGAGAGACTGTTGAGAAGAAGTAAGGACTGTTAGGACAACTCTTTCAAGAAGATTGAAGACTGAGGGAGATGCAGAGGAATGGGCAGAAACTGTGGGAGTATGGGTTGGTGGGACAGAGTTGGTAGGGTGTGTTTGAAATTGTGTGGGAGTGATCTGCGAGAGTCTTCCAGAAGGCAAGAAGGCTGAGTCCAGAACACTGGAGGCTTGGTCACAGGCGGTCCAAGGACAGTTCCTCAGTCGCAGCAGAAAGGAGGGCATGGGAATGAGAGCAGATGTCCATGTGGTGGCACTGGGCTAGGCACTACGTTCAGTGCGGTTATTCCAGTGATTACAAATCTATTGTCACGGTACCCAGGCTGCGTTTGCACAAGAATGTCATGAAAGGTCCTGTCAGATTTGACATAGCACTCCACATACATACTATCAACAGTGTTCCCTGCTTTAGTAGTTCTGTCAAAGAAAAAAGGTTAGTGTGCCATTGATTCTCTGATGCTGGGTTCTTATACACCCGTCTTAATGTAGACTTTTTTTCAAATAGCAGGTTCATCAGCCTACAGTTTTCCAAATCTACTTACTGCATTTTTTGATAATAGCATTAAGAAACTCCTTTTTGGGCTAATAGCACTTGTTGTAACCATGGGTCAGCAACCTTGCCTGCTTATGTTATTGACATGTAATTTATCCAGGGCCAGAAAAACAACCATGATGTTCATGAGAAATCCACTTCTTCGGAGCTTCTCTTCCCATTATCGGTGTCCATTCTAGCCTTTTTAGTGAGAGAATAATTCTGTTTGAGAGAAAAGACCAACGAAACAATTTAAAGATGTGTGAAGTGTCCAGTCTGCAGACACAGCCCACACAGCTCAGTGTTCTGCATAGAGTGACTCACTCTTCCCAACAGCCTTTAAGGAAGGTATTTGATCACGGAGTACATACAGATGAGGAAACTGATGCTCAAGGAGTTTAAAAGATTAGCCAGAGACGACACAGTAATCTAGTAATCTAGGGCCAGATAATTCTTTGTTCTCTCTCCCTCTCCCCCTCCTCTCCCTCTCCCTCCCTGTTCATACCCCCCTCACCCCATGTATGTGTCTGTGTGTGTTGGGGCGGGGGTTGCCCTGTGCATTTAGGATATCTTAGCTGCATCCCTGGCCTCCACCCACTAAATTCCACTTCTGACAATCAAAGATGTCTCCAGATATTGCCAAATGTTTAGAGAGTAGGGGAGAGGCCGACAAAATTATCCAACATTTTGAAGCACTGATTAAAGGGAAATTAGTTTGGTAGCAGTGTGATACATGGATTAAACAGAGCAAAAGCTGGAAACAGAATCCACTTAGACTGTGGGGCTAGTCTAAGTAGAAATATAAGGGCCAGTACTATAGTCGTGACTGCAGAAATGAAAAGACCCTTACAGAATTTGGCCACATTGGGTATAACTTTTTGAGAATGGAATTAATTCACAAGGTGACTGTGTACAGACAGCCTTGAAGACAGCTCAGACTTAGGTTTCTGTATTTAGTCAGTGTGACTAGAGCCAGGAAAGACCACTGATTCAGTGGTTCTCACTGTTCTGTGTAACACTGGTTTTCTGTGAAATAGGTAGAGGTGGCCTGCCTGTAAAATTGAATACTAGGCCGAGTGCGTTGGCTCATGCCTGTAATCCCCAGCACATCAGGAGGCCGATGCTGGTGGATCATGAGGTCAAGAAATTGAGACCAGCCTGGCCAACATGGTGAAACCCTGTCTCTACTAAAAATGCAAAAATTAGCCGGGCATGGTGGTGTGTGCCTGTAGTCCTAGTTACTCAGGAGGCTGAGGCAGGAGAATCGCTTGAACCTGGGAGGCAGAGGTTGCAGTAAGCCGAGATTGTGCCACTGTACTCTAGCCTGGGTGACAGAGTGAGACCCTGTCTCAAAAAAAAAAAAAAAAAAAAAAATACTAGTAGTCTCTTCCCAAGCCTCAGGAGAATGTCTCCAGTTTTTCTGAAACCTATTGCTCGTCTCTACTAGAATCCAGTACAAGATGCTTTTGGGATTTAAATCAGTATTTTATTGTGGCTCTAAAAAAAATGTGACTGGAATTTTTTTGTCTGAACAACTGTAAGGACTGTTGCTGTTGCCCAAAGTCAATTCTGTTTACTTTAGCAGACATATATTCAGCAGCCACTTTGGGTTAAGTATTATACCTCCTGAGGGATAGAAATGCCTAGGACACAGGCCTGCCCATGAGAGGTGTAGGCCTTGAGAGGTCTAGTAGGAGTGATACACAGAACTTTCCAGACAATATGGTTTGGACCTCATATAATTCCAGTATGCACAGGTGCTTAGGAAGCATAAAGAAAAGGGTTTGCTTTTGTTTTGTTTTGTTTTGTTTTTGAGGCAAGGTCTTGCTCTGTCACCCAGGCTGGAGTGCAGTGGCATGATCTTGGCTCATTGCAACCTCTGCATCCTGGACTCAAGTGATCCTCTCACCTCAGCCTCCCAGGTAGCTGGGACTACAAGTGCACGCCACCGTGTCTGGCTAATTTTTGTATTTTTTGTAAAGATGGGGTTTTGCCATGTTGGTCAGGCTGTTCTCGAACTCCTCAGCTCAAGTGATCTGCCTGTCTTGGCCTCCCACAGTGCTGGGAGTGTAAGCCACCACACCTGTCTAAGGAAAGGGATTTAATGCAGGTATTGCAAAAGTATCAAAGTAAGCTTGACCAAGGTAGGTGGAAATTAGTAAACATCAAAGCACTACAACAAAAGCTTTTACAGGATATTGGCCTTAAATTAACATACATATGTTTGTTAACAAATAGGCTGATCCTTTAACTGAAATCTTAGCGTGGTCTTTTAAGAATGGCACTTTCATTTTTTAACAGTTATTTACTGAGTGCCAAGTACTGGCAAGGCTTGGAGCTATATTTGGGAATCTGCCAGAGTTGGGTGGCAGGGGAGGTTACAAAGAGGTATAAGAAATCCCTCCTATTGATTAGAGGTATAAGAATAAAATTAAAAAAGAAATCCCTGAACTCTCCAGGGGAGGTTACAAAGAGGTATAAGAAATCCCTCCTATTGATAAGAGGTATAAGAATAAAATTAAAAAAGAAATCCCTGAACTCTCCAGGGGAGGTTACAAAGAGGTATGAGAAATCCCTCCTATTGATAAGAGGTATAAGAATAAAATTAAAAAAGAAATCCCTGACCTCTAGAGAGTTCACATGTTGAGAGGGGTGTGCAGTTTGTATTTGCAGAGCAGGTTAAATAGTCTTTTATGAATGGATAATAAATTCTTGATGCTCTGTAATGCTACACTCTCACAAATGATCGAAAAATTTAGATTTGAATTTAAAATGTATTTTGGGGTCGGGCGCAGTAGCTCACACCTGTAATCCCAGCACTTTGGTAGGCTGAGGCGGGTGGATCACGTGAGGTCAGGAGTTCGAGACTGGCCTGGCCAACATGGCAAAAACCCCGTCTCTACTAAAAATACAAAAAAAAAAAAAAAATGAGCCAACGTTGAGGCAAGTGTCTGTAGTCTCAGCTACTCGGGAGGCTGAGACATGAGAATAGTTTGAACCTGGGAGGCAGAGGTTGCAGTGAGCCGAGATTGCACCACTGCACTACAGCTCTGGGTGACAGAGCAAGACTCTGTCTCAAAAATAAAATAAAATGTATTTTGGTGCTATAGGAAGACAAATGGCACCTCATAGCCTCACAGAGGGTGGGATTAGCTAGGACACTTCCCAGAAAGGTTGAGGGTTTTTTGGTTGGTTTTGGGGTTTTGTTTTTGTTTTTTTTTTTTTTTTAGAGACAAGTGTCTCAGTCTGTTGCCCAGGCTGGAGTGCAATGGCACCATCATAGCTCGCTGTAGCTTTGCCCTTTAGGGATCAAGCAATCCTCCAACCTTAGCCTTCTGCGTAGCTGGGACTACAGGTGCATGCTGCCACACCTGGCTAATTTTTTAAATGTTTTGTAGAGATGGGGTCTCCGTGTGTTGCCCGGCTGCTTCTGAATTCCTGGACTCAAGCTGTCCTTCTGCCCCGGCCTCCCAGAATGCTGGGATTGAAGGTGTGAGCCACCACACCTGGCCGAGGTTGAGTTTTGAAGGACAAGTTAAAGTCGATGGGGAAGGTGTGTTGTGTGCGGTAGAGGTGAGTAGGCTATAGGACATTCTGAGTGGCAGAAGGTCTGAGATAAAGCAATGCATTTGGGAAAATTGCAAAAGAGTTCTTAACATTGTCAAGTTACATTAACATTGAATATAGTATTATATTCAAAAATACAAAATATTTTTGAGCAAGACAAATTGTCCAAAACATAATATTGCACTTACGTTGGGGTCCTCCTAACTCACTCTAACCAACCATAAAAACGTTTGTTTTGCATAATGGCTTCAGATTTCCATGATATTTACATTCATATTGATGAATTCACCAAATTCACCTGCTAGGGAATCTCTTTATTGGGAATTCTCCTTATTGGGCCATTTTAACTATAGCACTAAAAGATGAGCCAGTTTTTCAGATTGATTCATTCACGTAGCAGCCTTTTTATGGGCCGTCACTGCTTCATGCTAGGGCTACAAAAACAAATAAGAACAGGTAATACTTGTCTAGTGAGGGAGACCTATAAATAAATTATAGTAGGTGTGCAAAAAGAGGTATCTAAGAGGCAGATGGTGCTGAAAAGCCTTAAGTTGAGCTTACGCTGAACCTTAAAGATTTGACCAGAAATTCTCCAGAGAGGAGGGAAAAAAAGTAGAGTGTTGCAGTTAGTTAGTGGGGAAAAGAAAACCTGGAAGTTTATAGTATTCTCTTTCTGGAACTTTAAAATGATTTCTTGCTGCCTAAATTAGTTTTCTAGAACAGAAATCTAATCCACTACTTTAAATATTTCAGTAACTGCCATCTCCTTCAAGAGAATGTTGAAATCTACTTTAAATAGTTGTCTTGAGAGGAGAAATAGTACACTAGACTCATGTCATCCAGAAGAATTTTAAAGCTGTTGACCAAGTCAGAACTTTTTTCCTTTTATTATTATTTTGACAAGGTGATAAGAGGAACACAGAAATTTGAAAAAATGAAACAAAACAAACAAAAAAACAGAAGTAAACACTTTTTGGCACAGAAGAATGTTAAATTATGTTACGGGTAATTTGGTTTGTTAAAAATACTATCTTTGAGGTGGGACATCGTGATGCATACCTGTAATCCTAGCACTTTGGGAGGATGAGGCAGGCGGATTGCTTGAGACTAGCCTGGGCAACATGGTGAAACCCCGTCTCTACAAAAAATATAAAAATTAGCTGGGTGAGGTGGCACAGTCCCAGCTATTAGAGAGGCTGAGATGGGAGGTTCGCCTGAGCCTGGGAGGTCAAAGCTGCAGTGAGCTATAATCGTGCAGCTGCACTCCAGCCTGGGCAACAGAGTGAGACCCTGTCTCAAAAAAAAAAAAAATCTATATTTGTTATTTAGTATTGTTCAGCAAGTAGATTTATGATTATGTACTATGTGCAAAGATATTGTGCTAAGTGTAAAACAAAAAAAAAACAGAAATTGCCTTCAGGAAATTTTCCTGTCTTAATGCCAAGGTGTATAGGTTCTTTTGGGGAAGAGGGATTGTGCAAGGTGACATTTTTTAGTCAAGCAATATTGGTAACAACGTTAAGGCCTAAGGAAGGAAGAGATAACCTCTAAGGGCTTTTTCTCTGTCATCCCAAGTCTTTTGAGTTTCTGTGACGAAATCCAGTCATTTAGTTTGGAAATAAGCTGTGATTTGGTCTCATGTGCCAATTAAGGAAGGGTGGTGCACAATAACTTGAGCAGCTTAGCTCATTAGCATTGGCCAGAGAGGCGGCGATGCATCGGAGGCAAGAGTAGGGCCCGCAAGGTGCCCGTGCCTGGCACCCCTTGCAGTTGTGCACATACTGACCCCTGAACTAGCATGTTTTTACCCAACTGCCCTGCCTCCAGTTCATCCCCTGAAATGTTCTGGAAAAGCAAATCTCAGGGTATAAAGAGCCGTCGTTCTGGGTTTTGTTAATTTAAAATAATTCCCAGAAGCAATCTTGCTGCTATGATTATAATATAGCAAAATGTTTAGCCCTCATGCTAGGCAGGTTTTTTTGGTTTGCTTTAATAGAGACAGGGTTTTGCCATATTGCCCAGGCTGGTGTCAAACTCCCTAGGGTCAAGCGATCCACCTGCTTTGGCCTCCCAAAGTGCTGGGATTACAGGCATGACCCACTGCACCCAGCTAATGCTAGGAAGTTTTTAAAAAATAATAATTTCTTTTAACTCAGCAAGCTAAGATGAATTTCCTAGGTGAGAAATTTCAGATTGATATTGCAAGTGTTTTCTGTGCAGGGTGTCCTGATACTTGTTGCGGCAGTATCACTTCCCCCACCCCCAGCCTTGAGATTGTAGGTGTTAAAGAACCTTTTAAATCTCAGTTAATCTTCTGTCTCCCACTCATCTGTTCATTTATTCAACAAGGTACCTTTACATGTATCTTAGTCACCAGCCAAACTGGGCTGGTCACCATCCCAAATATATTTTGTTGTGGTCTACAGT
Source organism: Homo sapiens (assembly GCF_000001405.40). NCBI lineage: Eukaryota > Metazoa > Chordata > Mammalia > Primates > Hominidae > Homo > Homo sapiens. Next base: position 101,300,215 of record NC_000002.12, on the reverse strand, counting down.
CTAGAAACCCTCTTCCTTTGCTTTGTAAACTTTTTTGTCTCCTTTGAGATGTGGCTCCAGTGTGCCTGGGGAGATTTCCCTCCACCCCAAGCAAAATTGTCTCCTTACTTCTGTAGCTCTTTGTTACTCTGCTTTCTTATTGAAAAAGTGTTAGTCCAAAATAGAGTCATTCTCATTCCCATTTTGTAGCTGCAGAAGCATTCTCAGTGACCATGGATTTTTCCAACCTCCCAGGCAGTGGATAACAGTGATTTTTGCACCCAGGTCTGTCTGGCTGTGAAGCCTGTGATCCTATGAAGGCGGATGGGGAAGGGACGTTACCTCGGAGCTGGGTCTTCAGACTTTAGAACTGGCTTTTTCAGGTGGTGTGTGACATTGAGCAACTCCCTGGGATTTCTGAACACTCAGCTGTAGAATGATAGTGTGGCCTTTGCCTGCTTCAAGTGAGACATAAATGTGAACGTGTTCTTCCCCATTACCACACAAAGAACGTGGTATCAGTACCAGAAATTGATTCAACTGTCATCATAGCATAGTTTAGTTTTCTGTGTAAAAGCTTTTAACTGAGGTGGGAACATGAGACTTCGTTGTACTATTCTTTCTACTTTGTATGTGCTTGAAATTTTCCACAAAAGCAAGTTTACAAAAAAGACTTCTAGCTTGCAAAGTGCCATATAGTTATATCAGATATAACCATCATAATTCTTTCTATATACATCCTTCTTAACTACTAGATGTTTAGAAAATGCCTTCCTCCTTTGTTGTGTCCCCTTGTGATGACATGGTTGGTTGTGTGGGTGCCTCGGAAATACAGTTCTTGCCAAGGGACCCTTTTAGACAGGCAGGTCATCAGATGATAGGATCAGCTTCCACACAGGGGCTACCTTAGAAGGGTGCCCTTCTGGTGTTTCAGTAACTGAATCCCAAAGCTTGAGATCCACAGTGGATTTGCTGCAGATGAAATTTCTCTCCACAATAAAATAGTGTTAGAGTGTGGTTTTAGTGTAATGTCAGGGAACGTTCTTTATATACCCTTTCACATTATTTTTTGTTTGGTTTTGAGACAGAGTCTCGCCCTGTCGCCCAGACTGGAGTGCAGTGGCGCGATTTTGGCTCACTGCAACCTCCAACTCTGGGTTCGAGCAATTCTTCTGCCTCAGCCTCCAGAGTAGCTGGGATTACAGGCATGAGCTACCATGCCCAGCTAATTTTTTGCATGTGTAATATTAGTAGAGACGGGGTTTCACCATGTTGGCCAGGCTGGTCTCAAATTCCTAACCTCAAGTGATCTACATACCTTGGCCTCACAAAGTGCTGGGATTATAGGCGTAAGCCACCATGCCTAAAAGTTATTTTTTGAATAGCTAATATGTGCACATGGTACAGAATTCTTACTGTGCAAATAAGACCCCCCAGCCTGTCCTGCATCCCGAAGCGCCTCTCCCCAGAAACAGTCATGGTCTCCAGTCTCTGGGGTAACCTTCCAGAGGGTAGTATGTGTTGATGGGAGCATATAGGTCTTTGGGTTTTCGTTGTTTTTTGTTTTTTGGGGTTTTTTTGTTTGTTTGTTTTTAAGGACTGCATGCTGTCCACACAGTTTACATGTTGTGTGTTTTCTATCTTGAGTACTGTCAGTACTTACAGAGCTGCTACTTCAGCCTTCATACACATACTGTAATTTATATACCTTTTTTCCTTTCGATGGACGTTTAGATTGTGATAGCAAAAACTTAGGAAAGAACATTGGCAATAAATCTTTTTTATTTATTTAATTTTATTATTATTATTTTTGAGACAGTGTCTTGCTCTGTTGCCCAGGCTGGAGTACAGTAGCGTGATCTCAGCTCACTGCAACCTCTGCCTCCTAGGCTCAGGTGATCCTCCTGCCTCAGCCTCCCTAGTAGCTGGGACTACAGACATGCACCACCACACCCAGCTAATTTTTGTATTTCTTTTAAGTAGAGATAGGGTTTTGCCATGATGGCCAAGCTGGTCTCAAACTCCTGATCCATCCGCCTTGGCCCCCCAAAGTGTTGGGATTACAGGTGTGAGCCACCGTGCCTGGCCAACAGTAAATCTTTATAGATACCTCATTGGTTACATCTGTGCAATTAAGTTCCTGGGCACAGAATTGCTGGGCCAAAGAGATATGGACTTTTAGAATTTTTTGAATGCCATTGCCTTTCGTAGAAGAGTGTAATAATTTATTCACCCCCTTGTCCAGCAGTGTGCGAGAGTGCTCATTCGTGCCTATTTTTGCCAGTATAGTGTATCAGACTTTTTGATCTTTGCCAATCTTACAGGAAATGTTTTCATTTGTTACCAAGGAAGACTTTTCATGTGTTTAAAATCCCTTTTGCAGGGAGAGAGTGACTGCCAGTGGACACAGGGTTTCTTTCTAGGGTAATGAAAACATTATGGAATTAGATAGTGATGATGGTTGTACATACAACCTTATGAATCCACTAAAAGCCACTGACTTGTACACTTAAAAAGGGTGAATTTTGTGGTATGTGGATTATATCTCAATAAAGCTGCTATTTAAAATATCCATTTGGTCAGGCATAGAGTGGCTCATGCCAGAATCCCAACACTGTGAGAGGTCGAGGTGGGAGAATTGCTTGAGGTCAGGAGTTCAAGGCTAGCCTGGGCAACATAGTGAGACCCCATCTCTAAAAAAAAATGAAAAAAATTAGCCAGGTGTAGTGGTGTGTGCCTGTGGTCCCAGCTGCTCAGGAAGCTGAGGCAGGAGGATCACTTGAGCCCAGGAGTTTGAGGCTTCATTGAGCTAGGATCCCACCACTGTACTCCATCCTGGGTGACAGAGCGAGACCCCATCTCTTTAAAAATAAAAACAAAACAAAAAACCGTTTTTATTTTCTTTTCTGCAAATCAACTTCATTTTCTTTGTTTTTCTATTACTCTTATAGGAAATTAGTTTTTTGTCTTTGTTATGTTACATCTATTTTTTCCAAGTTGACCATTTGCCCTTTTTGTATTTTGTTTGAGATGGAGTCTTGCTCTTGTCGCCCAGGCTGGAGTGCAGTGGCGCAATCTTGGCTCACCGCAGCCTCTGCCTCCTGGGTTCAAGCAATTCTCCTATCTCTGTCTCCTGAGTAGCTAGGATTACAGACGCCCACCACCACACCTAGCTAATTTTTGTAATTTCAGTAGAGACGGGGTTTCGCCATTTTGGCCAGGCTGGTCTCAAACTCCTGACCTCAGGTGATCCGCCCGCCTCAGCCTCCCAAAGTGCTGGGATTACAGGCGTGAGGCACCGTGCCCGGCCAACCATTTACTCTTTTGAACTTGGTTTTGCTTTTACTCATGGTGAAAATTTTCATTTTTATGTAATTAAAAAAAAATTTTTTTTAAGAACCTCTGAGGTAGTTTTTATACTTGGAGAAGTTTTTCGTCAATATGTATTTTTTGATTCCCATGTTTCTTCTAGCCATTGGATGTTTCCTCTTTTTTTATATATACACTTAAGTCTTTAATTTAGTTGGAATTTATTTTGGCGTAAGTTGTGAGAAATGGATGCAGCTTCCCCCGACCCGCCGCACTGATGATACCCAGTTGCCCCACGTGATTTTTTAAATAATTCATTTTGCCTCATGCATTTGGAATTCTGCTTTTATGCACTAAATTCTTTCATGTATTTGGGTCTATTTCTGGACTTTTATTCTGTCTCATTCTGTGGGTGTCTCCATATGCTACAGCCACAATGTTTTAATTACTTTAACTCTAAAGACCAGTCCAGGTTTCACTGTTTAAAACATTGTTCTGATCATCTTATTTTCCTTCTAAGTGAACTTAGAAGCAATATGTTTAGTTCTTTTTTAATCTTATCGATATTTTATGATTATTGCATTAATTTGTAGCTAAATACATGTAAAATTTTTTATTTTAGCCCTTCTTTTCTATGTCTCTTAATTTTTCTCTCATGTCTGCTTATGCCTTCAGAGCAATGCTAAATAATAGTGATCATAGTAGAAATTCTCATATTGTCTCCCTGATTTTAATGAACATGCTTTAGGTATTATGTATTAGTACTCATAAGTGGAATTGGTCTGTATAGTTTTTTGTTTGTTTTTCATTGAGATACAGTCATACTTTGTCGCCCAAGCTGGAATGCAGTAGCATGATCTCAGCTCACTGCAGCCTTGACCATCTGGGCTCAAGCAATTCTTCTGCCTCAGCCTCCCAACTCATTTTTTCTTTAAATTATTTGTAGAGACAAGGTCTCGCTTACACAGGCTGGTCTCCAACTCCTGTCTTCAACCTATCCTCCCATCTCAGTGTCTCAAAGTGCTGGGATTACAGGTGTGAACTACCATACCTGGCTTGTATGGTTCTTTTGTTGGTTGTTTATTACTAATGTTTGGTTTTATTATCTTAGAAGTAATTTTTAAACTTTTTTTTTTTTTAATCTGCTGTGGAACAAGTTAAATGTTGTTGGTGTTTCTTGTGCCTTAAAGGTTTGGTGGTAGATTTCACCTGTGAAACTGAACAGTGCTCTAGCTTTTGGGGGAATAGTTCTTTTTTTTTTTTTTTTGAGATGGGGTCTCGCACTGTCGCCCGGGCTGGAGTGCAGTGGCGCGATCTCAGCTCACTGCAACCTCCGCTTCCCAGGTTCATGTGATTCTCCTGCTGCAGCCTCCCAAGTAGCTGGGATTACAGGCGCACACCACCACACCTGGCTAATTTTTTGTATTTTTAGTAAAGGCAGGGTTTCACTATGTTGGCCAGACTGTTCTCAAACTCCTCACCTAGTGATCCGCCCGCCTAGGCCTCCCAAAGTGCTATTACAGGCAGGCACCGTGCCCGGCCAGGGGAATAGTTCTTAGTGATTTATTCTATTACTTCTAATGTAATCAGTTTCTTTTGGAACCAGGTTTGGTAACTTATGTTTCCCATGGAATTTTTCTAATGTATTTATATATGTAGATGAACATAGTACCCTTATATTTAATTTAATGTTCTCTGTATCTTATTTTGTGTTCTTCACATTGATTTCTTTGTTCTTTCCTACAGGAACAGGAAATATAGTGGTCATTATGATTAGCTATCCAAAAGGAAGAGAAATTTTGGAGCTGGTGCAAAAAGGAATTCCAGTAACGATGACCATAGGGGTTGGCACCCGGCATGTACAGGAGTTCATCAGCGGTCAGTCTGTGGTGTTTGTGGCCATTGCCTTCATCACCATGATGATTATCTCGTTAGCCTGGCTAATATTTTACTATATACAGCGTTTCCTATATACTGGCTCTCAGATTGGAAGTCAGGTAATGATGGATAACTCTGAATTTTGCTTTTTAAAAGATAATTCATAAATATGCCGCATATATATTCCTAGAAGTTACATTTGACCATAATCTTGATTTTCGCTTATATTATTTAAGTATTCAACATGACTTTTTGGAAGTAACTTTTTAATTGGACTATGTTAAATTTTTTGTTTTGTGGGAAATTAGATACCTTTAAGTCTGGGTTACCTTTTGCACATTTGTTTCCTGCAGGAACCCTCTTAGTCCCTTGCCAGACCCAAAGGAGTGATGAATGGAAGGGGGGGCCTCTCTGTCTCCATCATGGAGCCGTAGTAAAGCCATTTATCTCTCTCAGTGACAGCAAAGAGAAGGGCCGTCAGAGAGCCAGTGGCTTCCCAAGGCAGGCCTTTTGAGCGTCCACTTATTTCTGTCATTGTGGAAAGTTGACTGTTCTGTCTTGAGGACTAGGAAGAGGCCTTTACCTTTTAGGTACTTGAATAGATGAGCATGTGGTACCCCTATCCTCAGCTTCTTACTTTCTTGACAATATTTAAGCATAAGAAGTGGTTGCTTCTTCAGACAAATTAAAATCAGTACTCTTGGTGAAACACCTCTTAAAGTTACATATGGCTGTTCTGCATATTAAGATTTGAATGGCTTTTGTTGTTAGGGGGCTTTTTTATGAAGTTGGTGCAAAAGTAATCGCAGTTTTGCCATTAAAAGTTATTTTCAGTATAGTCATTTGACTTTGCCTTTCAAATGAAATGTTTTCTGTATGCTTATGTGTATTATATTTGTGACTTTTAAGAAAAATAGTGATTTAATTTAAATTTTTCAATAACTGTATTAATATTTTCCTACCCAAGAGCCATAGAAAAGAAACTAAGAAAGTTATTGGCCAGCTTCTACTTCATACTGTAAAGCATGGAGAAAAGGTAATATTTTCATGGTTTTTCTTTTGTTTTGTGGTTTAGAGTAGAGAATATGCTGTACGTGTTTATTTTAAAGAAGGATTGGCAGAAATATTTTGTCATTGAGAAGGGCCTTCTAGACCTGCATTAATATGGTAGCCACTAGTCGCATATAGCAATTTGCATTTAAATGAATTTAATTTAAAATTGAGCCCCTCACTGGTGACACTTCAAGCACTTTGGGAGCCACAGTGGCTGGTTGCTGCCCTCCTGGACAGCTCTTACATTCCCAGCAGTGACGAAAGTGGTACTGGTTAGAACCAGATAACTATAAAGACATACAGTCTTCACAGACCCTTGATAGCTTCAGTTCATTTCTGTTAAATCTGAGACTATGTGTCCACTCCCTTGGAGTCCTTTAGTTACAGGGAGAAAATGTTGGCATTTCTGGAGGGGGGAAAAGATGTTTTTAAAACTACTTTTGGAAAAAGAAACATTTTGACATGGCTAATCTGACACTTAAAAGTTCGAAATCATACCAGAATTTTAAAGCATTTTTGAAATAGGACAAATCCTGAATCTAGAAGCTCAGATTCTTGGAGGATAGATGCCTTAAAAGGAAAACTGTTGCTAATGCATAGGATTTATTCTTTTCCTAGTTCTTCTGGTGCGCTCTGAAATGTTGATAATTATGTTGACTTGCAGCTATGACTTGGTTCAGCTGTTTTGATTTTCATGTTATCTCACTAAGTTATCAAAAATCTGTTCCACCCTCCAATCTCTACTCCCCTTCAGAAAGAAAGAGTACATGCACTTATGGTGTATATCTCTTTCTTTGACCTTAAAGGATTAAAGCAAAAATAACACATTAGCTTACAGACTTTTGATTTTTTTTTTTTTAATTTGGAATTAATACTAATGAGACTTTGAGAATTGTATTGGTGGCTACCATTCCTTTGCTGATTGTTTTCGTACTACAGTTCAATTTTGATAGTTTGTGCAAGGTATTATTTTCTTTCCATACAAATGTGTTGAACAGAAAAAGTAAAAAAAAAAAAAAAAAAAGATCACATCTCATGGCTTAAGATTAGTGTCTGATTTGCAGATCACTCAGAAGGTCCTTGGGGATAGAGTTTCCAGTTAATCCCTGTGACAAACTCTGCACACATTCAGCATAGTCAGTTACTTGACAAACGTGGTTTATGTTCCTCTTGGAACATGACTTCTTACCCTCCTTAGCAGGAAATTGCAGTTCTTTTTTTTTCTTCATTTGAGATGGAGTCTCGCTCTGTCACCCAGGCTGGAGTGCAGTGGCGCAATCTCGGCTCACTGCAAGCTCCGCCTCCCGGGTTCACGCCATTCTCCTGCCTCAGTCTCCCGAGTAGCTGGAACTACAGGCGCCTGCCACCACGCCCAGCTAATTTTTTGTATTTTTAGTAGAGACGGAGTTTCACCGTGTTAGCCAGGATGGTCTCCATCTCCTGACCTCGTGATCCACCTGCCTCGGCCTCCCAAAGTTCTGGGATTACAGGCGTGAGCCACCACGCCCGGCCGGAAATTGCAGTTCTTAAGTATGAGAAGACATAGATGTATATGTTTAATTTACTGAATCAAATCTTTGAGAACACAAGTAAATTGGTATTATCCTCTTCCCATACAGAACACTTTTGAAAATATGCTTCCAGGGCCTGTTTCTTGAAAGTTGTCAAAATAATGGTTGAAAAAAAGAGGATCCCTTGCAAAAAAGCCTTATGGTATATATATTTTTAAGAAGATTTCTAAATGACCCATGAGGTATATACAGATGGCCCCCACCTTCCAATGGTTTAACTTAACAATTTTTCAACTTTAAACAGTGTGAAAGCAATACACATTCAGTAGAAACCATACTTCAAGTGTTGTTTTTCACTTTCAGTATGGTATGCAGTAAATTATATGAGATAGTCAATACTTTATTATAAAATAGGCTTCGTGTTAGATGATTCTGCCCAAGTGTAGGCTAATGTAAGTGTTCTGAGCATGTTTATGGTAGGCCAGGCTAAGCCGCGATGTTCAGTAGGTTAGGTACATTAAATGCATTTTAAACTTAATGTTATTTTCAACTTACAGTGGATTCAGTGAGGTGTGACCCCATGGTAAGCTGAAGAGCAGCTGTACATGGATTTTCTTGCAGTTTTACATTTTAAACTGTACAAAAAAATGTGTTTTCTTCAGTCTACATTGTATTCCATTCTAGAGAGACTAGTGTTGTCTAATTTTTATTTTCTTGTAGATTCATTCACAGTAATGTATAAACTTGCAAACCATTATTAGAGACTTTAAAAATTAATCATCCTTGCCCTGCATATGATAAATGATACTATTTACTTTCATTGAAGCATATAATTTTAAATGTTGTTAAAAGTTCATTTTAATACAGTCTTTGATAACAATATCTACATATAAAATCAAATGTGGTCTGGCAGGGTGGCTCGCACCTGTAATCCCAGCACTTTGGGAGACTGAGGCAGGAGGATCTCTTGAGTCCAGGAGTTCAAAACCAGCCTGGGCAACGTGGCGAAACCCTGTCTCTTAAAAAAAAAAAAAATAGGCTGGGCGTGGTGGGTCATGCCTGTAATCCCAGCACTTTGGGAGGCCGAGGCGGGTGGATCACGAGGTCAGGAGTTCGAGACCAGCTTGGCCAACATGGTGAAACCCCATCTGTACTAAAAATACAAAAATTAGCTGGGCATGGTGGCGCAAGCCTGTAGTCCTAGCAACTCAGGAGGCTGAGGCAGGAGATTCACTTGAACCCAGGAGGTGGAGGTTGCAGTGAGCCAAGATCGCGCCACTGCCCTCCAGCCTGGCGACAGAGCGAGACTCCGTCTCAAAAAAAAAAAATTAATTAATTAATTAATAATAAAATGTTTACTGCTTCCATATTGACAGGTGGTGCACATGGCTAAATATATTTTTAAATACAGTAATTACATAAGAACAGTGTAACTGTGTTCCATAAAATGAACTGCCTAAATTTGCAGCCACATGCTGATACTGATTGGTAGTCCCTGAGTCTCTACCCCAGCATCCTGGGAAAGAGAATCCTGTTGGCCTATCTTGTGTCAGATGGCCACTGTGGCCCTGGCTGCCTTGGTTGATGGGTGAGACCAGGTGTGTAGATCCAGGGGTTAGCCAGAGAAGTAGGGAGGGCTGATTACCACCAAAGAGGTCCATGACCCATAGATTCTTAGAAGTGGAAATTTTGTCACAAGACTACTTTCTCCCCAGCACTTTTTGTTTCTTTGTACCTTTATTAAGTAGTTAGATGAAAAATGGTAACTTACTCTAATTTGTCATTCTTTTTAATCACTAGTGAGGTAACTATTTTCAAATATTTAGCCATTTACATTTTCTCATTTGTGAGTTGTAATTCCATTCTTTAGCAAATGTAAATACGTTACTTTATATGATTCCAGAAAACTAGTAGCTTATTTATATTTATTCTCTTTTTATTATAAGTTTTATGTTTGAAAAATAGTTTATTTTATAATATAGCAGACATTTGCATTTCTACAGCACTTAAAACATGAATACTTTTTAACAACCCGTGAACACTTGCTTAGTATTTAAACATTTTAAACTGTACAAAAGTGTTTTCTTCAGTCTACATCATATTCCATTCTAGAGAGACTAGTGTTGTCTAATTTTTATTTTCTTGTAGACTCATTCACAGTAATGGATAAACTTGCAAACCATTATTAGAGACTTTAAAAATTATTTCATCATTCTTGCCCTGTGTATGATAAATGATAGTATTTACTTTCATTGAAACATATAATTTTAAATGTTGTTGAAAGTTCCTTTTTTTGTTTTGTTTTTTGAGACGGAGTCTCGCTGTGTCACCAGGGTGGAGGGCAGTGGCGCGATCTTGGCTCACTGCAACCTCCACCTCCTGGGTTCAAGCGATTCTCCTGCCTCAGCCTCTAGAGTAGCTGGGACTACAGGCACACACCACCACACCCAGCTAATTTTTGTATTTTTAGTAGAGGTGGGGTTTCACCATGTTGGCCAGGATGGTCTCGATCTCTTGACCTTGTGATCCACCTGCCTTGGCCTCTGAAAGTGCTGGGATTACAGGCATGAGCCACCGTGTCTGGCTGTGAAAGTTCATTTTAATACAGTCTTTGATAACAATATCTGCATATAAAATCAAACTTGGTCTGGTGCAGTGGCTCATGCTGGTAATCCCAGCACCTTGGGAGGCTGAGGCAGGAGGATTGCTTGAGTCCAGGAGTTCGAGACCAGCCTGAGCAACACGGTAAGACCCTGTCTCTTTTTTTTTTTTTTTTTTGAGACAGAGTCTTGCTCAACAGTTGCCCAGGCTGGAGTGCAGTGGTGCCATCTTGGCTCACTGCAACCTCCGACTCCCTGGTTCAAGCCATTCTCCTGCCTCAGCCTCCTGAGTAGCTGGGACTACAGGCACGCGCCACCATGCCCAGCTAATTTTTGTATTTTTAGTAAAGATGAGGTTTCACCATGTTGGCCAGGATGGTCTCAATCTCCTGACCCCATGATCCGCCCTCCTTGGCCTCCCAAAGTGCTGGGATTATAGGCGTGAACCACTGCACCTGGCCGAAACCCTGTCTCTTAAAAATAAATAAATAAATAAAACAATAATAAATAAAATGTTTACTGCTTCCATATTGACAGGTGGTGCACATGGCTAAATATATGAAATACAGTAATTACATGTGAATAGTGTATTAGTATTTAAACACTGTTCATATCTGATCAGGCAAACAATGAAATTTTTTCCTTTTCAACCGTATTTAGATAATCCTCTAATAGTGGTAAACACCAAGTACAGTTATTTGTGTTTTAATTTCACCGGTTGTACCACTGTAGAAGGGAATTCGTCATTGTTTTAGTCCGGATGTAGTGAGTTTACCAAGGGATATACTGTGTACCAAGAATGTAGTAACACTTTCCTTTTCTTTTTACAGGGAATTGATGTTGATGCTGAAAATTGTGCAGTGTGTATTGAAAATTTCAAAGTAAAGGATATTATTAGAATTCTGCCATGCAAGTATGTTCTTTTTACATATTGAGATGTTAAAAATTACTTGACAAGTTTTAGGTGTCTGACAAAATAGTTATTTGTTTTTTATGATAATGAAGATCTTGTAATTTGTGATCATCTCTTCTTTTTAGAAAAGCAGCTTGGATTTTAAATATAATATCTTCCCTGCCCTTTAAGATTGCTTTGCCTAGGAGATTCTTAGGTGACACTAAGACTCGTTAAGTATCTTTGTCGTAGATTGACTTTTAGTCTTCTAAGCAAGGCTTTATCAGAATCCTAGGAATTCCATTATACATTTAGCAGTGCAAAAAGTAAGCTGTGTTGGGAGCAAGGAAAATGAGGGACCAGGGAGAAGGGCCTGAAACAGCCTAAGGGAAATAGGTTGAGGAGGGCAGTAGTCTGCTGTTATTTGCACCCTGGGCTTGCGTTCCTTCTGAGGTTGTTTAAAATCAATATTCCTGGCTGGGCACTGTGGCTCACACCTGTAATCCCAGCACTTTGGGAGGCTGATGCAGGTGTTCAAGACTAGCCTGGTCAACATGGTGAAACCCCGTCTCTACTGAAAATACAAAAATTAGCCGGGTGTGGTAGCGTACACCTGTAATCCCAGCTACTCAGGTAGCTGGGGCAGGAGAATTACTTGAACCCGGGAGGCACAGGTTACAGTGAGCCGAGATTGCACCACCTGCACTCCAGCCTAGGTGACAGAGTGAGACTCCGTCTCAAAAAAAAAAAAAAAAAAAAAAAAGTTTTTCTTTCCTTTATTCTGGTTATACTAAGGGTTTTGTTTTAGTAGCAGGAAGTTGCTTGAAGGAAGGCAGGGCATGGTGGCTCATGACTGTAATCCCAGCTACTCAGGAGGCTGAGGCATGAGAATTGCTTGAACCTGGGAGGTAGAGGTTGCAGTGAGCTGAGATCACGCCACTGCACTCCAGCCTGGGTGACATGGCAAGACTCTGTCTCCAAAAAAAGTAATGGGATACTTTAGTTGATAACTTTTTTAAAAGAATTGCTTTGCTAAAAGGGTTCATTTTATGTACAGAAATTGTATGTTTTAAGTCTGATGAATTTTAATTATACTTCACACCTACTAGAAGCAAGTCACAAGTCAGTATATAATTATATTTTGCTTTGTTTGCAGAGTACGTTAGTATATATCCAAGTACTTTATAGTAGATTGATAATTCTGTGAAGGAAATGAAGGCGTGAGTATCAGGGTAACCAAATGAAAGTTTCCTGACTAAAGGTAGCTGGTTTAAACCTACAAACATTTACATGTGATTGGTATGATGGGTACTGAATGAATTGGGTTGGATCAGTATAAGTTGATCATGTCATGTAGAAAGTTATTAAAGTAGAGAAAAGAGTTTTTACTCCAGACTGGTTTAGGGCAGGTCTTTCTGATTTAAAAACAGTGTCCAGGAAGCTGCACAGATGAGCAGTACTAGGTCATGCTGGTGGCTGAGCTGGAGTTTGGACCTGACCCTCAAACACAGGTGCATGTGCACATTTCGTGGTCTCCTTACTGGGCTTTTGACTTTTCCCTTATTTTCTCCTGTGCTTTATTTCTGTAACAAATTTCCCAATAAAACCAACATGTTCCTTTTATGTTTTTGTAAAAATTATTTCTTAAGTACTGTTTTTTTTATTTTTTTGAGACAGAGTTTCGTTCTTGTTGCCCAGACTGGAGTACAAGGGGTGTGATCTTGGCTCACTACAACCTCCATCTTCCGGGTTCAAGCGATTCTCCTGCCTCAGCCTCCTGAGTAGCTGGGATTACAGGTGTCCACCAACACACCCAGCTAATTTTTGTATTTTTAGTGTAGAGCGGGTTTCACCATGTTGGCTAGGCTGGTCTCGAACTCCTGACCTCAGGTGATCCACCCACCTCGGCCTCCCAAAATGTTGGGATTACAGGCGTGAGCCACCATGCCCGGCCGCGAGTACTGTTACTTTTAACTCCACTAGCAGATTTCTGTTTGTAAAAAAGTCTTCAAACAACAGTAATAATACCAAACAATTACCAAGTATGCTCTGTGCCTGGCACAGTTGTATGCACATTGCATGTGCCCCTCTAACCCTGGTGTGGGGCAGAGTGTAGGAACCTAGTTCAGAGTCCCAGCCATTGAGTCGCAGAGCTCGTATCTGAGTCCAGCCTGTCTGGCTCTGAAACCCATACTATACTGGTAACTCCTTTTCTTCATCACTTGCAGAAAATAGATCTATCACACAGGAGGAAAAGTTAGCCAACTGAGACAAATCAGCAAAAGAAGAAAATATGTCTGCCTTTTTTTTTATTCTGAAAGTGATAGGTGTTCATTATAGAAAAATGGAGTGTATACAAAACTGTGTAAGAGAGTAAATAAGTGTTGCATAAGCCTACCACCGCAAGATGATCTGTTAATATTTTTGTTGTTATTTCCATTTGAGTCATTTTATGGACTTATGTAAGGTACTTCCAGTTTAGTATTAGTTTACTTATTACTACTAGTTGATTTATGCCACATTTTTTCCCAAAAAGCTTTCAAATAACTTACAGAGGCACATAAAAATGTACAACCTAGCGTGAGAGCATAAATAAGCCATGGTTTTTGTAGAGTGAAGGGAAAATTTCCCTAGAAGTGCCAGATTCTGTTTCATATGGAAGAGAGAATAATGACATGATAAGTAAGTAGACTAGAATGTTTATTTGACATCAGCTAACTTGTAATGAGAGGATGAGTTGGTACAATGTCTTATTTCCTTTATAAGTTATATAAACATTGATTTTAAAAACATTAACACATACTTAATCTTTTTAGGCATATTTTTCATAGAATATGCATTGACCCATGGCTTTTGGATCACCGAACATGTCCAATGTGTAAACTTGATGTCATCAAAGCCCTAGGATATTGGGTTTGTTACATTTTTGTTTATATTCAATCTCTGCCCCAGTTCTTCCTGAGTGATTCAGTTTCATTATTGACTAGAAACAAGAGGAACAGGTGAAATGCTCCTAATATCCTTGTAGTTCTCTGAAGAAATTTTCCTCATTATTAAAAATGAGTTATTAAGGCAGTGTAAAAAAATCAGTGAAATAAATTTATGATGGTAGAATAATATGCTCAGATGTTTCCCAGAGAGTTTGTAATTACTTACAGAGTAATGTGTTTTGGCATGCTGCACCACAGAATGTATGTATGCTAGTTTTGTATAGACAAGAATCATAAAATATTTGAAAAGGAAGGAGCCTCATAGGTTGTCAGGCTTAATATGCTCATTTTACATGTGAAGAAAACAAAGCCAATACTTAACATCAAATATTCCGTATTCCTAGGTTTCAGAATCAAATAGACCTGGGGCAGTTTGTCCTGCATTGACTTTGGTTCATCACCGATGGTCACAGGGCCTTACACAGAAGACACGGGGGCGAAATGAAAAGGAAATCATAGTAGTAGCTAGCCACATGCTGAACAAATGCCTTCCATACCTTGTTATGTCTAATCCTCACAGCTGCTGTATAAGTGCTGTCACTATTCCCATCTTACTGATTAGAAACTTGAGCTTAGAGAAGCTAAATAACTCACCTGAGGTCATGCAGTTAGCTAATGGGGAATCATCTTTCAAATAAAGTTTGCCTAATTCCAGGGTCCAAGCACTTAACTATTACCCTACCCAAAGAGGGGAACATAGAGGGGAAAAATATATTTTTTTAGGTTATATTTTTTATTGTTTTTAGAGTCTTCATACAATCTATTAATGTCTCAACATATTCTCATTTAAAAGATAAACAATTTTAGGCTGGACTTGGTGGCTCATACCTGTAATCCCGGCACTTAGGGAGGCTGAGGCGGGCGGATCACTTGAGGTCAGGAGTTCAAGACCAGCCTGGCCAACATGGTGAAACCCTGTCTCTCCTAAAAATACAAAAAAAATTAGCCGGATATGATGGCACGCTCCTGTAGTCCCATTTACTCAAGAGACTGAGGCAGGAGGATCGCATGAGTCTGGGAGGCAGAGGTTGTAGTGAACTGAGAGCGTTCCACTGCACTCCAGCCTGGGCAATGAGAGTGAAACCTTGTCTCAATAACAGTTTTTAAATAAAGATCTTTGGGGAAAATAATTTATCAAATATAGTCTTGTTGCTAAACATATTTTTAGAGTTTTTCATAGAGTTTATTGTAGAATTAGAAACTACAATTTGGGGTTTTTTAAATGATGATCACTTTATGTAGCTTTAAGCCATTATGGTCATGTAAGCTTCTATAGTGGCATCATTAAAGAACTGACCCGTTAAACAAGACTTATTTCCCAGACTGCAGTCTACTTAAAATGCCCCCTCATCTTCTAGCTTAAGAGACCACTTCCTTAACAACTACTGTCATTCTCTATGAATTATGATTTGTTTGGTTTTTTTTGAGACAGCCTCACTCTGTCGCCGAGGCTGGAGTTCAATGGCGTGATCTTGGCTCACTTCAACCTCTGCCTCATGGGTTCAAGTGATTCTCCAGCCTCAGCCTCCCAAGTAGCTGAGATTACACCTGCACTCCAGTACACCCAGCTAATTTTTTATATTTTTTGTAGAGATAGGGTTTTACCACACTGGCCAGGATGGTCTCAAAATCCTGGCCTCAAGTGATCCACCCGCCTCAGCCTCCCAAAGTGCTGAGATTACAGGCATGAGCCATTGCACCTGGCCACTGAATTATGTTTTTTAAATGTGAGTTCCAGAACGCCTTCACTCTGTGATCACAGGAAGGTGGAGGTCAGTGTTCAAGAACTGTCTGACTAGAAACTGAGACTGTTTTGATGTCCAGAAAATTTGTCTCTCTTCTAGAATTTCTTCACATATTCATGGTTTTCAGTAATTGTAGCTATGATTAGCATGGCATAACATGCTTTCTTAATGAACCTGGCTCATCCCCTCTTTGCTCCAGAAACTGTAGCTTAGATGAGAGAATGAGCCTTTGTGGGACAGCATTTTAAATAATAGCATACAGGGAGCTTGATGGATTTCTTTCTTGGCAAGGTTTTAGAACTCTTTTCCTTCATTAGATACACTCTAAAGCGTATTCTAAGTTGTTTTCTTCATTACTCAGTAGTTTTAAACTTGCTTTTCATTTCTGGATGTTTGTATGAAAGGAATTTCACTGACCATAGCAGAGGGACTTTAATCCTCATGAGTTTTGTTTTTGGAAATAAGCTATATATATATTTCATATATTAAAAATTAAGACTCTTCATCTCACATAAGGTTGAGTTGCTTTCTTAGAATGTTAATTTCAGAAAGCTAGAATATATATCCCCAGAATGCCTAATTTATTGTTTGAAGAACAGAACCTATAGTAACATCAGACCTCAGAAACTTACTGTCTTGCCTTTGACTTTTGAATCTTTAGACAGTACACCCTTTTCTGTGGACCTGTTGACCCCCTCCTGCAGTGTATGCTTTAGTTAGCCATGCTGTGCCCTCTTATAGTAACTAGTTTTCTATTTCCCCATAACTGTAGTGAGAGTCACCCTCAGTCAACCACACAGGCTTTAAAGGTTTACAGCTGTAACCATTTCAGTGTGTCCATGTCACTTGTTTTCATTCATTTGGCAAGGATGGGTCAAAGAAATGACATCTAAGGTGCTAGATCTGCACTTGGCTCTGGGGAGACAAAGATGAGTAAGACACAGCCCCTCCCCTCATGGGCTCTTGAAGATTTCACTTTCTGGACTGGTAGGGGGTCAGGGCACGCATACAGACATGACATGGCCAAAGAGGCCTGTTTGAAGTGCTGCCCGTAGGAGCACAGAGGAGGGGTCACGTGCCCTGCTGCCAGGTAGAAGTTGGAAGGTGGGGCAAGTGCATTTGAGAGGGCAGTTGAGCTGGGTGTTGCATTATCCATCAGACACACCAAAGTGTTGAGGCTAATGCTGTGTCTGTGGAGTGAACAGACAGGGTTGGAGGTTGGCAGGTAGTTAAGTTGGCAGATATTTAGGTAAAAAGGTTGGAGCTAGGCTGGGCAGGAGTTTGGGTATTGTGATGTCACAGCCACAGGATTTGTTGCTTGGTGTGTCAGGAGTAGGGATGGGAGGGCGTTACGTTACTGGTGAGGCAGGAGGGGCAGGTTCTAGAACACAGGTGGAGCAGGGCTGTGGGGGGCACAGCCCAGTGGAGGGAGGAGGGGTGCCCGTGAGTGGTGTTTTTACTTGAAGCAATGGTGAGATGCTGAGCCAGAAGGTCATAGTCAACCTGCAGTAACCCCTCATCTAATAAGTCACTTTACCAGGAGTTCCATCCACTTACAACACAGCTTTGACTCTGGTATTAATCAAATAAAGTTTCTAGCTGTCCCCCAAATGTTGAGACTTAATGCAGTGATGCTGATAGTGTCCCCAGCCCTCCACTTTCACTGTCTTCCTTTCTTTAAAGCAGCAAATGGAAGGAGGGAGGGAAGGTGGAGACAAACTACAGCTGATCAACACCCTGTCCATACGGAAGGAGCCAGAGTAACTTTTTCAAGAAAATAATACAGTCTGAAGGCATCTGTTCAAAAGCCTTGTTTATTTCTGAAACCCTAGTGCCTCACTGTAAACCAGCACAGGGCGGTAATCAGAGTTCATGGCTATGGCCTCAAATCCTCTGTCTGGGAAGGCAAGGAAGTGGAAGAAAGCTTCACTTTCTGTCAATAGTTTAAAAGGTGGCATTGCTTGTATCAAGGAGGGGAAATGTTTTTTAGAATAAAAAACATGTTGGCCTTAGGAGATTGGTTGTCGAGAAGGAATTCATTTTCTTGTGATACTAGATAAGGGAGACATTGATGTGCTTTTTGCCAGATTCATTGTACAGAAGTACGTAATATTGTGTGTGAATTACGAGCCAGATGATACATAAGCTTTGATCATGTTTTAAGCTTTGATCATGTTTTTTCTTCTGTTCTAATTCTCAAGGGAGAGCCTGGGGATGTACAGGAGATGCCTGCTCCAGAATCTCCTCCTGGAAGGGATCCAGCTGCAAATTTGAGTCTAGCTTTACCAGATGATGACGGAAGTGATGACAGCAGTCCACCATCAGCCTCCCCTGCTGAATCTGAGCCACAGTGTGATCCCAGCTTTAAAGGAGATGCAGGAGAAAATACGGCATTGCTAGGTGAGCGGTGTGCAAATTATAAAACAATAGAATGTGGCCAGGAGTGGTGGCTCACACCTGTAATCTCAGTGCTTTGGGAGTTTAAGGTGGGAGGATTGCTCGAGTTTGAGCTATCGAAGAGTAAGTAACCAGAAATTTGAGAACAGCCTGGGCAGCATAGTGAGACCCCATCTCTACAAAAACTTCACAGATTAGCCAGGTATGGTGGCATTCTCCTGTAGTCCCAGCTACTCAGAATGCTGAGGCAGGAGAGTGGCTTGTGACCAAGAGTTCAGGCTGCAGTGAGCTATGATCCTGTCACTGTACTCCAGCCTGAGCCTGGGTGACAGAGCAAGACCCTGTCTCTTAAAAAAAAAAAAAAAAAAAAAAGGAATTTTATTAGTAGCTGTGAAAGAAAATAAAGAAATACATAAAGTGCAGAAAAGCATAAGGAAAAAATGAAAATAGTCGTCCCCCACGTAGAGATGTCATCTTAACACTTTGATAATTACCTTTCCAGATGTTTTTCTGGAAATCGAAAGGTGTTTAAGGGTCGGTGAATATCACTTATGGGCTGTTAGGTAACCTACTTTTTACTTAATATATGAAGCTCTTTCTATGTTGATAAATAGATAATTTTTTACAGCTACAGAGTATTACATTTTGAATTTTCTATAATTTCTTGAAACTAATTAATGAGTGTTTGTATTATCAGTAGCACTTTGAAATCATTATGTATATATACTTATGCCTTGTCTAATTGTTTTCTGTCACTCTGATAGGTAAAATGTAGTGAACTGCATGTTTTTTGTTTTGTTTTGTTTTTTGTGTTTTATTTTGGTTTTTGAGACAGGGTCTTGCTCTGTCACCCTGGCTGGAGTGTAGTGATGAGAACACAGCTCACTGCAGCCTCAAACTCCTGGGCTTAACCAATCCTGCCACCTCTGCCTCCCAAGTAGCTGAGACCACAGGCGTGTGCCACCACATCTAGCTAACTTTTTAAATTTTTTTGAAGTGATGAAGTCTCACCATGTTGTCTAGACTCATTGCATTTTTTAAATTACATTTTTGTCCTCTTTTCACATTGTTGGTCATCTTTATTCTTTGATGAACTGCTTATTTTATCCCTAGCTTATTTTTTTATGGAGATAGTAATTTTTTCATATTGATCCTTAGAGCTTTTTATACATTGAAAATACTAGGGCTTTGTCATATATTTTATGTATTTCTCCCCCAATTTCTGTATCCTTTGGCTTTTCATTGTACTTTCCAGATAGAAATTATGTAGTTTAGTTTCCCGTTCTCTCATGATTCTGCCTTTGATTGCATGCTGACTTAGGAAGGTCTTTCTTATGTTAGGATTGTAAAGATATTGACCTGTACTTTGCTAGTATTTGTGGGTTTTGTATTTTACATTTAAATCTTAATGTAAGATTTAAATGTAAATCTTAAACATCTTAAACACATATAGTTTAAGGTGTGAGGGGAGATTTAACTAATCTGTTTTTTCCTTTTATTCCACTTATTAAACCCAAATGTTTAATCAGTTGTCCTAATATTGTTTAGTGAATAATAATTGCAAATAATATGTTTTTATATTTGCAAGGCAATTTCCTTCATCTTTATTCTTCTTTTAAAAAATTTCTGGACTATTCTACATTATCATCATCATCATCATTATTATTATTATTATTATTATTATTTGAGATGGAGTCTTGCTCTGTCGGCCAGTCTGGAGTGCAGTGACACGATCTCAGCTCACTGCAGCCTCTGCCTCCTGGGTTCAAGTGATTTGCCCACCTCAGGTGATCCACCCTCCTGGGACTCCCAAAGTGCTGGGATTACAGGCATGAGCCACCACACCCAGCCTATTCTACATTTTTTAAAGATTAATTCTAAAATCATTTTGCCAAGTAAAAGAAAATCTCATCAGAATTTTTATTGGAATTGGATTCACTTAAAGGTTATTTTAAGTGGGAAGAATCGATGCTTCAGGTTTTGAATTTTGTCATCCTAGAAGAGGAAGCATATTTTTCCAAAGCAGTAAGATTGAAACTAAGTCAGTTTTTTTGTAGCACATTTAGGATCTGTGAGGCAAAAATCGGTAGAAATATTAGAATGTAAGTATTAACCAGCACCAGAGGAAGAAAAGACTGCATTGTGGAACAAAAAAAGGAGAATAGATTTCAGAGAATTATAAAATTGTAGCGATTGATCTGTGTAGGCATTCTCCTAACAGCTCTCCAGCTAAGACTGGGCCACCTTGCAAAGCAGCATGTTCCCTTGGTAAATGGCTCTTATTTTTAAGAATGTCTTTATATAGAGCCAGAGTGCATACCAGTGTGATTTTGCCATTGCCTTCCAACTCCAGAAAGAAAACTAACTTTGCCTTCTCTAGTACATGAGCACCCTGGAGATACTAAAACTCTTATTCTGACTAAATGTCTTTCAAGAGCAGCCTCCAGATTTTTCTGCATTCTTGCTACCTTGTTAACTTGCAGTGCCTTACAGTTTACCATTGGCTGTCCTGAAATACCCTCTTAGAACTAAGATAATACAATTTGAAATCATGGGTAGAAATCATGAAATCATGGGTAGAAATAAAGAAGGTGGAAGAAGCAGCTAGGTTTCCAAAGCAGCAAAATGTCAGATACATTCTGAAGCAGCCAGTTTCCCCAGTGTCCCCACCCCACCCCGTATGGGGCTCACATTCTATTTTTCTCTTTGTCCTTTTTTTAAATTCTCAAGTATTGTGCAACAGCAAGTTGACTTTATCTGTTAATGTTCTTTCAGCCTTATAACGGTAACGACATAAATTGAAAAACACTAAATTAGAAAAATCAGGCATTAATACTTCCAGAAAAAACTGTGGTTTCACTTATAGTTGAGAAAACATTTACTAGACTCTCAGGAGCAACTAGGAAATGAATGTGGAAGTTACTCATGGTAGACCCTGGAGAAGGTGTTTCCCTGTGGAAGTGCACCTTCCACTCTCCAGTTACATCACTCTCCACCTACTTCACCTCCTTGAAGGGGAGTGCAAAATATTTGGTTGGGTGTGGGGGGAATTGGAGAGATTGATCAAAAGGTACAAAGTTTCAGTTAGGAGCAAGTTCAAGAGCTCCATTGTACAGCATGGTGACTACAGTTCATAACAGTGTATAGTATTCTTGAAAGATGCCCAAAGAGTAGATTTTAAATGTTCTCACTTCAAATGAATATGTCAGGTAATGCACATGAATTAGTGTGATTTAGCCATTCCACAATGTATACATGTTTCAGAACATCATGTTGTATACCATATATATATACAGTTTTTGTCAATTTAAACAGTAAATACAAATTTTGTATTTATAAATATACACTTATATTTATAAAACAAGAGGAAGCATTTTATGAGATTACTTATGTTATTTCACCATTTAATAGAAACTTCAGGCTGGACATGGTGGCTCACACTTGTAATCCTAGCACTTTTGGAGGTAGGGTGGCAGGGAGCAGATTGCATCGCATGAGGCCAGTCTGGGGAACATGCAGAAACTCTGTCTCTACTTAAAATTAGCGGGGCGTGGTGGCGTGTGCCTACTGTAGTCCTAGCTCTCTGGGAAGCTGAGGTGGGAGGATCACTTGAACCCAGGAAGTCGAGGATGCAGCGAGCCGTGACCATGATCATGTCACTGCACTGCAGCCTGGGTGAGAGAGTGAGACCCTATATCAAAAAAGAAAAGAAAAAAGAAACTTTAAATTGGCAAAATAAAAAGTAATGGGATCTGCTGCTATCTTTAAGGAAGTATTCTATTCTAAGAGCCTTTTGTGTGAAGTGATTTTGTATACTTCATAATAGCAACTGTCTGGATTTCAGTACCAGCTCCTCCTCTTCCTTGCCATCTATAAACCGGGGCTGGTGACATGTTAATCTCTACCTCTTAGGGTCAATATAAATACTGGCTATTGTTTTCATTGGTGGCAGCATCACCATCACCTTAGCTACTTGTTCAACTTTTGGGAACATCTTCTGGTACCGCCATCTCTGACTGTCTTTAAAGACTGATCTGCTGATGAGATTAATGTTGGCTAGGCTAATGCTAGAAAACTCCTCATATGATGAAGATGTTTACCGATTTTTCTTGTTGGCTATCAGTGGAATGGGTTATCAGTTTTCCATGTATGTTTTATTTAAAATTTTCTGTTAGCCGGGCGCGGTGGCTCATGCCTGTAATCCCAGCATTTTGGGAGGCTGAGGTGGGTGGATCACCTGAGGTCAGGAGTTCGAGACTAGCCTGGCCAACATGGTGAAACCTCATCTCTACTAAAAATGCAAAAAGTAGCTGAATGTGGTGGCGGGTGCCTGTAATCCCAGCTACCCAGGAGGCTGAGGCAGGAGAATCGCTTGAACCCGGGAGGTGGAGTTGCAGTGAGCCAAGATGGTGCCATTGCATTCCAGCCTGGGCAACAAGAACAAGACTCCGTCTCAAAAAAAATTTTTTTTTCTGTTTACCATCTTGAATTATCTCCAAGTGAGTAAGTGTGTTTGCATAGTTGAAGCTCGGAATATGCTGCCCTCTTCTGATGGAGTAGCTTATGTTGCTCTCTTGCAGAAGCCGGCAGGAGTGACTCTCGGCATGGAGGACCCATCTCCTAGCACACGTGCCCACTGAAGTGGCACCAACAGAAGTTTGGCTTGAACTAAAGGACATTTTATTTTTTTTACTTTAGCACATAATTTGTATATTTGAAAATAATGTATATTATTTTACCTATTAGATTCTGATTTGATATACAAAGGACTAAGATATTTTCTTCTTGAAGAGACTTTTCGATTAGTCCTCATATATTTATCTACTAAAATAGAGTGTTTACCATGAACAGTGTGTTGCTTCAGACTATTACAAAGACAACTGGGGCAGGTACTCTAATATAAAGGACAGGTGGTGTTTCTAAATAATTGGCTGCTATGGTTCTGTAAAAACCAGTTAATTCTATTTTTCAAGGTTTTTGGCAAAGCACATCAATGTTAGACTAGTTGAAGTGGAATTGTATAATTCAATTCGATAATTGATCTCATGGGCTTTCCCTGGAGGAAAGGTTTTTTTTGTTGTTTTTTTTTTAAGAACTTGAAACTTGTAAACTGAGATGTCTGTAGCTTTTTTGCCCATCTGTAGTGTATGTGAAGATTTCAAAACCTGAGAGCACTTTTTCTTTGTTTAGAATTATGAGAAAGGCACTAGATGACTTTAGGATTTGCATTTTTCCCTTTATTGCCTCATTTCTTGTGACGCCTTGTTGGGGAGGGAAATCTGTTTATTTTTTCCTACAAATAAAAAGCTAAGATTCTATATCGCACATGAGCATTAAGTTCTTCATTGCCTTGTTAAGGAAAATGAGTAGGCAGACTCAGAATCTGTTATATTGATTTCAGTTACAATTTAATCTTTACAATTAAAAGGGCGAAAGATGTAGAATTTTAGTTTTTGTTGTTGACTCGAAATAACCAGTTTTCTTGATTAGAGTTTAAGCAGATTTAATACCATGACCTTGCTTAACCGTTTCTTCTTTTTTACTTGCTTGCTGTTCTTTTGGGTCAAAGGAGCAGGCTAATGCAAAGCTTTTGGAGACTGCTAAGTGTTAAAAAGTGATTAAACACACACTCTGCTATTTTTTCACTTCTTGGAGGTAGAAGTCGAGTATGAGGCAGTTATTTTTTAGAGTGTGGAATTATAGTCTTTCCTTGCTCCTAGTTATTCTGTATATCTTTACTTTGTAGGTAAAAATAAATGTTTATTTAAAACAATTTTTAAAATTATAAATTTATTTTTATAGCCATATGTAGGATATAAAGATTTATATAGATTATTTTCTCAAGCTACTTAATGCTTTAATTCTAGCTACTCATCATGAAATAGTAAACAGTTTTACTGAAATAAACTCTACAGACAGATGCAGTATGAGGAGCTATTGAAGTAGAAAATGTATTTCGCTTTGCACACTGAGTTGGTTTTAGCAGACAACCTCAAGTAGGTTTCCATAACAGCCATTACCTTTGAAATCTACCTTCTGTAGTTTATTATAAATAGGAAAATACATCCTGATTCTGTAGCAAGTAGATTGTTTGCTCTTTGTCTTTAAGAAATACTAGGAGGGCCGGGCGCGGTGGCTCACGCCTGTAATCCCAGCACTTTGGGAGGCCGAGGCGGGCGGATCACGAGGTCAGGAGATCGAGACCATCCCGGCTAAAACGGTGAAACCCCGTCTCTACTAAAAATACAAAAAATTAGCCGGGCGTAGTGGCGGGCGCCTGTAGTCCCAGCTACTTGGGAGGCTGAGGCAGGAGAATGGCGTGAACCCGGAAGGCAGAGCTTGCAGTGAGCCGAGATCCCGCCACTGCACTCCAGCCTGGGCGACAGAGCGAGACTCCGTCTCAAAAAAAAAAAAAAAAAAAAAAAAAAAAGAAATACTAGGGGAGGGCCGGGCGCGGTGGCTCACGCCTGTAATCCCAGCACTTTGGGAGGCCAAGGCAGGCAGATCACAAGATCAGGAGATCGAGACCATCCTGGCTAACACGGTGAAACCCTGTCTCCATTAAAAATACAAAAAATTAGCCGGACGTGGTGGCATGTGCCTGTAGTCCCAGCTACTCAGGAGGCTGAGGCAGGAGAATCGCTTGAACCTGGGAGGCAGAGGTTGCAGTGAGCCAAGATTGCGCTACTGCACTCCAGCCTGGGCGACAGAGCAAGACTCCGCCTCAAAAAAAAAAAAAAAAAAAAAAAACAGAAATACTAGGGAAGGGCCAGGCGTGGTGGCTCACGCCTCTAAACCCAGCACTTTGAGAGGCCAAGGTGGGAGGATCACCTGAGGTCAAGAGTTCAAGACCAGCCTGACCAACATGGAGAAACCCCATCTCTACTTAAAAAAAAAAAAATACAAAATTAGCCAGGCATGGTGGTGGGCACCTGTAATCCCAGCTACTCGGGAGACTGAGGCAGGAGATTCTCTTGAACCTGGGAGGCAGAGGTTGCGGTGAGCCGAGATCGTGCCATTGCACTCCAGCCTGGGCAACAAGAGCAAAACTCCATCTCAAAAAGAAAAAAGAAAGAAAGAAATGCTAGGGGAAAATGTTTTAACTAGTCATTCTTCCCAGTAGCTAATGAAGCTGACTTTTAAAAAGAAGGCTGTGAGCTTTGCAGATGCTGCTGCCGCCCAGGGCCCCCTGCTTCCAGCCATGGTCAACCCCACCATGTTTTTCCACATTGCTGTCGATGGCGAGCCCTTGGGCTGTGTCTCCTTCGAGGTAAGGGGCCTGGAAAGCAAGAAGTGACTGCTCATCTAATCCATAAAACTATGTTAACAGATTGGAGCTGTTTGCAGACAAGGTTCCAAAGACAGCAGAAAATTTCCATGCTCTGAGCACTGGAGAAAAAGGATTTGGTTATAAGGGTTCCTGCTTTCACAGAATTATTCCAGGGTTTACGTGTCAGAGTGGTGACTTCACACGCCATACAGCATTGGTGGCAAGTCCATCTGCAGGGAGAAATTTGATGACAAGAACTTCATCCTGAAGCATACGGGTCCTGGCATCTTGTCCATGGCAAATGCTGGACCCAGCGTGAACGTTTCCCAGTTTTTTATCTGCCCTGCCAAGATGCCAAGACAGAGTGGTTGGATTGCAAGCATGTGGTCTTTGGCAAGGTGAAAGATGGCATGAATATTGTGGAGGTCATGGAGCACTTGGGGTCCAAGAATGGCAAGATCAGCAATCAGCAAGAAGATCACCATTGCTGACTGGACAACTGCAATAAATTTGACGGGTGTTTCTCTTAAAAAAAAAAAAAAAATACTGTGACAGACCAAGGTAAATTGTTTTTGATAATTACAGAAGTGTGATTTCTTAATCAGCAGCTGTCAAACATAGTGTTCCTTAATTTAAAAGCTTGAACACTAAATTATAAATTGGAGAGGTTGGAATAATTACGGTCATATCTCTAGAAACACAAGTCTTTAGTAGCAAAAAAGAAATTAGCAAGAGAAGAAAACTGTTCAGTACTTTGAAAGGAAAAAGTTTTCAGTGATAGTTTTTTTAGATGAAAATTAACATGATAAAGAAGTGACAGGCCAGGTGTGGTGGTTGACGCTTTTAACACCAACAATTTGGGAGGCCAAGATGGGAGGATCTCTTGAGCCCAGGAATTCAAGACTAGCCTAGGCAACAAGGCAAAACTCATCTCTACTAAAAATTTAAAAAATTAGCCAGGTGTGGTGGCATCTGCCTGTAGTCCCAGCTGCTTGGGAAGCTGAGGTGGGAGGATCGCTTGAGCCCAAGAGGTTGAGGCTGCAGTGAGCTGTGATCACACCACTGTACTCCAGCCTGGGCAAGAGTGAGACCCTGTCAAAAAAAAAAAAAAAAAAGAAACAAATATTACAAGAGTTTTTGCTGAAAGTTTTAAGTTGATAAGATGCAGAGAATTGGGGGAATGTATAATAAATCAGGTTTCATTGTTATATTATTTACCACATGAATCACCTTCCTCCTAACCATTATAGGAGCCATGTGTTCACATGTCATGTGGACCAGTATTTAACTGTGGAAACCGCGGGTGGCATGGAGAAGGAGGCAGTGTCCGTGACTGTGCTGCTCTCCGCAGCCCCCTGCCTGCTGTCCTGTTTCCTCGGCTCCTCGGTGTCTGGACTGGCGTTCTGGGTTTCCCAGCAGAAAACTAAAGGGCCAGAGAGGTGTAAAAACACACACCACTTGGCAGGTAATAATTTCCCCGCATGCTATCTTTTTAGGGATCCTGAACACACAGCCTTTCCCAGAAGACTGCTCCCTCCAGCTACTGAGGAATGATGACAAGAAAAGGCCGAATTGCAGTGTCTCCATCAGCAGTTTGCTCTCCATGGGCACACGATGACAAAATATCCTGAAGCGAACCACTAGTCTGACCTCAGTAGCAGGATTGGAAGCTTCATGCCATGGGAGCTGTCAAGAAAGGCATCCCAAAGAGAACTGAAATTTAAAAATAATAATAGACCTTCAGGAATAGGTGATTGTCCCCATATACTGGGGATGAAATACCCAATGTAACCAAATTCCCCAGTAAGATCACTTAGTTTGGCAATAGTCTTTTCTTTTGAGCATGTTGAAGTTTATTTGCTCAATGAAGGCTGAAATTATAAGTCAGTATATATGTATTACTAAGTAGAACTTGAGGTAATTATATGTTTTAGTCAAAAGCAGTTTCTGTGGGCTTGGTATAAACCCTACTTTGTGATTTGCTAAAGCACAGGATGTTGACTCAAACCAAAACTAGTTTTGTAGTTAATATGTGTTGTGTTTCTGTGACTTAATAGTCAACTAGAAACGCCACCTACAACAACCCAGGTACTTAAGTTTTAAAAGTTTTTTTTAAAACACTTGTCACCATATTTTGAAAAATACTAACATTTGGATTACTAGTTATAAAAGTGTAATTTCTACTGTGTCATAATCAGCCATGCAGCTGGAGACTTGCCCTCTTTGTACAGCAAAGTTGTGAAAAAAAGTATTTGCACTACATTTATTTAAACATTAGGAAAAAAAGCCAACCCATGCTTTTCTTTGCCGAGATGTAGGGCTGTATTATTGGCTAGTGAGAAGCCTGGGAACACTAGGACTTTGTGTGGGCTGATTGCAGGTATCAGATCCGGGATTATACAGGTACTGTTGGAAGTATCTTGGGGATTTTCCTGATAAGAACAGTAGTGATTGCATAAAAAGGACAGGATGTAAAGTGAAATCAGTAAAATATCTTAGTAGACAGAGGGTGCTGAAATTTTAACAAATGTGTAAAAAGTTCTTCCTATGCATTAATTTTCCAGATACCCTTAAAATGTTTAAGGAATGTAATTCAAAATACTGTTTAAAAGAGACATGTGACCATCATTCTCCCAGCGAATGTGAATCATTTAGTGTGCTACTCAAAATTAGGTGTAAATGTATATGTACACTATAAGAATAAAAATCGATACCATTTCTTTAAAGCTTTCTAAAATAAACTTAATTATTTCTAATAGTTACATTTTAGGCTCTCAAACTATTTTTCTTTTGAAATAACTGCTTTCTACCCTAAGATGTTACTCATTGCTGTCTTCTTTTTAACAGGTGATTTGAAGATATTAAAGCTAGAAATTGGAACTAGAAAATCAAAAGAATTCAAGGCATCTTAACGTGACAGTTGAACTCATTTGATTATACTTAAAAAAGTTTATTGCAGTTATTGACTCTCAATTTTTTTTTTTTTTTTTTGAGTGCAGTGGTGCCATTGTTGCTCACTGCAGCCTCAATCTTCCAGGCTCAAGAAATCCTCCCACCTCAGCTTCCAGAGTAGCTGGGACTACAGGTGCATGCCACACCCTGATAATTTTTTTTTCCCCAATATAAACGAGGTCTTGCTATGTCCTCCAGTCTGGTCTTGAACTCAAGTGATCCACCCACCTTGGCCTCCCAAAGTGCTGGGATTACAGGCGTGAGCCACCAAACCCAGCCACCAATTTTACTTTAGGTAAACTTTTATTTTCAAGCTTTTGTTGGTGTTGCAAGTGTAAATCTGTTTTATAAAATGTTCTATAAATATAACCACTATTCCTTGTAAGCTATTTAAAATAAATTTTAAAGTCTTTCAAGTAAACACCAATATTGTGATTTTGATCCTCACTTACGAAGTCCCTATTTGAGAACCTCCCTACTAAAATGTATTTGTTACTCCAAAATCATCCCATGCGGTCACTTTCAGACATGCACAGAGCAGCGAATGAGCCAAGCTGCCTGACCCGCACGTTCCTGACGGAGGCTGGACGGGATGCCCTGCCGTTTCCTCTCCTACTACAAGCAAGTGTCCTTTCATAGTCTCTTCACAGTACCATGTTTTTTGCATTTCTGCAATTTTTGTTGGCAATTTCACTATTTAAAATGGTCCTCAGGTGTGGCAAAATATTGCCTGCTGCTCTAAGGGCAAGGCTGTGATGTGCCTCATGGACTAAGTGTCTGTTAGATCAGCTTCACTCAGGCATGAGTGATGGTGTTGGCTCTGAGTTCAGTGTTTTATTATGCCAGAGAATCAGTAGGTCCTGTAGGTCCTAGAACCTAAAGCTGGGTTGTTGAAACTGCCACTCCTAAAGTACTTCAGTAATAAGCTGTCCTTTTCCCAATGCTAACGTGCAAAACGGGGATGCTCGCTTTTAGGTGTAAAAAGAAATCTCTGTTGCCATCATTTTAATTGTCTGAAGGCATTCCTCTGATAGATGGGCTTAGTTCATTATTTCCTCTAAGCAAACATTCTTAAACATTTCTTTTGTAAGAAAAACAATTTATTATAGACAATTTATTATAAATCTTTAGTACTGCTCTTTCTCCAGCTTTAAGACTGGAACTTGTACTTATCTTAAAAATCACAGGCTTGGTTTCCTTTAACTTTTTCAAGGTGTTAGAGAGTAATTCCTGTTGAACAGATTATCTCCCTGTAAATATGCTTTGAAAATACCTCAGTAAAAGGAATTTCTCATGATTTCTTAAAGTAAAAAATACATCAGATAACAGTTGATAAAAAGAACTTTAATGGAAGGCACTGTTGTCCAAAATCACATAAAGGGTAAGAGCCCACACGGTACCACCCTGCTCTCCTACTTCTCAAACCCACATCCACCACCCAGACAGGAGGGTGCAGACCCCACAGGAAATTACCTCCCGGAGCACTGACTGATATTTTTCCTTAAAACAAAAAAATGGCTGTCTCAGACTAATAACAGAACATCTTAAGAGAAAAAAAAAAAACTATACCAGCTATTACAGCCTGGTAATAGAAGCAGCTTTCTAAGAATTCCCAAGTTTATAAGAGGCCCAAGAAATGCATTTATTCTGTTGTCTATTAAGCCTCCATGACAAGGAGAAAGTTATGAGTAAATCCTTGGTTCATCAGGAGTTAAGAGCTGTGTGCCTCATGAGGAGTTAAGAGCTGTGTGCATAAGCAGGTTCAAGAAACAAACTCCTGTTTGTTTGCCTCTTGATGGTTCAGAAACATTCAGCTGCTTTCACCTCTAGGACAAATGCTTAAGAATTTACTCTCATCAACATTGGAACTTTACGAAAACAGGATTCCTGGTTCATCAGAAGCCTGTATTAATGAAAAATGCATTTTGTTCTTTAGTGCTTAAAAAAAAAAGAAACTCATCTACTTTTTTGCGGAACTTTTTTTGGGATAGCCATTCCTCCTATGGATAGTCATCAGCAAGACACCTAAAAGACATGTTTTCCCTAGTTCTTATCAAAAATTCATCTCACAGAAAAAGTCATTCAAGAAAGCAAAACTTTGCTTTAAGTAGATAAAGTACTGTTTATATGCATTAAACCAAGCAATCCACTCAGGGTTTTAACGGTGTAAAAACTAAATCACAGTACAGCTGAACAGTGAATGGATGGGATGGTTCTGATGAGGTATTATTTTGACATTTTGGTCTCAGAAGGTGTTTCCCCAGTATCCAATGTCTTCAACAACCGGAAAAGACCAGCAGCTTCTCGTATCCTACTGAATTCAATACAGAATGCCTGCACTTCTATAAACAAATCCTGTACATTAATAATTTTGTTACGGATCAAGGATTGGAGAAACACACACACAAGACGCACCAACCGATTCTGAAAAAGGAAAAAAAAAAATGTTAGTCTGCTCATTTTCCTGGCAGCCATTTATAAAATTTACAAAAATTTATATTACCTGCATATATTTATCCTTAATCTGTTCACAAGTAGAGATGCAATTTGATATATAAAGGTGAATAAATTCAGGAGGTAGATCAACAGCTGTAGTTAGTCTGTTTCGTAAAAGAAAATTTGGCCCATTAATTTCATTTGCTAACATTGAGAAACACTGTTAACCATAAAATACAAAATTTGCTTTGGTCATCTGGTGGAATTTTCTGACATATCCAATTCCCTAGTTTTAAATATACTTGGGCAAATTAACCTAAGAGCCATACCTACTTACTCATAAATAACACTGTTTAAAATGTCTCTACTTACATTTACATATCGCAATTATTTTTTTGAGCCCTGTCCCTGAGTATTCTTGGTTAAATCCTAAGTCATGGTCTGTTATTGGAATTTAGAGTCATAATAAAGGCCAAAGCCAGTATTTTCCAAAGGATTACATGGAATGTTTTAATGAGAAAAACGAGTGGGGTGGGAACAGGAATTCCGTACTCAAAGTATGAATTTCCAAAAGAAGATTAATATATGCTGCCTTTTCTAAACTTAACAGACCTCAAAACTTTTTTCAATAAGGCATGAGGATGTAGTGCTCCAAGGACACTGTCATGAGCTGCTGCAGTCTCTTGAGATTTGTGCGTCGCCAAAAAACGTGTTTCACGTTTAAGGATGATGCACTATGATAGGTATCGGGGGAAAACAAACAGGACCTTGTCCTTGAATTCCAAGATACTGAGCAGATAGAATCACATTGATAAAAAGATGTAAGTGATTCTGCATCTTGGACTCAGGGCCAAATGTCTGGTAGAGACAAGAACTGCTATAAGAATATGGTGAAAGGGAAGTGAACACTCAGCGTGGTCAATCCGGAGGACCTGCACAGAACTGGGCCACTGAAAAGAGTGAGTCTTCACTCAGTAGGGGAAAGACTGGAACAAAGAGGGGGGAGATGTGCAGCAGCACGTTTTCAACAAGCAGCTAGCCGGTTTTGCCAGTGACCACGGTTAAAGTTAAAAATTAATTTGGAAACCTCACATTTCCTCCCTCTGCTACCGCTAAAAGAACGCACTCTCCTTCTATGCACGTACTTCCACTCCCTCAGCTTCCAGCTGGGCTTTTTTTCCCCCAATAGTTGATGAAAAAAGGACACATTCTGTAGTTCAATTTCACATAGATTTTTTCAAAAAGCCCCAACTTACAAACAGGTGTTCAAAAACTATGCTCTCCAGTACTGAAGTTTAGTTGCTTGGCACTCAGAATGGATTTCCCCATACAGGAGGACCATATAATTTATCATCCAAAACAGGATACCACGTGAAAGGGAGCTCAGGATGCAAAGCCTCCACCAGGACTCTCAGGCACACCTGAACCTCTGGCCACCCTGCACATAAACAACTTAAGCCCTCCAGCCCATCTAATTCACAATTTACCTAAAAGATATTTGTAAGGAAAATACTCTAAAATGCAAACACTGTACAGCACACATCAAGAAGGGAAGATGTTCTGTTTTCCTGACAGTCAAGGATGGCAGGGTCAGGAGCCTGGGGGTCAGAAAGGCTGGGAGAAGAGCACGAGGAAGCTAGGACAGCATTCCTAGGATTCTCAGCTCTTAAGGTCCATATTTTTCCACACTTACAGCTGTTAGTCACTAAGAAAAAATAGTATCTATATTTGTATAGGGATAAAGAAGACAGGACTATGTATAGGGAAATAAATTTCAGCAATTGGCTGGCACACTGGCTCATGCCTGTAATCCTTGCACTTGGGAGGCTGAGGTGGGCAGATCACTTGAGGTCAGAAGTTCGAGACCCGCCTGACCAACATGGCGAAACCCCGTCTCTACTAAAAATACAAAAATTAGTCGGGTGTGGTAGCACACACCTGTAATGCCAGCTACTAGGGCGGCTAAGGCAGGAGAATTGCTTGAACCCAGCGGGTGGAGGTTGCAGTGAGCTGAGATCACGCCACTGCACTCTAGCCTGGGCAACAGAGTGAGACTCCCTCTCAAAAAAATAAATAAATAAAATAAATTTCAGCAATTAAATTTCATTTATGCTTCTACTAACACTAAATATGTTTGAAATCCTACCCTCAGTTCTTATTAACGCATGCTAAATTTACATGTAGTGAATGCTAAGGCTTACATTATTTCTTTAATAGTTAATCTTACGCCAATAATATCAAGACAAAAATCTGTTACAATTTTTCTTTCCTGGCCATCTAATCTGTATCTATCCCCACACATTTGATCAAATCTAGAAACTTACCGATTTACAACTTCCATTGAATGTAAAGACATGTCCATATTGACCAGGACAGAGAAATACTCAGTGATCTGGCTTGACTGCATTAATTTCAGCAACATTTCTATAGCGACTAAAGGGTTGTTTTCCACAAGGTCAGGAAGTTTGGCTGGGGTGAGGCCAATATGGTAGACAAGTTTGGGGTCTTTTTCCAACTCACCAAGTAGCTAAATACACCAGATTTTTAAAGAGAGAGAGAGGGAGAGAGAAAGGGTGTTGAGTCAATTTTTTTTCCCATGTATATGAAATAAGCATTTTATACAAAAAGCTACAAAACTATCTGCATTGAACCAACTTCATAAATTTCTTCCTTCAAACCCATGATGTCTTGACATTTCTAAATTTACATTTTAATTTTGAACAAACTAAAATGCAAACACATCTAAGACAGTTTATAAATATGCTAGTGATTCCTATTCCTGGGCATCAAACCAGACTCCACACTGTCTGGTCAGATAAAATACTGTCTGGTTGTAACAATGTCAAGTCCTTTGCAGGTTTTTTTTTTCTGTCATCTGTTGTAACTAAAAATAATCTTAATGACCAACTAGTTCTCCCAAGAAACAGTCCTGCCCCACCCCACCCAGGTGGAGACCAGAAATACCTGAGAAGGGGGCGGAGTGGGAAGCCGGAGC
Source organism: Homo sapiens (assembly GCF_000001405.40). Classification (NCBI taxonomy): domain Eukaryota; kingdom Metazoa; phylum Chordata; class Mammalia; order Primates; family Hominidae; genus Homo; species Homo sapiens. Next base: position 101,266,208 of record NC_000002.12, on the reverse strand, counting down.
GGGAATCCGGACAGCTGACCTGCTGCGAGTCATCAGTCTGCAGAACTTTACAGTTCAAGTCACACCCACACTTTGTAATTCAAACAGGTATCCTCAAAGGACTTTTTCTATGAAGTAAGCACTTCCTCTTTAAATGTCCTATGCTTTTTTTCCCCCGTCTACTTAATATGTTCCACAGTGGACTGTGTTTTCAGGATGGTCTTGCGAGCAAAGCGAACTACAAACGTTGCTATTATTTCGTTTTGAAAATGATATTTTTGGTGGCAAACGTGATAGGAGAGGTCATCTCCTAAAAAGTTCTAACTCAAAAGTGTGCAAACTGGATAAAATTCACCAACCAATAGAAGAGTGGCCTTGCCTTTCCTGAGGAGAGTCATCCAGTCTCACACTCGGGCAGTGGGGGCTACTTTAATCTCAAATACACCACGATCCAGCTGTGTGATGGGGGCGGGTTCCCCTTCCCAGCCTTGTTTTCCTCCCTACAGCCTGTCAGTAACTCCACTTTCCATCAGAAGCGTTACCATCAGCTCAAACGTAACCATTGTGTAGTGTCCCACTGTACACAGCAGTGACACCCCCACTACCCCACCTCTCCCAGGGACAAACATCACAAAGAAAAGTTAGAACATTTTTGCCATCAGACTTCTTGCCCCACCACAGCAAAATTACCAAAGAGTAGAACAAAGCTTCAGAGACCCAAAAACCTTTGCAACTTCCTACTGCTCACTCACAGTGACAGGATTAGTTTATTGCTTACCACTTTCCAAAAAAAAAATAAACTCTTGTTGGATTAAAGATAAGAAAATGCTCACAATGGCTGGGTACAGTGGCTCACACCTGTAATCCCAGCACTTTGGAAGGCCAAGGTTGGCAGATCACTTGAAGCCACCAGACCAGCCTGGCCAACAATGGCAAAACCCCATCTCATAAAAATACAAAAATTAGCCGGGCATGGTGGTGCATGCCTGTAGTCTCAGCTGCTGGGGGCGCTGAGGCACGAGTATCACTTGAACCCGGGAGGCAGAGGCTGCAGTGAGCCGAGATCGTGCCACTGCACTCCACCCTGGGCAGCCGAGTGAGACTCTGTCTCAAAAACAAATTTTTTTAATTAAAAATAAATTTAAAAAAAAAGATAAGAAAATGCTTACAATCAATACACACCTGTGTTTGTTGGGGAGAGGATAAGGGGCTTTTGAAGGCTTTGGCCATTATTCGTTTGATCTCCACACCAGTGCTATTCTTAACACACATCGATTTATCCCACTGGATCGCGTGGTCAGGCTCCGTGGGGTTTAGCCAAGCAAGTTCATCCTCACAAATGTGGAGTGGAGGCGGTGGACGAATAAACTCTGGTCGAAAATGGCCTGTAATGAGAGCCGTGATAGTTGCTCCTATCAGGAAGCTAACATCTCTACACATCTCACACATTTCACTTAATAAAGTATGCAAAGAAATCTCTTAATAAGGATGATGTGACTAGAACTCTCATACTTCAAAATCAGAAGCAGGAATGACACAGGAAGTCAGGGTTTCAGTCAGAATGCAAACAAGACAATGAAAGAACACTATGCCAGCATGATGCCAGAGAACAATCTATTCGCTTTGCAGAAGTGAGGAAAGCCTGGCCGTGATCTGCCCATGCTGCACTTGAGCATGGCCACTCAACAGCAAAAGGGCACGACTCCTAAACGGGTGAAGTCTTTTGATGAAAAAATGAAATACTATGCCCTCACACATCCTATTCTTAGTTACCACTATTTGTTCAGCTGCCACTATGATTTGTACTAGTTTTATCTTTGCATCTTATAACTGAAGTAACAAATTACGTGGCGATGAAGCAGCAGGAGGAAAAGTATGGTTGCCTTTTGATATTTCGAAACGAATGTGGAAACCGTCACGAATCCCTAAATTCACAAATACTATATTCATTTTCAGAAAACAATAGAAGTACAAAAGGAAAATGAAGTGGTTCAACTCAACTATTTTATAAAACAAGATTCATCCCTGAGTTACAAACCCACTGAAATAAATGCTGGCTAGGACTTCTGCTGAACCAATTTCACATCTCACATAGTTTCCACATAGGGCAGGAGTGGCTTATTCCTGTCATGGATCCTAGCCCTGCCAAATTTGAGAGTCTACTGTTGAGTTTACAGAAAATATTTTTTAGTTAAAAATCATCACTTTATCTTAAACATCTCCACTGCCTCTTCACTTACCTCACCAGGACTAGCATCTGAATCTCCCTTCAACCACTTACAAAAATAAAGTTTTTAACAATTTATGAGAAATACTACTTATGTGATAGAGAGTTCTTGCGAGGTGGGGACACCTGGTGTTTGGCTAGACCCACTTATTATGAGTGATCTGCTTTTCATATATCTTCCTGGTGACCTATGCAATTTAGAGTTCTGCCCGAGCAAATATTTAAAAGAAGCCATTACATGCCATGGACATTTCAGTCACACTTGTGACCAGCAGAAACTTCAAATATTAAACCTATGTATGTCAAAGATCTACTGTAAACCAAATGGTACAAAAGTCACTGTGTGAACTTCAAACTCATGGTGATACTACACTATCATCTGGTAAACATGTTCTCATCCCAAAGCAGAAAGCTTGCCTTCATAATTCAAAGCACACAGAAGCCTATAAAACAGATGCCAGGTAGAGTGGTGCATGCCTGTAATTCCAACTATGTGGGAGTCTGAGGTAGGAGGATCCCCTGAGCCTCAAGGGATTGAGTCCAGCCTGGGCATCATAGCAAGATTCCATCTCTTAAAGAAATCCCCAAAAAATGCAGCTATATTATTTCAAATTCTACAAGTGTTTTCTTTGAATTAAAGTAAATTAGGAGTTTATAAGAAAAACTTTAAAATGGAAAAGGAAATGATAGCAATAAGAAGATTTAACAGGTATAAAACAAAAAGATAATGAGCTGCTACAAAAAGACTCATTTCAGTAAAATGAGAATCTGTATTTTTTTTTTTTCCTTTTTGAGACAGAATCTCACTCTGTCACCCAGGCTGGAGTGCAGTGGTTCGATCTCGGCTCCTGCAACTTCTGCCTCAGCAATTCTCCTGACTCAGCCTCCCAAGTAGCTGGGACTACAGATGCATGCCACTACACTCGGCTAATTTTTTATTTTTAGTAGAGATGGGGTTTCACCATGTTGGCCAGGCTGCTCTAGAACTCCTGACCTCAAGTTATCCACCTGCCTCGGCCTCCCAAAATGCTGGGATTGCAGGTGTGAGCCACTGCGCCCAGCCTGTATCTTTAGGTATGCATAGGATAGACATGCAACAAACAACTTGGCATGCATTTTTCTTAAAGAAGAAATTAACTGTCACTGAACATCTCTACTATGTTCTAGACACTCACTACACTAGAAAGATTCACACTAAATTACAATTTAAGTCATAATAAAAATAAAATGATGTCTCAAAAACTGAAAAGTCCTAGAGGATCCTGCTGACAGAATAAAACAAAGAGTATAAATTAATTTATATGTACCTACTTTCAATAGGTGGCTTTGGTCCGCTGACTAAAGCTTCTGTGATCTGAGAGGCAACTGAGCTGTCAAATCCAGAATTAGAAGAATCCGGGTCTGGGTCACTGAGAATACTGGGGAAGCTCGCTTTGCTTTGCGTTGGCAATTCAGATTGGCGTTCTGGAAATAGGAGACATTTTAAAATTATGGACATCATGAGGAGAGAGAAAAGACAAGCTACCAACTGAGGCAAGCTATCTGTAACAGAGAAAAACAAAGGGCCAGATTCAGAGAGAGAGAGAAAATGTGTGTATGTCTGTACGTATAGCAGGTCCTCACTTAGCGTTGTTGAAAGGTTCTTGGAATCTGCCACTAAGTGAAGTGACGTGTAACAAAACAACTATTTTTATCAATGTTATAATAAAACAATGTTGATGAAACAGTGTTATTCAAGGACCTGCTGTACATCACTTCACTTAAATCTGCAGTTTCCAACAACCCGTCAGTGATGTTAAGTGATGACTTACTGTACATATATTTTTAAATCAATGTTTTAAAAAAAGAAAGAACCCACCAGGCGCAGTGGCTCATGCCTGTAATTCCAGCACTTTGGGAGGCCGAGGCAGGCAGATCACGAGGTCAGGAGATCGAGACCATCCTGGCTAACACGGTGAAACCCTGTCTCTACTAAAAAAATACAAAAAATTAGCCGGGCATGGTGGCAGGTGCCTGTAGTCCCAGCTACTCGAGAGGCTGAGGCAGGAGAATGGCATGAACCCGGGAGGCGGAGCTTGCAGTGAGCCAAGATCGCGCCACTGCACTCCAGCCTGGGCGACAGAGCGAGACTCCATCTCAAAAAAAAAAAAAAAAAAAAGAAAGAAAGAAACCAACAGGAAAAAATGGACTAGTAACTTTAATAAGGATTTTGTTTAAAAAGCTTGAATGGCCAAAAAAATCTGAAAAGATATTTAATCCCATTAGGAACTAGGGAAAATCCAGTTAAAACACAAGATACTATAACATACCCACCAGATTGGCAAAAATGTATAAACTTGACATTACCAAATGCTGAAGAGGATGTAAGGTAACTTGCATGGTGCTACAGGAGTGAAAAATGGCAAAGCAACTTTGGAAAATAATTTGATGTTTCTTTATAATGTTTACATGTGCATTTCTTTCCATCTAGGAGACACACTTTCACACGCGCCCCAGAATAATGTGCAAGAATGTTCACAGCAGTATTATGTCCATCAACAACAGAATGGACACAGAACTTGGTACTCCACAGTGTGAAGGTACCACAGCAGCAATGAAGGGCAGCCACTGCAGTTACACGCCATCAGCATGGACTCATCTGTCAACCCCCAACAGAAGGAAGGCACAAGAGAATAAATGCAGTACAATTCCACATGTATAAAGTTCAAGGGCATGCAAAGTGAAACTATAGGCAGGCACAGGAGGGAAGCAAATTGAGGATGATTATCACAAAAATCAGGTTAGTGATGAGGCAGCCACTGGGAGAAACAGGGAGCCTGTAGGCCCTGAAAATATTCTCTTTCTTAACTTGGATGGCAGGTTGCTCCTGGTTCACTTAATTATAATTCCTTTAAAAAGTGAATGCATGTTTCACTTCAGATTGTGTAATTTTAAAAACACGGGGCTAAATTCCTGATTAAAGAACTATACAAATCAATAAAAGACCATCAACCCAATGGAAAAATGGCCAGAGACATATGAAAAGATGCCTTAGACATATAGCATCTTTTCTCATCCACTTACTAGGAGAAATGCTCACTAAAATTATCCTGTAATGCCATTTAAAAAAATCTCAGATTGTTGAAGTACAAAAAGTTAGATAACATATTATCAACCAAAATGTGAAAAAAAAAAAAAGATAAATTGGCCAGCTGTTTGGTAAACTAGTAAGTGGTAGGTGTTTGTCAGGAATAAATCATAAAGAAAAACAAAACCTCTGAAATGAAAACTCATTGTTAGGGTAAAACTTCACCCCTTGTAGTCACTTATGTTTAACTTGTCTACTTGTTTTTTTAAAGTTAAGAAAACACAAACTGCATCATCCAAAAATACACCTTTGGTCCACGGATGCCACTGGAAGACATCTGAATTTTAGACCTCCAGAGAGAAGATCTGGGTGGCTAGCTCCAGAGTGGAGGCATGCTTGCTTTTTCTTTACACTTGTGAAGAGGAATGGATCCGGACATCTGCAATCTGGGTAGAGGACGGCAGGCAGCAAGCTTAGCCACTCGGCCAGGCTTCTCAGCCCTTACTCTAGACATGTGATCCTTCCTCCACGTGATATACTTCACAACTTTCTTACGGCTACTCAAGGCATCCCAAGTTAAAAGGAAGGTCAGATGTGATTCTCACTTTATTATGATAAAAAAAATTACTATTTAAATACTATAAATAAATATTATAATAAATACTAAGCTAGAACCATCAGAATACATCACTTCTGTATCCAGTTTTCAAAGTATCTTTGGTGTTTGTCAGGAATAAATAAAAGTAATCATTTTATTTCTATTAAATTATATCTGGCACTAGTGGCTAGTACTTTTGTACTTATTAGTACAACCTTAAAAAGTCTTAAAAAGATTTCTTTTGGTTTCAGAACATAACCATTGTTACATTGTTCTTGTCTCTGCTTTTGTAACAGGGTCTCACTCTGTTGCCCAGGCTGGAGTGCAGTAGTACAATCATGGCTTATTGTAGCGTTGACCTCTCAGGATCAAGTGATCCTCTTATGTCAGCCTCCTGGGTAGCCGGGACCACAAGTGCACACACCACCATACCCAGGTAATTTTTATTTTTTTAATTACTTTTGTAGAGACAGGGTCTCCCTATGTTGCCCAGGCTGGTTTTAAACTCCTGGGCTCAAGTGATTCTCATGCCTTGGCCTCCCAAACTGCTGGGATTATAGGTATGCGCCATTGTGCCTGGCCCCATTGTTATATTGTTAATACCCAATAGTTTAAAGGTTCACAATGTTGCAAAGGAAAAGCTGTTTACTGCAACATGTCACCTTATATCAGAAGCCAAATGTCACAGGTTTATGAAGTCTAAGAAGGATGGGGCATTGTCAAAATACTTCAGCTTACTTAATTACAAAGTCAAGGGTTCACAAACCCAGCTACATATTACAATTTCCCTGTTGAGTTGCTCTCAAGTGAGAAAATGAATGCTGACAGCAGGCAAGCCCAAAGTGCCTCCTCTACTCCTTCAGAACTCAGAGAGCCTCTCTCTGACCACCAGTTCTCCTTCTCCTATTATTTTCTGTCAGGACACACTGTTTACTTCAAGAGCACTCATTCATTTGCTTACAGGTTTAACACAGAATGTGCCAGAACAATCCTGAACGAGAACAAAGTTGAAAGTCTCATACCTCCCGATTTCAAAACTTAGTACAAAGCTACAGTAATCAAAACAGTGTGGTACTGGCAGAAAGACAGACATATAGACAAATAGAATGGAATAGAAAGCCCAGAAATAAACCCTTGCATATATGGGCAAATGATTTTCAACAAGGATGCCAAGAGAACGTTGGGTTTTGGCTATTCAGCATCCCGAGACAGGTCTCACGATATTGTGCAGGCTGGAGTGCAGTGGCGCAATCACAGCTCACTGCAGCCTCGATCTCCCAGGCTCAAGTGATTCTCCCACTTAAGCCTCCCAAGTAATTGAGACCACAGGCATGCACCACCACGCCCGGCTAAGTTTTTAATTATTTGCAGAGACAAAGTTTCCTTATGTTGCCCAGGCTAGTCTTGAACTCCTGCCCTCAAACGATCCTCCCACTTTGGCCTCTCCCAAAGATTACAGGCATGAGCTACTATGCCAGCCTTTCTTTGGTTTAAAGATGGATTTTTCTTTTTTTTTTTTTTTTTGAGACAGACTCTCGCCCTGTCACCCAGGCTGAAGTGCAGTTGCACAATCTCAGCTCACTGCAACCTCCAGCTCCCAGGTTCAAGTGATTCTTGTGCCTCAGCCTCCCAATTACAGGTGTGAGCCACTGTGACTGGCCGGATTTTTCTATTTCTGCAAAAAACACTGTTGGAATTTTGACAGGAATTGCACCAAATCTGTTGATTGTTTTGGGTAGTATTGACATTTTAACAAATAGTAAGTCTTCCAATCAAAACTTAAAAAAAAACCCACTAAATTTTATCCAGCTTTCTTCTAAAACAGAAAAAGCAATCAATTCAAGTGAAAACTCCAAATGAATTTACATGCTATTAGCATCCAAAAATTTAAAGAGTTCCATTTATTTATTTATTTATTTATTTATTTATTTATTTATTTATTGAGATGGAGTCTCACTGTAGCCCAGGCTGGAGTGCAGTGGTTTGTTCTCAGCTCACTGCAACCTCCACCTCCCGGGTTCAAGCTATTCTCCTGTCTCAGCCTCCTGAGTAGCTGGGATTACAGGCGTGCTGCACCACCATGTCTGGCTAATTTTTTGTATATTTAGTAGAGACAGGGTTTCACCATGCTGGCCAGGCTAGTCTCAAACTCCTGACCTCAAATGATCTGCCCACCTCAGCCTCCCAAAGTGCTGGGATTACAGGTGTGAGCCACCGTGCCCAGCCAAGACTTCCATTTAAGATCCAGTACTAAAACTACTTTTTAAAATGGATGATACTAACCTTTTAGCAGTTACAAAAAACATCATTTTAGTAGAGTCCTCAACAAGAGAGGCCTAATATTACCACACAGAAATGCCCAAAACACTGATTCCTCCTTACCGGCCAAGGCTAACTGAAGCCCACTAATGTCCACAGACTGGCCCATGTTTCCAACGTCCATCAGTGCAATCTGGCGAGGCGTCTTTTTGAAGAGTTCCCGTGGGGGTGCCAGCATCAGCTGGGAAAGAAAAAACTTTTCTGGTGGAGTTATAGGAGGTAAAAATCCTGCAAACAAAAATGTATAACGATTTCTCCAATGGTTACTTTTAAAAATCAACTTGAATCTGGTAAAATCAGTACTTGCTACTTGCCACTTCAAGCCACATAGTTTTAAGAACTAAATTATGATTAAGTTTCAGTCAACCAAATATATACATTTACAAACTATGTAATATGTCATTTGAAATTCTATGATCTGTGGCCCTACAAATGAAACTTAAGGTTTTTGTACTTGTTAACTGTAAGAGTTAAAGAAAGAGGAAAGAAACACAAAACGCAGCCTGGCAGTCAAAGACAGGTTTTCTTTAGTTAAAACATCGGCCAGGAGTGCTTCTCAGGTTCTAACTAAAGAAAATCTGTCTTTGACTGCCAAGCTGCGTTTTGTGGCTTTTTTTTTTTTTTTGAGATGAAGTCTCACTCTTGTCTCCCAGGCTGCAGTGTGATGGCATGATCTTGGCTCACTGCAACCTCCACCTCCCGGGTTCAAGAGATTCTCCTGCCTCAGCCTCCCAAGTAGCTGGGATTACAGGCACCTGCCACCATGCCCAGCTAATGTTTGTATTTTTAGTCGAGTCGGGGTTTCACCATGTTGGCCAGGCTGGTCTTGAACTCCTGACCTCAGGTGATCCACTCGCCTCAGCCTCCCAAAGTGCTGGGATTACAGGCATGAGTCACCGTGCCCCGCCTGGTGTTTCTTTCCTCTTTAACTCTCACATTAGTAACTTCATTTTCTTTTCTTTTTTTTTTTGAGATGGAATCTCGCTCTGTCGCCCAGGCTGGAGTGCAGTGGTGCAATCTCGGCTCACTGCAAGCTCTGCCTCCTGGGTTCACGCCATTCTCCTGCCTCTGGCTCCCGAGTAGCTGGGACTACAGGCGCCCGCCACCACGCCCAGGTAATTTTTTGTACTTTTTAGTAAAGACAGGGTTTCACCGTGTTAGCCAGGATGGTCTTGATCTCCTGACCTCGAGATCCACCCACCTCGGCCTCCCAAAGTGCTGGGATTACAGGCGTGAGCCACCACGCCTGGCCCAATAACTGCATTTTCTAAAGTGCCTCAATTCCTGCAAAGGCTAAAGCTTATATATGCAAACAAAAACAGACAACACTATAGTGCTCGGAAATGCTTTTCTTTCTTCTCTGTTTCCACTGTGTAGAAGTTGAATAAATAGAAGAGCAACCAGCAGCTATCCAAATACACTACCTGATTCAACACACAATGCAGCTACAAATTCCCACAAGGCTGAATGTTCCTTCCCTTTTGTCCCATGTTTAATTGCTCATGAAGCCTCATCTCTCCCACTGCAGAAATGTCACCAGGCTGCATTCCCTCAGATGTAGTCCCCACGCCTCTCTTGCTGGGACTACTCCTGCCCCCTCTACTGACTTCCCCAGCTCCCAGTTTTGACCCCTGCTCACCCACCACCCATAGTCCATACTTCCTCTTACCATTTAGTTATATCTCTAGAGTACAAATCTGATCACATTACTTAACCTGTGTACACAGAATTAAACCCAGATTTCTACACCATTACAAGACCCTTCAAAATCTGGTCCCACCACACCTTCCTAATCTCACTTCTTGACCTTCTCTCCCATCCATGTACCCTACACCCCGGTTGCACAAAATCCCTCAACTTCTACACTATTTTTTTTTTTTTTGAGGCAGTCTCACTCTGTTGCTCAGGCTGGAGTGCAGTGGCGCGATCTCAGCTCACTACAGCCTCCGCCTCCCAGGTTCAAGCAATTCTCCTGCCTCAGACTCCTGAGTAGCTGGGATTACAGGAGTGCACCATCATGCCGGGCTAATTTTTGTATTTTTTGGTAGAGATGGGGTTTCGTCATGTTGGCCAGGCTGGCTTCCAACTCCTGGCCTCAAGTGATCTGCCTGCCTTGGCCTCCCAAAGTGCTGGGATTGCAGGCATGAGCTACCACACCCGGCCTTACACCCAGTTTTTTAATAATACCTGGCAGAGCTACTCCTGCCCTCCCTCCTGCATCCCTAATCAATATCCAGCAAAAAATATCACTCCTGAGAATTTCTCCAGCTCCACAGGTGGTCGTTCCTTCCTCTTAACTACCCAGCATTACACAATCGCAGCCCTGCCTCTGTTCAGAGTCATCTGAAAAGCATTCTGAAGACATACCCACTAAATGTCTTACCCTAAACATACAATATCAGCAGCTCTGGGAGTGGAGTGTAGGCACTGATATTTTCTCTTCTATGTTATCTACACACCATCCCTACCTACTTTAATAATGGTATAATAGTGGGTAACACTCACAGGTACTTTTTTTTTTTTTGAGACGGAGTCCCGCTCTTTAGCCCAGGCCGGATTGCAGTGGCACAATCTTGGCTCACTGCAAGCTCCGCCTCCCAGGTTCACGCCATTCTCCTGCCTCAGCCTCCCAAGTAGCTGGGACTACAGGCGCCCGCCACCGCGCCCGGCTAATTTTTTGTATTTTTAGTAGAGACGGGGTTTCACCGTGTTAGCCAAGATGGTCTCGATCTCCTGACCTTGTGATCCGCCCGCCTCGGCCTCCCAAAGTGCTGGGATTACAGGCGTGAGCCACCGCGCCCAGCCCACTCACAGGTACTTTTATTCTTTGTAACAACTCTACCAGCTGGGAATTGTTACTATTTGCATTTTACAGATGAGGAATCTGAGGCACAAAATGGTTAAATATAATCCATCCATGGATTCCTTCTCTGGTGACTGCCATCCCACCTATGGCAAATCTGTGTGTATAATGCGGTCTACGGACTAGGTGTGGGTTTAGATTCACTGTACATGAGAATGACATTATATAAGTCACGGTTTCTTTGCCTCACTTGTTCTTCAGAATTCAAAGGGCCCTCTGATCTAAATCCCAGTGTCCCAATCCTCTAATACAAGCACCCTAGGGTGGTGGTTGTCTGTGTGTGTGTGTGTGTTTAGAAGCTGTCACCCTAACTCACTGCAGCCTCAAACTCCTAGGCTCAAGTGATCCTCCTGCCTCAAACTCCTGAGCAGCTGGGGCTACAGGTGTTAGCCACCCCATGCCCAGCAAATTTTTTATTGCTTTGTAAAGACAGGATCTTACTATGTTGCCCAGGATGGTTTCAAACTCCTGGCCTCAAGCAATTCCCACCCCCCAACCTCCACCACTTCGGCCTCCAAAAGTGCTGGGATTATAGGCGTGAGCCACCTAGCCAGGCCTAGGTGGTGAGTTTTGACCACAAACCTGTGTTACATTCACTTTCTGGGCAGTCACAAGCTTCTTAGAAGCAGGTTAAGTACCTGTACCCTAAAGGCATCTCAGGCCAATACAAAGGGTTGCCCTTCTTAGATAAGGGCACTACAGGACACCTATCAGAAGATCCTGATGGGATGCCCGGCAGGAACACTAACTAGAAACGCGGCCCTCCTGTACCATAAAAACAAACTCCTGGTGTTACTTCAAAATCTACTGCCTAGCCTTGACTCACTGTATAGCAGGCCCTACCTATACTGGTTAAGGAATGTAAGATCAAGCTGTTTCCTATCTCTGTGTGCTTCCTCCACTACACTGGTTCCTAAATCCTTCAGGTCCCGTTGTCAACATGCCATTTTTCTTGTTTTCTGACTGCAAGTCTTCTCGCAAAGCAAATCCACATAAAGCATCACCTGCTTGAGCTTAAAAACAAAAAAAAATGCAGCCTCGCATCTAACCTACTAGTTTGATCTCACCAATGCCACACAATAGTAAATACATTTTACATAATGTATACCACGTATGCACTTTACATAATGTCCAGTAAGTCATGTGTTTCCAAACGCGAGATCATCAATTTGAGACTTTCTATCCTCTGCCCCCATCCCTAACAGGCTAAGAAAGGCGGCTGCAAAGTCTTTAAGGTGTTTCATGTGTATTTCCGCCCACCAACTTCTTCAGCTTCTTAATACTGACTTCCACGTACTCCTTTGAGACTAAAAACCGGGGACAGATCCAGTCTTATCATTGGTTTTAACTTCACACACCACAGACGGGTTTTCGAAGAACGAACCGTATTTGAGACACTAAACATGTCAAGACCTACACTGAGCTGTATGATGTGATGGGGTGTATAGAGAAATCATTTTCGGTGTCACGAACTTGCAATTAAGCTACCACCTCTCCATTCTTTAGAGTTAAGGCGGGGAGGAGTGAGGGGCGTGGGAACGCAGAGAGAGGCGGAAAAAGAGGATGATCATTTCACAGGGATAGTTAATTTCCCTTTCAGGTGAGTTCCCAGCAGCGCAGGTGGAAAGCTGCGGAATCTAACGCTATCCACACGGCACAGCTGGCTTCAGGAGGTACCTGAGAGCGGAGGGCGGTCGGGTTCCTGGCCGCCGCGGGCGGGCGGCGCGGGGTTGAGCAGGTGCGCGAAGCTGGCGGCGAAGGGGTTGGCGGCCAGCGGCTCGGTGCGGTACATCTCCCAGAGCAGGTAGAGCGCCGTGAGGCGCTGCGCCGCGCTAGGCAGCAGGTCGGGCTGCTGGAGCAGCATGACGAGCACCGAGCCCAGGCGGAAGTGGTCGGCCTTGCTGAAGTAGTGGTGGAAGGCGGTGGACAGGCCCTCGAAGGTGCTGCCGCCGCCCGCCTCCTCCGATATGATGCTCAGCAGGCTCGAGAGCTCCTTCGGGGTCAAGCTCATCCTGCCCGCGGGGCCCCCCGGGCCTCCGCTCCCGGACCCGGGGCCGCTTGCTCCGCCTCTGCCGCCGCCGGAGCCCCCGAAGCCGCTCCTGGACGCCGACCCTGCCGCTTCCCGGGACCCTCTTTGCTCCGCGGCGGTGAGAAGCCGGCCAGACGCCGCGCTCGCCCCTCCGCCGGGCATCAACCTCGCTCCCCTTCCCCTCTTCCCGGCCCGAGGGGCCCTGGCGCCGGCTCGCTCCGTCCCCGCGGCCGTAAAGCGCGCTGTTACACGACAGCGTCGCAAACAAAACACGTCGGGGAAACCAGACCGCCGCGGAGAGGGACAGCGCCCAGCGAAAGCGAGGCTGATGGAGCGAAGCCAGGAAGAGGATGCGGAGACGCGGGGTAGGCGGGGCGAATTGGCAGGAAGCGGGGGCGGGGCCCGGGAAGGGAGGGGAGGGGCGGGGCGAGGTCGGGCTGGTGGCGTTCAGGGTTAGGTCTGCCGAGGTCCCGCGGCAGGAGAGCCCGGGGACTGCATGCGTCTGCGCAGCTGCGAGGTTAAGCCGCCCTTTGGCGGTCCCCAGGACGGTTCCTGGTGCCAGACGGTCCCAGTAAGTGCTGTCTACGTTATTATTTGGAAGAATGCACCTCAGATGTTAACTATTTTCTTAATATAACATCCGTAAGTATTCGTCGTAAAAAGTATTGTAAATGCAGGCCGGGCGTGGTGGCGCGTGCCTGTAATCCCAGCACTTTGAGAGTCCTAGGCGGGAGGGTCGCTTGAGCCCGGGAGTCCCAGGCTGCAGTGAGCTGTGATCACCACTGCATTGCAGCCCGGGCGCTCTGTCTCAGAAACATTTTTTTTAATTTAGTAAATGCAAATATACCACACATTTCACATAACCACGGTTAATTTCTAGTCTTACACTCATTGCAGAAATGGAATCATACTGCACTATGAGCTTTTTTGTACATGGTTTTTTCTCTTAACATGATTTCGAGAACATGTCTCCAGTTAATATTCATTTACAAAATTGTTTGCTGTGCCACGTTTTACTTAGATTGCCCTAGGGCACTTATCCTGGGCACTTAGCTGTGCATTAGAAACCCACGGGGAGACGTTACAAATACCTAGTTCCACCCCCAGAGATGCTGATTGAGATATTAATAAACCCCACCTCTTCAGGTGAGTCTGAGGTGTAGTCTGGGCTGAGAACCACCAGGTGGCATTTCCCAGACTTGCCCGGTCCCTAAACCTACAGAAACGTACGCGTATTTCGCCAGTGATTACCACCAGCGATTCTAATTATCTAGTTAAGAGCCACCTCAATTCTTTTTTAAAACATATTTTTATTTTATTTTATGTGTTTTTGGGGAGAAAGATATTTTATGTAAAAAAAATTTTTTTCATCTTTTTAAAACTTGTATTTCAGTAGTTTTGGGGGTACAGGTGGTTTTTGGTTACATGGATAAGTTTTTAGTGGTGATTTCTGAGACTTTGGTGCACCCGTCACCAGAGCAGTGTACGCTGTACCTGTCAGGCCTCTGAGCCCAAGCCTGCACATATACATCCACATGGCCTGAAGTAACTGAAGAATCACAAAAGAAGTGCAAATGGCTGGTTCCTGCCTTAACTGATGACATTACCTTGTGAAATCCCTTCTCCTGGCTCAGAAGCTCCCCCGCTGAGCACCTTATGACCCCCGCCCCGGCCTGCCAGAGAACAACCCCCTTTGACTGTAATTTTCCACTACCCACCCAAATCCTATAAGATGGCCCCACCCCTCTCTCACTTCCCTGACTCTTTTCAGACTCAGCCCGCCTGCACCCAGGTGATTAAAAAGCTTTATTGCTCACACAGAGCCTGTTTGGTGGTCTCCACACGGACGCGCGTGACAGTACCCAAAATATAGTCTTTTATCCCTCAGCCCTGTCCCACGTATACCCCCTCCCACCCCAGAGTCCTCAAAGTCCATTATATCATTCTTATGTCTTTGCATCCTCATAACTTAGCTCCCACTTAGAAGTGTAATATTTGGTTTGCTACCTCAATTCTTATGAAAAATTTAAGGAAGAGAAATTGCTGGGTCAACAGGTGTGATATCTACTGAATTTTAAAGGCTTCTTCAATTTACTGCTAAATTGCACTTCAGAAAGATCCTGCCAATTAACGTTCCTAACAGCAGCAGATATAATGTGGTAACTTGGGGAACTGATTCAAATTAGCTCAAAAGTACTCTCATAAATTTTTTATTATAGGGCCTGGGCAAGGTGGCTTATGCCTGTAATCCCAGCACTTTAGGAGACCGAGGCAGGTGGATCACTTGAGGCCAGGAGTTTGAGACCAGCCTGGCCGTGGTGAAACCCCGAATCTACTAAAAATATAAAAATTGGCCGAGCATGGCGGCTCATGCCTGTAATCCCAGCTACTTGGGAGGATGAGGCAGAAGAATGGCTTGAACCTGGGAGGTGGAGGTTGCAGTGAGCCGAGATCTCACCACTGCACTCCAGCCTGGGCGACAGAGTGAGACTGTCTCAAAAAAAAATTTTTGTTATTATAATAAACTGTATTTTGTGCAAGCCATTTTACATTGGGTGGTCTATGGGTCTATTTGTTATTGTAATTTTCCTGCAGTTCTAATACTATTTAATAGTAGTAATTATACCAATTGCCAGTTATTAATGTAGTAATACTAATGCTGTGTGGGTTTTTTCCAAGATGTTTCAAAAATATTTGAACATTTTATTTTATCTTAAAAAAAAAATAAAAAACATGGGAAGCCGAGGCGGGTGGATCATCGAGGTCGGGAGTTCAAGACCAGCCTAACCAACATGGAGAAAACCCGTCTGTACTAAAAATACAAAAAAATTAGCCAGGCGTGGTGGTGGGCACCTGTAATCACAGGTAATTGGGAGGCTGAGACAGGAGAATCATTTAAACCCTGGAGGCAGAGGTTGCAGTGAGCCGAGATCGTGCTGCTGCACTCCAGCCTGGGTGATAGAGACTCTGTCTCAAAAAGAAAACCGGTTAGGACTAGGTGTGCCATCTGCATAGAGTGTGAATCTCTGGCAGCCCCCACCCCAGTCTTTTATTATGCAGGCAGGTAGCTATTCTTGTGACTGATCTCTTTCCTACTGTGTACATGCTAACAAAAAAGGGAAGGTGGAGCCCCCATGGTGGACACGCATGGCCCCAGGTTGCTGTGTCTGTGTGGCTGCTGGCATCACCCTGTGCAAGCTTCCAGCTTCCTTATTTATGTCTGCAGCTCGATCTTTCAGGCTGCTCTTTGTTAGAAAATAAGTGATTTCTTGGGCTGCTTTTTGCTTCTTTTTTCTTTTCCCTTCATGACCATTACCACGTAGGATATAAGCCTCTGGCTTGCCTCCTATATAGCCCCTCATTTCCTTCCCCATATTTGGCAACCAGACCAGCATCCAGGACAACATAAACTATGCCACTGGTTGTTAGAAGGCTTGGGACATTTGTCTCTTTGCCAGCCTTAGCTTAACCCAGGAGACAAAGATTATTATCTCTCCTGCATAGGATCTGCAATCAGAACTATTGAACTTCTCCATCTGGACCACCACTCACACCTATAGGAAAAGGGTAATATAATAGATCATTGCCTAAATAACAGGGAATCCTGTTCATATGATGGAAAATGGGGACAAAAGGCTTTGGTACCTAAAACATTATTCCTACCTTGGCATAGAAACTCACTGACACCTACCTTAACGCTATTATGCTTATTTGCTGTTTTTAGAGAATTTATTAGGACAATTTCAAGCTCAAAATATGCTAACTGGTGCCTTGTTAGCCACACAGAATTGTACCTAAAAACTTTCTAGACCAACTCACTATAAAATTAAACTTTCTTTAGGTGTCCACGTCGCCCCTAAGTCATGCCAGAAGCAGCCCTGATTAACATAACCCCTACCCCAATAATCCCCAGTAAAAACTTATGTTTTCTTTATCTTTTCTTATAACTTTATATTTTATAAGTAAAAAGACAGGAATGTCAGGCCTCTGAGCCAAAGCTCATCCGTTGTAACCCCTGTGACCTGCACGTCCAGATGGCCTGCAGGAGCCAAGAAGTCTGGAGCAGCCAAAAAACCACAAAAGAAGTGAAACAGCCAGTTCCTGCCTTAACTAATTAATCCACCTTATGGCATTCTACCATTATGACTTGCTCCTGCCCTGCCCCAACTAATCAATTGACCTCGTGACATTCTTCTTCTGGACAATGAGTTTTATGATCTCCCCACCATGCACCTTGTGACCCCCTCCTCTGCTGACGATAGATAACCACCTTTAACTGTAACTTTCCACTGCCTACCCAAGCCCTATAAAGCTGCCCTTTCCTATCTCCCTTCGCTGACTCTCTTTTTGGACTCATCCCACTTGCACCCAAGTGAATAAACAGCCTTGTTGCTCACACAAAGCCTGTTTAGGTGGTTTATATGGACACACGTGACACTAAGCAATTCCAGAAGTGTGAGACCCCTAGGGTTAAATGTGAATGGGAGAAAACTTAAAGTTTCTTCCAAAAGTTGTATTTATTTTTCTGGTTTTCCTGAATACAATGGAAACTGCAACCTGACTTTTCACAGGCCCCAGGTCATCCCCTTGCATGAGTTCAATCACTGGATCTTGCTTCTCAAAATTAAATCACTGGATCTGGAGCAAAAAATATAGGCCCCTTAGCCTTTTTCCTTAAGTTATAACTGAAGCAAAGCTACTGCTATTAATTGTAATGATCATTCTTTTTTTCCCCCCAACTGCTCTCCAAGCATCTACTGGTCCTGCCTTTCCACACTGCAGTCTACATTCTCGTTGCCCCACTTCTTCACTAACCCTCCCCATCACGTCCTTTTCTAAAGATCCAGACCGGGAGTGGTGGCTCACGCCTGTAATCCCAGCACTTCGGGAGGCCGAGGCGGGTGGGTCACCTGAGGTCAGGAGTTTGAGACCAGCCTGGTCAACATGGTGAAACCCGAGCTCTACTAAAGAATACAAAAAATTAGCTGAGCATGGCAGGCACCTGTAATTTCAGCTACTCGGGAGGCTGAGGCAGGAGGATCACTTGAACCCAGGAGGTGGAGGTTACAATGAGCCAAGATGGTGCCATTGCACTCCAGCCTGGGCAACAAGAGCGAAACTCCAACTCAAATAAATAAATACCAGCCTGGCCAACGTGGCAAAACCCCATCTCTACTAAAAATACAAAAATTAGCCGGGTGTGGTGGCACATTCCTGTAATCCCAGCTACTCGGGAGGCTGAGGGAGGAGAATCGCTTGAACCTGGGAGGCAGAGGTTGCAGTGAGTCAAGATCGTACCACTGCATGCCAGCCTGGGTGACAGAGCAAGACTCTATCTCAAAAATAAAATAAAAAAATAAAAATCGAGTAAAGCCTTCTAAATAACATAACCTTTAGCTGGTAACAAATCACTTGGTTTGAAGGTGACTAACAATAGGAAAAGTTCAGACCTCAGGACTGAGCTCAATTTCAAAAGATTCTCCTAGGATACCCTGCTGTTAAAAAGGGAGACAAAAATATTCCCTTAGCAGCATAAATAAGATACTATCAGCCTGGGCAACATAGTAAGACCCCCATCTCTACAAAAAATAAAAAAATTTAAAAACCACAAAATACTGTGCAAGCATCCCATTCTTTTTTTTTTTTTTTTTGAGACAGAGTCTTGCTCTGTCGCCCAGGCTGGAGTGCAGTGGCCAATCTTGGCCCACTGCAATCTCCACCTCCCGGGTTCACACCATTCTGCCTCAGCCTCCCGAGTAGCTGGGACTACAGGCGCCCGCCACCATGCCCGGCTAATTTTTTGTATTTTTTTAGTAGAGATGGGGTTTCACCATGTTGGCCAGGATGGTCTCGATCTCCTGACTTCGTGATCCACCCGCCTCGGCCTCTCAAAGTGCTGGGATTACAGGCGTGAGCCACCGTGCCGGCCAAGCATCCCATTCTTATCTCATTCAAATCCTACCCATATTTTCTCACTGCAAAGCAGAGGCTTGACAACTTATAACTTCTCTTCAATAACCCACAGAGATGCTGATTCAAATGTCAGTTGAGATTAATTTTATGAAATTAATAAAAAGAATAAAGAGGAGAGTTTTCCACAAAACATGGGCTTTGCAGTCAGGTAGACCTAGGTTCAGATTCTAATTCTACAATTTATTAGCTATGTATCTTCAGGAAATTTGAATAAGCTCTCTGAGCCTTACTTTCCTGATTTCTAAAATGAGAATTAAAATCTACTTCATGGTCTGCAGGATTGGACAATCACTGAAAAAAATGAACAAAAAAAAACTCCCTCATGGAATCATCATAAAAATTAAGCAAGATACATAAGTAGAGTTGTACACATAGTAGGCATTCAGGGAATGTTATTTTCCATTTCCTCTTAGTCATTTTGTGGCAGGCCAGGTCTCGCTAATGCAGGCCTCCAAAACAACTGTTTCAGTACTGAGTGGTCAGTTAAAATTTTTTTTTTTTTTTTTGAGACGGAGTCTTGCTCTGTCACCAAGCTGGAGTGCAGTGGCACGATCTCTGCTCACAGCAACCTCCGCCTCCGGGGTTCAAGCAATTCTCCTGCCTCAGCATCCTGAGTAGCTGAGACTACAGGCACGCACCACCACACCCAGCTAATTTTTGTATTTTTAGTAGAGACCGGGTTTCACCATGTTGGCCAGGATGGTCTCAATCTCTTGACCTCGTGATCCACCCACTGTGGCCTCTCAAAGTGCTGGGATTACAGGTATGAGCCACTGCGCTGGACCTAAGTTAAATATTAAAAGCTAAAAAAGCCAGTGTCCTTGTACAAAGGCTGGAATGTAACAGAAGCCCACCAAGAGTTTTGCCTAGGCCTGTCCTGGGTTTTAAAGCATGACAAAATAATGAAGGAATTCTTAACAGGACCCATTTAGGATTAAATGAATTTTTGGGGGGGGGGGTCTGAAGAAACTCCCCCAGTCCTCCACAAACAAGTTTATTGGGGGTCTGAAGGAACTCCCCAAACCTCCATGATTTAGCAGGAGGCAAAATAAGGGTAATCACCCCAGCACCTGGACGGATTTAGATTAAGTAAATTTACTCAGGCTCCAGAGGAAGGTTTTCAGGACTCAGACCTTAGTTATAGATTAAAAGAAGTTAATCACTTATGTCATTAGATGAATGCACACTTACATGTAGACTTATAGCTTACAAGGTATATAAGCTCTAGAAAACTTTGTAATTTTGAGTTGGTCTGGTGATAATTTCCAGGCCTTCACCCTGTAACTGGTTGCAGAAATAAAAACTGTCTTCCTACCCAGTTCATCTGCATCTCATTATTGGGCCACAAGAAATAGCAGCCTGACCCTCAGTTTGGTCCAGGAACGATTTGAGCAGGTTTAACTAGCGCTCTAAACCATGACGTATGTTTTTGTTTTTGTTTTTTTGAGACAGTCTTGCTTTGTCACCCAGGCTGGAGTGCAGGGGTACCATCTCAGCTCACTGCAACCTCCACTTTCCAGGTTCAAGCAATTCTCCTGACTCAGCCTCCCAAGTAGCTGGGATTACAGATGTGCACCACCACACCCAGCTAATTTTTGTATTTTTAGTAGAGATGGGTTTCACCATATTGGCCAGGCTGTTCTCCCTCAGGTGATCCGCCTGCCTTGGCCTCCAAAAGTGCCGGGATTACAGACGTAAGCCTGTACGCGCAGCCTTAAACAGTTAAATACATATCAATCCTTTGTAGTAAATATCTTAATGGTAAAATGTTAAAATATTAATGTGAATAACAGCTGGCATTAAATATTGAAATTCACGGAACTCCTTAATAGTTTTAATTAACGTCTGTTTATTTAATTTGTGCCATGTGATAAAACAGCTTTTTATGAAACAGCTTTTTTTTTTTTTTTTTTTGAGATGGAGTCTCACTCTGTCACCCAGGCTAGAGTGCAGTGGCGTCATCTCAGCTCACTGCAGCCTCCACGCCCAGGTTTAAGCATTTCTCCTGCCTCAGCCTCCTGAGTAGCTGAGACTATAGGCGTGCACCACCATGGATATTGCGGGATCTGGCCAGCAGCCCGCGATGCAGTGGGGCTCTCTCTTTGTTCCCAGGTGGATCGGCAGGTTGAGAAATAATAGACACACACAAGATAGTGAAAGCTGGGTCCAGGGGGTCACCGCCTTCTGGTCCCGCGATGCCGTCAATGCACTGGATATACCAGCATTTATTATTAAGTTTAGTGAGGGCGGGGGTAGGTTAGTGAGGGATTTAGAGTTGTTTGATTATGAGGTGAGATGGTCACATGGAGATGAAGTAGTTCTTTAACATAACATCTCTATGCAGAAGTACAGTATACAGAGATAAGAATTTACAACATAGTGTGTGCATCAGTAATTTCTAACAGAACCTTAAAACAGAAACACAGTCTTTCCATAACCTATGATTAGCAAGATATTAATCAGCAGTAACAGTTGCAGTAAAAGCTGGTTACACACAATCCATAGAAACAGGACATGAAGCTAGACAACCGGTTAGACCAGAAATTCTCAGAAGGTAGCATGCCTTAACCCTAAAGAGGCCTAGAAGAGCTGTGGCAAGATGAGGGCGTTTATAGCCCTATCTTATCCATATGAACAGGCACCCCTCATGCATCCGTTTATAGTCTCTCCACAAGGGTCACATTCCATTCCCAGAGCTATGAACATCTGCTTTTCTGGGATAGGAATCTTGGTGATGTGAAGCCTCCCTGACTGCATGTCCGTTCATAGGCTCTCTGCAGGGGGAAGGACATCATGTGCTGTTGGCTCATTCTGGCAGTCCAACCTGGCATTGTCTTTACACAATCCTGCCTGCAATTTTGTATTTACAATAATCAGGAGCATTTCATCTTTTATTCCGTAGCAATAGTTTCAGGAGGTCTCCCTACATCTCCCCCTTTTCTCTGATTTAAATGAACCATAGCAATCATAGGTTGGCACTGATCACGATTGGATTGAAGAGTATTTTTTCCAATTTTACACATGAACAATAAATCAATAACACAAATTATACACAGAACAAAATTAATGATAGTGGATCCTCCCAAAGATTTTACCCATTGAATGGGGTTGAGATTAGATAACCCCTCAGAGATACCATCTAAAACTTCAGCACTAGGTAAAGCAGTTAAGTGTGCTTGAGAGGCCTCAAATGTCTGTTCTTTTAGCTTGCTTATATCTAAACTTAATTTATCTTCACTTCCTTGTAAATGGCGTTTTACTGATTCCCAATTGTGAACAGACTCATTATATTAGAATGGAGTTATACAAAAATCAGAAGTATTCCAATCACATTGCATTTGTAATCGATGTTCTAAACTTATAATTCTATCTGCCATCCATATAACAGTTTGTCTTAGATCATTAATTTGATTGGCAAATTTTTGATCAATACCTGACTGGGAATTCCACATCTGAGTAGAATTTTTTTTGCCATTTATCCACAAAATGAGCAGATTGAATAGATTGATGTCATGCAACTCCAGCAGTAGCAGCAGTCACAGTAACAGCAATCAAGCCCATTATTACTGCAATTAATGTAAAAATAAATCATTTACTCCTTTTAAGATTTTTCTGTAGAATATTATTAATAACAAGGATAGAAGGTCAAGATTCCCAAGGCCTATGTAAGGCTACGAGGTGCCAAATAACTTCCCTGGCTCTATTAAAATACCATGATATTGATTAAAAGATGAGTCAATGCAAGTATACAAGTAACAACACATGTAATTATGTTGATTTTTGAACTAATATGCATCTTTCCTACTAATAACATATATGGTGGTTTAACACAACTTTTAAGTGGTATAGTTTTATTGGACTCCGTATAGATAGTGTATATATTTTGGGATGGTATTCGTTTTTGTGAAATGTGGGGTGGGGGGAATAGGTTGTATGAGAGGTGGTGGGGGTCATTAGTAATGGGGGGGTACAAGTCCTCATAGTCTTTACTGTCCCATCTTTGAATTGACATTTTGATGATTGCCATAGTGATATTTTTGGCTGTGTGGAAATAGTAGTGTAAATTAATCTGTTGTCTTAGTTTTTGAGGTGACAAGGTGGATTTACTTATAACACTTTCTCCAGCCCAAACTCTCAAACCAGTCATAGCTATGGTTAATCTCCATAATTCTGAATGTTCAGGTCCTAAGTGGGGAACAACGAGCCTTGGCTTTGGAGGGGCAACCCCTGCCCCTTTCCACTTAAAAGGAAAAAAGGAGTTAAATCTACGATATAATAGGGGAGGGCTGTCACTACTTTTTTGATAAGTAATATCATAGAGAAAATGTTGATAATCTCTGTGACCTTGAGAGCAATCATTAGTAATATGACCTTTAGGAGCCCAGTCAACAATGGTGTAGTGAGAAGAATTAAATAACACAGTTCCTTCTGGACTAACACAATCCTTCCACATTAATTTGTCAGCATTTTAACACAAGTTGAGAGGACACGCAGGTCCTAAAGGCTTATATTGGGAAGTGTGAATATAATCAGCAATTCCTATTTTATCTGCCTTAGAGGTTTTAATGAGAGCCCTGATACCAAGTGTCCTAAAGGAGGGACAGAGTGACCAGATGGTAGTGTGACTGCCCAAGTTTGAATATCTAATGAGAGACATCCATTAGTGGGTCCCAGGCACAAAGGTGGATACCTAAAACCTAAAGTGATATTGAAAGGGATTCCTTCTGAAGGTTGGGCAGGACAACGATCATCTACAGAACCAGGCATCCAAATACTATCATTAACATAGACCTTAATAGGAGCATCCATCCATGTCATGGCTCGAATAAGAGGAGGAAAAGGAATATAGGCCCAATATGTATAGTTTTTAACAGTCTGTGGAGTGACAGAGGGTAGAAGGATCAGTGTCATCAGGAGGAGGCAGAGGTTGAGCCATTCCTGGATCGCTGGAGACAAGTTGTTCAGGATGGCTGACTGGATTGTCTGTTTTAAAGGAGTTAGCATGATTATTTTCTTTCTTTTTTTTTGATGGTTGGATGTGTTAGTTGTTTTTTGCTTGGCGACTTTTCAGCAAATTTCTCCGTCTCATTGTTGCACGCATCTTCAGGACACAATTTCAGGTGTCTAGCAGGAATCCAAACAGGAGATTGATGTTCACCTGGGGAAACACAAGCGTAGCCTCTTCCCCACGTTAAAATAGAACCTTTTGACCATATATTGGATTGAACATCTTTCCACCACACTTCCCTTCTTGGTTTACCATGGGACAGTTACCAGAGAAATGTTTTTCAGCAGCAGTAACAGAACTAGATTTAGGAATATTAAGAAAATTTAACGTGAACAATTCCAAGTTTAGTTGTATGTGAGGGGTAGACCTCTCCTTATCCCCCTCTTTTTGTTTAAGTAATTGTAATTTTAGAGTTCTGTTACTTCTTTCTACAATAGCATGGCCTCGTGGGTTATAAGGAGTACCAGTAATATGTTTAATATGCCACTGATCAAGAAAATTTTTAAAAGCTTTACTGCAATTGGCTGGACCGTTGTCTGTTTTGAGCTCACTAGGAATCCCATAACCACAAAACATGAAAACGTATTTTTTTTAACGTGAGAAGTGGCTTCTCCGTTTTGACAGGTAGCCCAGATGAAATTGGAAAAGGTTTCAACTGTGACATGCACATAAGCTAATTTTCCAAAAGAAGGAACATGAGTAACATCCATTTGCCAGATAGCATTAGGAGAAAGGCCTCGGGGATTAACTCCGGGAGATTGTGTGGGTAAGACAAGAAGCTGACATTGAGAACAGTGTTGTACAATTTGTTTAGCTTGTTTCCAACTGAGAGAATATTTGTGTTTAAGACCTGAGGCATTAGTATGAGTGAGTTGATGAAATTGTTCTGCATCTGTCATGGCTAGAGAAACTAGAGTATCAACTTTATGATTACCACTGGATAAAGGTTCAGGCAAATTAGTATGAGATCGAATGTGAGTGATGAAAAAAGGGTGCTTTTGGTTTCTGACAGTTTTTTGAAACAAAGAGAACACGGAAAACAGATTAGTGTCAGCAATATTTTTGATGGTAGCTGTTTCTATTGCCTTGGTGGCATGGACTACATAAGCTGAGTCAGAGACAATATTAAGAGGCTGATCAAAATCTTGTAATGCAGAGATAACAGCAAACAACTCGGCTTTTTGAGCAGAAGTGTATGGAGTAGGAATGACTTTATCTTTTGGCCCTACATACCCTGCCTTTCCATTACTGGATCCATCAGTAAAAATGGTAACAGCTGCCTCTAGTGGTGATGAACGAGTAAGTTTTGGTAGACTCCAGGAAGTATTTCATAGAAATTGAAAGAATTTTGACTTAGGCAAATGATAATCAATAGTGCCAATGAAGTCAGCCAGATTAGTCTGCCAGCAGAAGGATGTAGAAAAGGCATTTTTAACTTCATTTTTTGACAAAGGGACCACAATAATGTTTGGATCAAAGCCGGAAATTTTAGTGATATGTTGACGTCCTAACCCAATTAAAGTGGCCATTTGATCAAGATATATTGAAAGAGTTTTAGAGGCTGAATTAAGAAGAAATACCCATTCAACTAGAGAATCATTTTGTGCTATAAGTCCCGTAGGAGAGTGGATGGAAGGAAAAACTAAAAATTGTAAAGACAAATTTGGGTGAATACGAGAGACTTGTACCTCTCTCTTTGTTCTACAAAAGACAGCTCTTGTTTTGCTGGTTCAGATAGGGAGCGAGGACTCTTTAAATCTGTATCTCCCGATAAAGTAACAAATAGGTGAGATAATGCATAAGTAGGGACGCCTAGGGTTGGTCTGAGATAATTGATGTCACCTGGTAATTTCTGAAAATCATTTAAGGTGTTTAAATTGTCAGTATGAAGTTGGACTTTTTGGGGCTTAATGGAGAGAGCTTCTAGCTGCATTCCTAAGTACAGAAAAGGAGTGGCTGGTTGAATTTTATCAGGAGCGATGTGGAGTCCTGCATTGGCAACAGCTAATTTTAAAGAGGTAAAACATTGAATTAATTCATCTTTAGTGGGAGCAGCAGTCAGTATATCATCCGTATAATGAAGAATGTAATTATTTTTAAAAGTCTGTTGGATAGGTTGTAACACAGTACTGACAAACAACTGACAAATAGTAGGACTGTTAATTATTCCTTGAGGTAAAACTTTCCATTGATATCTAGCTGCAGAAGCTGAATTGTTAATGGAAGGTGTAGTGAAAGCAAATTTTTCACAGTCTGACTTGTCTAAAGGAATATGAAAAAAGCAGTCCTTAAGGTCAATGATAATTAAAGGCCATGCCTCAGGAATCACGGAGGGGGAGGGCATACTGGGTTGTAATGCCCCCATAGGTTTAATAACTGTATTAACAGCTCTTAAGTCTGTTACCGTCCTCCATTTTCCTGACTTCTTTTGTACAACAAACACAGGTGAGTTCCATGGAGACCAGGAGGGCTCGGTAGTGTTTGCTTGTAGTAAATCATTAACAATTTCAGTTAAAGCCTCCAACTTGTGTTTGGAAAGCGGCCACTGCTCTACCCAAACAGGTGACTCACACATCCATTGTGCATGGGCAGAGGAAGAGAAGGAGAGTGAGGGTTCTGGGATATGGACCGGGGGGAAGCAGGATTCCAAACCTCTGAAAGAAGGGGTCCCAGAGCGTCGAAAGAAACAGTAGGCTTAGAAGAGGGGAGAGGTCTGAAAGGATGAGAGGAATGAGAAACGGGCCATTCAGATGAATGCCACACGTCCTCCTCTGGCAGAGGGGGCAACAGCTTGGTAGAAGAAGAGTTAACATATACAGGTTCCAAGATAGGAGGTGGAGGGAGGGGATCATCACCAGGTTCCTTCTCTTGGGGAGAAAACAAGGAGAGATCGAATTCCTCCTCATCATCAGAAGGAAGACTAGTAGGGGGGTCAGCTACCCACGGTAAAGGGAGCAGCTCACCATCCATGTTAACTTGTGGCAGTTGAAGAGGATCACCAGACTGAAAAGGAAGTAAAGCGACATGAATAAGAACCTAGTCAGCCCAAACAGAAATAGGAAGTAAAACACCATCTCTCATGAATTGGTGGAGAGTGGTGCCAACTCTATCCCAGTCTAACAGATCCATAGAACCTTCGTCAGGGAACCAAGGACAATATTTTTCAATAGTCTGAAATAAGAGAATAAGGTTATTGGAATCAGCCTTGATTCCACCCTGTTTAAGAAGAAGTTTAATAAAAGACAGATAAGCCTGGTGTTTAGACTGTGATTGTCCCATAATAACCCTGGAATAATACCGGTCAAAAAACCCAAAAAGAGGGGAGAGTTGGAAAAAGTGTACCCAGAGACCTTACCATCAAGACTGAAGACTACTCGTCACAATCCCGCACTCGGAGTGCACTTAGTCGAGGAACAAAGAAGGCCACATTGGGCGCCAGATATTGCGGGGTCTGGCCAGCAGCCCACAATGCAATGGGGCTCTCTCTTTGTTCCCAGGTGGATCGGCAGGTTGAGAAATAATAGACACACACAAGATAGTGAAAGCTGGGTCCAGGGGGGTCACCGCCTTCTGGTCCCGCAATGCCGCCAATGCACTGGATATACCAGCATTTATTATTAAGTTTAGTGAGGGCGGGGGTAGGTTAGTGAGGGATTTAGAGTCGTTTGATTATGAGGTGAGATGGTCACATGGAGATGAAGTAGTTCTTTAACATAACATCTCTATGCAGAAGTACAGTATACAGAGATAAGAATTTACAACATAGTGTGTGCATCAGTAATTTCTAACAGAACCTTAAAACAGAAACACAGTCTTTCCATAACCTGTGATTAGCAAGATATTAATCAGCAGTAACAGTTGCAGTAAAAGCTGATTTCACACAATCCATAGAAACAGGACATGAAGCTAGACAACTGGTTAGACCAGAAATTCTCAGAAGGTAGCATGCCTTAACACTAAAGAGGCCTAGAAGAGCCGTGGCAAGATGAGGGTATTTATAGCACTATCTTATCCATATGAACAGGCTCCCCTTATGCGTCCATATATAGTCTCTCCACAAGGGTCGCATTCCATTCCCAGAGCTATGAACATCTGCTTTTGTGGAATAGGAATCTTGGTGATGTGAAACCTCCCTGACTGCATGTCCGTTTATAGGCTTTCTGCAGGGGGAAGCACATCACGTGCTGTTGGCTCATTCTGGCAGCCCAACCTGGCATTGTCTTTACACAATCCTGCCTGCAATTTTGTATTTACAATAATCAGGGGCATTTTATCTTTTATTCCGTAGCAATAGTTTCAGGGGGTCTCCTTCCACATGCCAAACTAATTTTTTGTATTTTTAGTACAGACAGGGTTTCACCATGTTGGCCAGGCTGGTCTTGAACTCCTGATCTCAGGTGATCTGCTCACCTCAACCTCACAAAGTGCTGGGACTACAGGTGTGAGCCAGTGTGCCTGGCCTGAAACAGCTTTTTTATTATTTATTTCTTTGTGAGACAGGGTATCCCTCTGTCGCCCAAGCGGGAGTGCAGTAGTGTAATCACTACAGTGAGGCTCACTGTAGCCTCAATCTCCCAGGCTCAGGCAATACTCCCACCACAGCCTCCCAGATAGCTGAGACTGCAGGCACATACCACCATGCCTGACTAATTATATCTATATCTATATCTATATCTATATTTATATATTTGTATAGAGATGGGGTTTCACCATGTTGCCCAGGCTGGTCTCAAACTCCTAGGCTCAAGCAGTCTGCCCACCTTGGCCTCCTAAAGTGCTTGGATTATAGGCATGAGCCACCATGCCGGGGGGTGGGGGCAGTCCTTATAAATATTTTTCTTCCCCTCCTTCTCCTTCCTCCTTTCTCCTTCCTTCTTCCTTCTTCTTTTTCCTATTTCTACCTTTTTAAAATCTGAAACAGGGTCTTACTTGTCACCCCAGGCTGGAGTGCAGTGGCACAATCTTGGCTCACTGCAGCCTCGACCTCCCAGGCTCAAGCAATCCTCCCACCTCGGCCTCCTGAGTACCTGGGACTATAGATATGCACCACCACACTGGCTAATTTTTGTACTTTTGTGTCAAGACAGGGTTTCACCGTGTTACTGTTACTGGAAAGGGGTCCTCATCCAGACCTCTCAAGAGGTTTCTTGAGTCTCTTGCAAGAAAGAATTTGAGGCAAATTCATAAAGTGAAAGCAAGTTTATTAGGAAAGTAAAGGGATTAAGAATGGCTACTCCATAGGCAGAGCAGCCCTGAGGGCTGCTGGTGTACTATTTTTATGGTTATTTCTTGATTATATGCTAAACAAAGGGTGGATTATTCATGAGTTTTCCGGGAAAACAGGTGGACAATTCTTAGAAGTGAGGGTTCCTCCCCTTTTTAGACTATATAGGGTAACTTCCTGACATTGCCATGGCATCTGTAAACTGTCATGGCACTGGTGAAAGTGTCTTTTAGCATGTTAATACATTATAATTAGCATATAATTGTGTCTGGAGTCGGTTCCTTCCAGTGGGTTCGTGGTCTCACTGACACCAAGAATGGAGCCATGGACCTTCACAGTGAGTGTTACAGCTCTTAAAAATTGCATGGACCCAAAGAGTGAGCAGCAGCAAGATTTATTATGAAGAGTGAAAGAACAAAGCTTCCACAGCGTGGAAGGGAACCCGAGTAGGTTGCTGTTGCTGGCTGGGGTGGCCAGCTTTTATTCCCTTATTTGTTCCTGCCCATGTCCTGCTGATTGGTCCATTTTACAGAGTGCTGATTGGTCCATTTTACAAACCTCTAGGTAGCCACAGAGCACTGATTGGTGCTTTTTACAATCCTAGCTACAGAGTGCTGATTGGTGCATTTTACAATCCTCTTATAAGACAGAAAAGTTCTCCAAGTCCCCACCCAACCCAGAAGTTCAGCTGGCTTCACCTGTCAATCCCCTCTCTAAACAGGACACCCCAACTCCTGTTGGGAATTGGGTGATGACCACTCTAGCTACTTCCTGCTGGATAGGGGCAAAGAAGGGGCCCTGCAGTAGTAGTGTCCTCCAGAGGGGAACTCTCTAGGCCAGCCAAAGGGTCAGTGGGTTGGTCCAGGGGTCCTCAGTAGAAGTTGTTAGTTGAGCTCGTTTAGGGTTCCATTTGTAAGACCATCTGTAGCTTGATGGCATTGATCCTGGAGGAAAAAATTTGACAAAGAGGTTAAGAACACAGGGCCCGAAGGCGAGTAATAGCAATATGGCTGTTACGGGACTTAGAAAGGGGAGAAGCCATGTTGCCCAACTCCAGAGGTTGGTATAAGAGTTTGAAAGGTGTCTGATTTCAGAAGCCTTTTCCTGTAAATTCTGGGCAGCATCTCATACTATCCCTTACTGGTTAGTGTAAAAGCAACACTCTTCCCTTAAGAAGGTGCAAAGTCCTCCTTTCTCAGCAGTGAGGAGGTCTAGGCCTTGGCAGTTTTGGAGAGTCACTGCTGCCAAAGAGTCTACTTGGGATTGTAGAGTGAGGATAGATTTTGTTATTTCTTGTAAACTGTCTGAGAAATCCTTTGAGAGTGTCTGGTAATAGGATAATCAAATAGATAAACCTGCTCTTCTGGTTTCTGTAGCAGTAGCCATTCGTAACCCTATAAGTAGGAGTATTAGTTGTATGGCCCTGTGCTGATGTACTTGAGCTTTGAGGGGCATGGATAGGGTCTGATTTCCACAAGATTAGAAGTCAGGATAATACATGTTACACTGTTAACTTTTAGCAAACTTTACTTTTGTTGAAAACCTTGTAAGTTTGGGATTTCAATTATTCTTTGCTATTTATAAGACCTCGTTCAGTACATATTTTCTTAGAATTGGTATAGATGGCTCCTTCATGATTCTGTAAATACTTTAAGGTTCAGCTGAGTGCAAACAGCTTGCACATTTGAGCACACCAATTATTAGGCACTTTTCCTAACTCTGCTTCTACAAGAATTTCCTTATCACTTACTGAATACCCATTGTATCTTTTTCCCTTAATCACCTGGGAGGAACCATCTATCCTCCTGTCCTGAAAGGAGTTCCTCCTAGATCTGGTCGGACCTTTTTATGGTAATTAATTAAGATTTAGATCCCCTGTTAGGAAACCTGCTGGGTTAAGGATTTTTGATAGAAAAGCTATAAGTCCAGCTGGCTTCACCTCTCATAATGAGCAGTGAGGACGATCAGAGGTCACTCTCATTCTCGGTTTTGCTGGGTTTTGGCCAGCTTCTTTACTACATGTTGTTTTATCAGCAAGGTCTTTGTGACCTGTGTCTTGTACTGACCTCCTATTTCATCCTGTGGCTTAGAATGCCTTAACCTCCTGGGAATGGAGTCCAATAGGTGTCAGGTTCATTTTACCCAGGCTTTATTCAAGATGGGGTCACTCTGGTTTGAACGCCTCTGACGTTACCCAGGCTGGTTTCCAACTCCTGCGCCCAAGTGATCTTCTCGCCTAGGCCTCCCAAAGAGCCAGGATTACAGACATCAGACACTGCAACTGGCAAAGTCATGTGCTTTTTGAAAGCTGTTTAGGAGATAGATATTAATTTGATGGTTTAGAGATGCTATTCTCCCACTAAATGTGAGGAGAGAGGCCATTTCTCTTACTGTCTCCTGTCTCCAAAGAAAAGGAGGAAGTAAGAACTGAAAAATAACAGACTGATCGGGGCCACTGGCCAGGCCTGTAGGCTAAAGATTAACCCCACCCTAATCACTTGTGCTATTTATAGATCACAGACAATGGTATGGAGAAATGCTTGCCTTGCTTACCCCCACCTAGTCACGTACCCCATGCTTGCTCAATCTATCACGACCCTGTCATGTGGACCCCTTAGAGCTGTAAGCCCTTAAAAGGGCCAGGAACTCTTTCCTCGGGGAGCTTGGTTCTTGAGACGCAAGTCTGCCAACACTCCTGGCCAAATAAAGCCACTTCCTTCTTTAACCCGGTGTCTGAGGGGTTTTGTCCACGGCTTGTCCTGCTACAAATGAAGCCAGTAAAGCACAGAGAGCTTTGCTATAGAAAAGTGACCTCTGGATTGCTATGCCTTTTGAATTCTTATGTCTACCTTTTATAGTTTTTCTAGGTCTTTCATTCCTGTTAGGTTGTTGCAAACCTCACAGTTTGCTCTTCAAAGCTGAGAGGGCTGAGCATCTTACTTTTTAGGATATTGTTCAGACAAGAGTGATGAAGTCAGAAAAGATTCATGGTTGATAGAAACTTAATTTTGTGACACTCATTTGGCTGCTTGAGAAACTTTGCTGCTCATTCGTTGATCCCTTCCTGAGTTGCAGGTAGCTGAGGTTACTGGATATTTGGCTTTTGTACTGATATAGGAGTTAAGAATAAATCACTTAGGCAGATAGCAAGGGTATGGGAGTCCTCAGTGAGACTTTTTTGGAGTGCAGTGGCGCAATGTCAGCTCACTGCAACCTCCGCCTCCCAGGTTCAAGTGATTCTCCTACCTCAGCCTCCAGAGTAGTTGGGATTACAGATGTGCACCACCATGCCCAGCTAATGTTTTATATTTTAGTAGAGACGGAGTTTCACCATGTTGGTCAGGCTGGTCTTGAACTCCCAACCTCAGGTGATCTGCCTGCCTCGGCCTCCCAAAGTGCTGGGATAACAGGCATGAGCCACCACACCTGGCCAAGCAGTCCTAAATCATTTTCTAACAAAGAGCAGCCTGCAAGCTGGGAGCTTGCACGGGTGAATGCCGGCAGGAACTAAGGACTAGACATTTTCTCTCTCTTTTTTTTTTTTTTTCTTTTTTGAGAAGGAGTGCAGTGGCATGATCCCAGCTCACTGCAACCTCCGCCTCCCGGGTTCAAGCAATTCTCCTGCCTCAGCCTCCCAAGTAGCTGGGACTACAGGCACGTGCAACCATGCCCAGCTAATTTTTTGTATTTTTAGTAGAGACAGGGTTTCACCATGTTGGCCAGGATGATCTCAATCTCTTGACCTCGTGATCTGCCTGCCTCGGCCTCCCAAAGTGCTGGGGTTACAGGCATGAACCACCATGCTGGCTCAGGACTAGACATTTTCAAGATGGCAGCTCCATCTTCCATTCTCTTCCAGTCACATGTACTGTAAAGGGGCAGACAAGACACTGATCAACTGGAAAGCTCATTTGCATAAGAAGATTAGGGTGGGGCGACCAGCCTTCCCCACATACTATGTAAATGTCATACCTGATTGAACCAATCTATGAACCCTATGTAAATCAGACACCGCCTCATCAAAGTGGACAATAAAACTCAGTGCATTCACTACCAGCAGATCTTTTCCACTCCGAGACCCCTTCCTCTACAGAGGAAGCTGTTTCTCTTTCTTTCTTCTACCTATTAAGCCTCCGCTCCTAAACTCGGTGTGGTGTTTGTGTCCTAAATTTTCCTGGCACGTGAAAACGAACCCCAGGGTATATATCCCAAACAACGTAACCACTTCAGTACCTAAGCTATAATCTTGCCTGATGTTTGCTTCGTTGTTCTGCTTTCACCGTTTTGTAGAAATTCTCATGCTTTTCTTCTAACATTCTCTTTCCTGGCCGTTACTAACAAGGGATTCCCCTTTCAAAGGTAGCTTGATATTTAAGCAATAACTTTGGTATGAGGCAAGGAAATGTTTCATTGTCCCTTCAATTGGCTGCAAGGATCCTGGGAAGCTCAAAATGAAAGTAAAAAAGACAATTGAACCTCGAGTCTCACTCATACCTGATTTAGATGATATTTAGGTGAGACTTTGAACTTGAAATTGATGCTGGAATAGGTTAAGATTTTTGGGGCATTGGGATGGGGGTAAATGTATTTTCCATGTGAGAAGGACATTAATTTTGGGGATTCAGAGAATGGAGAGTCATGGACTGAATTATGTCCCCCGCCAACATTTATAATTGGAACCCTCACCCCCTATACCACAGAATGTGACTGTTTTTGAAGATAAGGACTTCAGCTTAAATACCCAAAGAGGTATTTCAGTTAAAATGAGGCCATTGGTGGAGGTGGGCCCTATTCTTATCTGACTGGTGTCCTTATAAGAAGAGCAGATTAGAACAGACAGAGAGACATCAGGGTCATGCATGCACAGAAGGAAGACCATGTGAGGACACAGTGAGAAGGCAGCCATCTGCAAGCCAAGGAGAGAGGCCTCAGGAGAAACCAACCCTACCAACACCTTGATCTTGGACTCCCAGCCTCCAGAACTGTGAGACAATACATTTCTCTTGCTTAAGCCAAAGAAAGAAAGAAAAAAGGAAGGAAGGAAAGAAAGAAGGAGGAGGAGGAAGCAACTAAACAGACAGCTCATATCCAAAAGTTACACACTCCACATGATGTTGGAGGCTGAGACTGAAGTGATGCTGCCACAAGCCAGGGAACACCTGGGTTACAAGAAGCTGGAAAAGGCAAGGAAGGTTCTTGCCCTAGAGGCCTAGAGCACGACACTGACTACACCTTAATTTCAAACTTCTAGCCTCTAGAAGTGTGGGAGAGTACATTTTTTTTTAAAGCCACCCAGTTTGTGGCACAACAGATTCAGTAGTCCATTGTGTGAGTGAGTCTACAAGAATTTCTCTACCCATGTTATTACTGACAGGTATTTAGATAATTTTCAATGTGGGGCTCTAATGAATAGAGGAGCTATGAATATTCAAGTAAAGCTCTTTTTTGTAGACATAAGCATTTTTCTTGCTGGGAGTAGAATTGCTAGGTCATAGGATACTTGCATGTTCAGCTTGAGTAAGTACTGGCAAAGACTTTCCCAAATGGTTGTACAAACTTATACTCCACCCCACTCCGGGCAGTGCATAAGAATATGGATTGATTCACATAGCCACTAACTATTAATACTTTTTAAGCATTCTGGTTGGTGTGTAGTGGTATAGCATTGTGCTTTTAATTTTTACTTCTCTAATAACTAATGAAGTTGAGCACTTTTTCATGTTATTGGACATTTGGTATTCTTTTTGTTCCCACTGAAGTCTCTTGCCCATTTTTGTATTTGCTTTCTTACTGATTTGTAGGAATTCTTTATATATTCTAGGGATAACTCCTCTTTCAGATATAGGTACTATGAATATTTTCTCCCATGCCGTGAGAGGGCTTTGTGAGATATATGTAATATGGTATAAAAGCCAGCCACTTAAAGGGACTGGAGCCACATCAGTTCGGAGTGTGGGTCCAAACAATGCTAAGCATGTCTGGTTGCTGATACTACAGCTAAATACCTTAACAGCCAGCTCATTTTTCCTGACTTGTAACCTTTGCTCACTGGAATCCACCAACATAGCTGATTTCCAGTGAAGCATGTTGCAGCAACTTCTATCAGCTGAACCACAAACCCTAAATCCTTATTTTCAATGTCCCCTTTCTAGGCCCCGGTGGACTTCTGGGGCTAAGAAGAATAACACCCAACTCTGTTGAAAACCATTGCCTTTTTCAAGAAAAGATGGTACTGAGTCCAGTCCACTCCATTGGTCAAGGACCCTGACAAGTTTTCAGGCTGTCTCAGGCTTGGCTCTGGATTATGGTTGCCTAGAGGGTTGGCCAATTTTCTCAGCTGGCTCCAGGTACTAAAGCTACCAATATGTCCTGTGCTGAGCATGGGACTGCTTATGACACTGGACAAATGCAGCTAAGACAGTAGCATCTTTGGCCAGAAGTTTTTAACTGCTGATACTAGAAGGAATGTCCATGTCTATATTCAGAGATCTTTGTACTACGTGGATGAGATAGCTTCAGAATTCAGTTTTCACTCATGAGTTTAGCTGATTAATATCACTAACAATAAAAGCAAGGTTCCTAATTAGCTGATTTCACTTAAACTGCTGGTCAACCCTGAAGATGGAGCTCCCAGGTAGGTGTTGCCATTGGGTGGGCTCAACATGTCAGTGGCCTGCACCAACCAGGCCAGTCACCTATCCTCCTAGATCTGAACTCTTTTGACTCTCTCACTTTTCCTTCTTTTCTAGCAGTGAACACCTTCTGTTATGGGCTGAATTGTGTTCCACCCAAAATGCAAATGTTAAAGTCCTAATGCCTAGTACCTGCAAATGTGTTGTATTTGGTGATAGGGTCTTTAAGTTAAAATGAGACCTGAGGGTGGGTTGTAATCCAATCTGACTGGTGTCATAAGAAGAGGAGATAGGAATCACAGAGAGACACAAGGGGAATTCATGGATTGATATGGTTTGGCTCTGTCCTCGCTCAAATCTCATCTTGAATTGTAGTTCCCATAATCCCCACATGTCATGGGAGGGATCAGGTGGAGATAATTGAATCATGGGGGCAGTTTTCCCCCATCCTGTTTTCATGATAGTGAGATCTCACAAGATCTGATCATTTCATAAGGGGCTTCCCCCTTTGCTTGGCACTCATTGTTCTCCTTCCTGCCATCATGTGAAGAAGGACATATTTGCTTCCCCTTCCACCATGATTGTAAGTTTCCTGAGGCTTCCGCAGCCATGTAGAACTGTGAGTCAATTCCACCTTTTTTCTTTATAAATGACCCAGTCATGTGTATTTCTTTATAGCAGCATGCGAATGGACTAATACATGCTTGGAGGGACATGGTGTGAAAACACAGGGAGGGCCGGGCTTGGTGACTCATGCCTGTAATCCCAGCACTTTGGGAGGCCGAGGTGGGCAGATTATGAGGTCAAGAGATCGAGACCATCCTGGCTAACATGGTGAAATCCTGTCTCTACTAAAAAATACAAAAAAAAATTAGCTGGTTGTGGTGGCAGGCATCTGTAGTCCTAGCTACTCGGGAAGCTGAGGCAGGAGAATGGCGTGAACCCGGGAGGCAGAGCTAGCAGTGAGCCAAGATCACACCACTGCACTCCAGCCTGGGCGACAGAGTGAGACTCCATCTCAAAAAAAAAAAAAAAAAAAAAAAGAATAAAAAAAGAAAACACAGGGAGAAGTTGGGTATCTGCAAGCCAGACAGGTCTCAGAGGAATCAACCCCACTGGCACCTTAATCTTGGACTTCCAGCTCCAGAACTATGAGAACATAAATGTCTGTTGTATTAGCCACCTCGTCTGTGGTATTTTGTTATGGCAGCCCTAGCACAGACAGCCAACACAAATGCAGCCAAGAGACCACCATTGTACTATGCATGTATGCCACAGTTTGCCTCCAATCATGTTGCTCACCAAAAGGGCAGCATGATATCAAGTAACTTTAGATCATACATACCCAGACCAAGTACATCATGGGTATAATAAGGCTCATTGGTTTTTCCTATGGATATTGAGTTGGCTTTTGCAGAAAGCAAGCTACATATTTATTATTCAGCTTGTATTATAATTTAGGAAAACCTCTTACCTCAGCCTCTATATTGCTGGTGGACCTATATACATTTGTACAATCTTTTGCAAAATTAATTTGGTAACAGGCGTTAAGAGTCTGAAAATTGTCAATATCCTTTGTCTAAGTTATTCCACTTCTAAAAAAATCTATCTTAAAGAAATCAGAATCAGGAAACCCTTGTATACAAGATTTTCAGTAGCATTTATTTTTACCAGCAACAATCTAAATGTCCAACAATAATAGAATTGTTAGGAAACCGATGACATCTCCACCCATGGGAACATCATGCAGTCATTAAAAATGTTGTTTACTAACTATTTAAGATAAATATTATAAATCCATACCATAGAATACTACTCAACAACAAAAAAGGAATGGACCATCGATATGTGTAACTTGGATGAGTCTCAAGGGAATTATGCTGAGTGTAAAAAAGACAATCTCAAAAGGTCACATACTATATTATTCCATCACTTAACGTTCTTGAAATAACAAAAGTTTGGAGATAGAAAATAGATTCGTGGTTGGCAGAGGTTACGGATGGTGGGGGGCAGAGAGGAAGTAGGTGGCATGAGGGAGCCTTGGGGTGAGGGAGCAGTCCTGTATCTTGATTGTGATGGTGGCTACAGGGATGTGCACTGTAACCCTGCGTGCTTCCTGGTTGAGACTGAACCGTAGTTCCACAAGATCTTACCATTGAGGGAGCTGGGTGCAGAGTACATGGGGACTTGCCATATATTTAAAAATTAACTTCCTGTGAATCTGTGACAATTTCAAAATAAAAAGTTTAAAAAAATTAGCAACATTCCTATGGCATAATGCTACACGCAAAAAGTAAAATAGGACAGGTGCAGTGACTCACACGTGTAATCCCAGCACTTTGGGAGGCCAAGGTGGGAGGATCACTTGAGCCCAGGAGTCCAAGACCAACCTGGGCAACATAGCAAGACCATGTCTCTACCAAAAAAAAAAAAAAAAAAAAAAAAGCTGGGCATGGTGGTGCATGCCTGTAGTCCCAGCTACTCAGGAAGCTGAGGTGGGAGGATCGTTTGAACCCAGAAGGTCGAGGTTGCAGTGAGCCATGATTGCATCACTACACTCCAGCTTGGGTGACAGAAGAAGACCCTGTCTCAAAAATAAATAAATAAAATATATGTAATATTATATGTGTGTATACCATATGTATATACACACTTTATGTATTGTATAAAGTGTATGCACACATACATACTTAAAGTTGTTAATAATGGTTGTCTTTAGGTACTTTTTTTATGTTCATGTGATTTCCAAACACACATGTATTATTTTTAGAATGAAAAAAAGTATTAAAAGAGGTAAAGCATCCATGTAAGTTGATGATTGGAATTTGTCCTTTGTAACTCAGACATCTGCCTATGTGTTCTTTTCTGAAATTTCCCTCGTTTCCCAAACTGAAGGAAATGCCAGATGTGCTTCAGCATTCTCCCTTCTGAGATTTGAGCCCCCTCCCTTCTAGCTCATTGACACAGGCTGTTGACAGCAGTTTCAATCCGCTCTCAATGTGGAACACCACCAAACACAAGGCCCAACGTTCTCACTCTCCCCATGGTGCTGTCTAATGGTTCTTGAGGTTGGTCTGTTTCTCATCCCTCCCAAGTGGTTCTTTCAGGAAAATTGGGAGAGGCAAAGAAGAATGAGGCAGCTTCAGTGGAAACATTTGGTTTTGTGCCCACTGGAGGAATGGCACACCTTCCTGTGCAGATGTTAGCATCCAAAAGCTCTCTTTTTCTCCCCGAGGCCCTCCTATATTCCCCATACAATTATCAATTGTCTGGGATTTCTTTCTTTTTTTTTTTTTTTTTTGTTTGAGACAGAGTCTCACTCTGTTGCCCAGGCTGGAGGGCAGTGGCACAATCTCAGCTCACTGCAACCTCCGTTCCCCAGGTTCAAGAGATTCTCCTGCCTCAGCCTCCTAATTAGCAGGGATTACAGGCACCCACCACTACGCCCGGCTAATTTTTGTATTTTTAGTAGAGACGGGGTTTCACTATGTTGGCCAGGCTGGTCTTGAACTCCTGAACTCAGGTGATCTGCCCGCCTCAGCCTCCCATAGTGTTGGGATTACAGGCATGAGCCACCGCGCCTGGCCTGGGATCTCTTTAACTTACCCATTCAAGGCATTCAAAAGACTTGCCCAATCCTGTTAAGAGTATGAGGAAGCCAGGGAGGTAAGCACAGGCTTCAGAATCAGACTTAGCTGGTCAGTATCCCTGGCCTGAGAGTTAGGTGCGGCTGAACAGACATCTGCCGAGTCTCTTGTGTGCTGGGCCTGCACTGGCCCTGCGGATGCAAAGGG
Source organism: Homo sapiens (assembly GCF_000001405.40). Classification (NCBI taxonomy): domain Eukaryota; kingdom Metazoa; phylum Chordata; class Mammalia; order Primates; family Hominidae; genus Homo; species Homo sapiens. The sequence continues at coordinate 101,226,495 of NC_000002.12, read as the reverse complement.
AAAGAGACCCTGTCCCTGCCATCCAGGAGGGTTCAGACTGCATGAGGAGGAGCCTGCTTTGTAAATGTGGGCAAGTTGTGATAAAAGAAAAAGTTCAGCCAAATTATATTTAAAGGAGTTTAACTGAGCAATGACCAATGCACAAATCAGGCAGCCCCCACAATCACAGCAGATTCACAGAGATTCCAGTGCAGCCATGAGGCGGAAGAAGATTTATAGACCAAAAATAGGGAAATGACATACAGAAATTGGAAGTGAGGGCCAGACGCTGTGGCTCACGCCTATAATCCCAGCACTTTGGGAGGCTGAGATGGGTGGATCACCTGAGTTCAGGAGTTTGAGACCAGCTGACCAATATAGTGAAACCCCATCTCTACTGAAAATACAAAAAAATTAGCCGGGCATGGAGGTGTGCACCTGTAATCCCAGCTACTTGGGAGGCTGAGGCAGGAGAATTGCACGAAGCCTGGGAGGCAGAGGTTTCAATGAGCTGAGATCACACCATTCCACTCCAGCCTGGGCAACAAGAGTGAAACTCCATCTCAAGAAAAAAAGAGAAAAGTAAAGAAAAAAGAAAAAGAAATTGGAAGTGAGATACAGAATGGCTGGATTGGTTAAAGCTTGGGGTATGCCTTATTTGAACACAGTTTGAACACTCAGCAGTGTCTGAATGGTTGAAGTACGGCCATTGGGATTGGCCAAGACTTAGCTATTGTTACAGGTGCATACTACTAAGTTAGGTTTTCACTTTTGTCTGCCTGTTAATCTAGGTTACAGTTCATCCACAAGGACTCAAATATGGAGTCCTTCTCAGGCCATATTTAGTTTGCTTTAACAGTTGTTGACTGATACGGTTTGGCTTGTCCCCACCCATATCTCATCTTGAATTGTAGCTCCCACAATACAATTCCCATGTGTTGTGGGAGGGACCCAGTGGGAGGCAACTGAATCATGGGGGTGGGTCTTTCCCATGCCATTCTCATGATAGTGAATAAGTCTCACGAGATCTGATGGTTTTATAAAGAGGAGTTTTCCTGCACAAGTCCTCTTCCCTTGCCTGCTGCCATGTGAGACCTGCCTTTCACTTTCTGCAATGATTGTGAGGCCTCCCCAGTGACATGAAACTGTGTCTATTAAACCTCTTTCTTTTGTAAATTGCTCAGTCTCAGGTATGTCTTTATCAGTAGCATGAAAATGGACTAATACATTGACCCTTCTCAGCTTTGGTGTCCTCACCTGGGTTACAGAGAAAACCTTTCCTCTGTGGGCAGGAGATTGATAGCACAAGGACGGGGGCCTTGCTTGGGATCCCTTGCCTCTTCTTAAATATGTTGAGAATGGGGAGGAAGGGGTCTTTTTTTTGGTTTGTTGGTTTGTTTTCTGAGATGGAGTCTCACTGTTGTCTAGCCTTGAGTGCGATGGCACCATCTTGGCTCACTGCAACCTCCACCTTCTGGGTTCAAGCAGTTCTCCTGCCTCAGCCTCCCAAGTAGCTGGAATTATAGGCACCACCACACCGAGCTAATTTTTGTATTTTTAGTAGAAAAGGAGTTTCACCATGTTGGCCAGGCTGGTCTCAAACTCCTGACCTCAAGTGATCCGCCCGCCTTGGTCTCCCAAAGTGCTGGGATTACAGGCTGAGGGCTCTGTGCCCAGCCAATAAGGGTTTCTTTTTAAAAGGATGAATCTTTCTTTTGTGGAGTTTTAGGCATAAAACTGGTTCTACCTTTCACCTTCTTCAATAAAACTCTCATTCTAGCCTTTGGATTACTTCAACAGGACACATCTGACATAAAATTAGTTTCCAGCACTCCTAAATCTTTCCCGTGAAAAAGACCAAACCTATGATCGTAGATATCTGTAAACAGCTGTCTTATCCATGCAGCGAGGAAAGACCCTGCTGAGGAGAACCCGGAGTGCCATCCAGGGCACTAAATGGCGATACCAGTACTGAAGGCAGCTGTCAGTTGTAACTTGTGAGTTAAGTGGGAAACTCATAAGGAACTAAGCGGTTATTTCCATTTTCCTGTTGGAGAGAATTGTGAACTCTTTGACCGTCCTTGTCTTCGCTTGTGTTGGAACTCCTTCAGCATGACCAAGGATGACTGAGGAAGGGCTACAGTGCAGGTCCTTCAGCATTTGTAGGGCGATAAACAGTGAGTTAGGATCTTCATGAGCCACCTCAGTGTATTGGGGAATGGGTGTGTGTCCAGGGCAGCCTGAGCACGGCGAGAACACTGGATCTAAAGCCACTGGCAGTCTTCGAGTCCCCACTCCAGTTACCAGCTGCGTGAACTGAGATCTGTGTCTCACTTTCCTCATTTGAGAGTGGCAAGTTAAATAGTACCAATGTCAGAGGGTCATTGAAACTAGACAACCACTGTCAAGGCTTGGCACCATACTTAGTAACACAAAACCCCAGCTCTAGTGATGTGCAAAATCATTTCCTGCCCTAACGTTTGTGGTCTGCCTAGTGTCTCCGTGTCCCAAGTGCCTTCTGAATGTCTACAGCTGTAACCACAGGACCAGCTCAAACCAATTAACCACTGCTTAAGCTGCCGCTATGGTGCAGAGCCAAAATTGAAAGTCATGTAGCTCAGGCATGCGCAATGGGAAAACGCTTTACCCTCCTGATGGTTAGCACCACCAGCCTGGCAGACCGGCTGCAGTGGCATCACCTGGACTGAGTTAAAAATGTCATAAAAGCTTGACCCCACTCCCCAGAGCAGGGAGACAGATTTGAGCATTGCCTCCTGTCTCCTTCCTTGCCAGCCAACTCATAATAAACCTTTTACTTTCCTCAAAAGCCAGTGCCGTAGGATTGGCTTCCATGCACGTCAGAAAGTGAGCCCATTGCTCAGTAACAAAGACTTCCACATTCCCTATCTCAGATTGGAAACTCTCAGATGAATTGGTCTCAGGAACCCTTTGCACCCTTAAAAATTACTGAGGCCCCCAAAGAGCTTTTCTTCTATGTGGGTTATATCTATCAAGACTTATTGTATTAAAATTAAACGTGATAAAATGTTAAAATATTTATTCACTTAAAAATTACAGTGATGGGAGGATTGCTTGAGCCCAGGAAGTCAAGGCTACAGTGAGCTATGATCACACCACTGCACTCCAGCCTGGGAAACAGCGAGATCCTGTCTCAAAAACTTGTAACAATGAAAATAACAATATTTTCCCAAACAAAACACACTTGGGGCCGGGCACAGTGGCTCACGCCTGTAATCCCAGCACTTTGGGAGGCTGAGGCAGGCAGATCACTTGAAGTCAGGAGTTCGAGAACAGCCTGGCCAATATGGTGAAACCCCATCTCTACTAAAAATACAAAAAATTAGCCAGGCCTGGTGGCTTATGCCTGTAGTCCCAGCTACTTGGGAGGCTGAGGCACAAGAATCACTTGAACTCGGGAGGTGGAAGTTGCAGTGAGCTGAGATCACACCACTGCACTCCAGCCTGGGCAACAGAGTGAGACTTGGTCTTGAATAATTAAAAAAAAAAAACAAAAAATATACTTGGTAGGAAGAGTAGCATTGCTTTACATTTTTGCAATTGTCTTTAATGTCTGGCTTAATCACATTCATTTCTGTATTTGATCTGTTGGAATATGTTGTTTTGGCTGATGTATATCAAGAAAATCCAGCCTCACTTAAATATGAAGTTAGAAATGGAGAAGTATTTTAATAGCCTTTTTATATAATTGTGGCTATACTTCGACACAACACCAAAACTCAACAAGTACTAGTTTTGTTTGTTTGTTTTTCAGATGGAGTCTCACTCTGTCACCCAGGCTGGAGTGCAGTGGCGTGATCTCAGCTCACTGCCACCTCTGCCTCCCGGGTTCAAGTGATTCTCATGCCTCAGCCTCCCAAGTAGCTGGAATTACAGGCGTGTGCCACCACACCCAGCTAATTTTTGTATTTTTAGTAGAGACGGGGTTTCACCATGTTGTCCAGGCTTGTCTCAAATTCCTGGCCTCAAGTGATCCTCCTGCCTTGGCTGGGATTACAGACCAAAGTGCTGGGATTACAGGTGTGAGCCACCACTCCTGGCCCAAGTAGTAGTTTCTTAAAGGTTCTTCATAATGAGGAATCTGAAACCATATCAATGAATGTTCATAGCTGATTACATTAAAATCAATTCGTCTATCTTGCACATTGTAGAAATATTTAATCATGCATGTTTTGGGAGTATCATACATTAGTATTTGGAAAATATTGACTGTGATATGCAGATCTTCCAAATGTTGACACATTTCATTATATTATACAATATCAAAACTCACATTTATTAATATCATCACTGATATCATTGGAAACGTATTTTAAGTATTGAGAAGCTGTCAAGCTCACGGGAGCAGACACAAGTTTTCCAAAATTCTAATTTTCACATGAATGCCTAAATGTTGTCATTGGCATCAAATACTGTCAGTAGTTTTCCTTGAACTGTCAAGCTCACTTTATTCATTTTCAAGAAAATGTTTGTTCAAGTACTGGTATCTAAATAGCCATAGTTTATCTGCTAACCCACCTTTCAAATAAAAATGATGTTTCATGAAAAAAGTGGCTAATTTAGCTCAAAATTCAAACAATCGTCGAACTGCCTTTCTTTGAGACAACTATGGATGGAGAAGGAGTGCTTTACACATATTTCTCATTTTGTCACACAGAATATTGAGAAAGCATGTGTTCAGCCAGGCATGGTGGCTCATGCCTGTCATCTCAGCACTTTGCGAGGCTGAGGTGGGCGGCTCACCTGAGGTCAGGGGTTCCAGACCAGCCTGGCCAACATGGTGAAACCCCGTCTCTACTAAAATTACAAAAAAATTAGCCGGGCATGGTGGCACACGCCTGTAATCCCAGCTACTCGGGAGGCTAAGGCAGGAGAATCATTTGAACCTGGGAGGCAGAGGTTGCAGTGAACCAAGATCGTGCCACTGTACCCCAGCGTGGGTGACACAGTGAGACTCTGTCTCAAAATAAATAAATAAATAAATAAATAAATAAATAAAATAAAGGCCGGGCACGGTAGCTCACACCTGTAATCCCAGCACTTTGGAAGGCTGAGGCAGGCAGATCACCTGAGGTCAGGAGTTCGAGACCAGCCTTGCCAACATGGTGAAACCCCATCTCTACTAAAAATACAAAAACTAGCCAGGCGTGGTGGCACGCACCTGTAATCCCAGCTACTCGGGAGGCTGAGGCAGGAGAATCGCTTGAACCCAGGAGGCGGAGGTTGCAGTGAGCTGAGATCATGCCATTGCACTCCAGCCTGGGTGACAAGAGCAAGACTTCGTCTCAAAATAAATAAATACATAAATAGATAAATAAAAAGAAAAAATAAAGCACGTGTTGAAGGGATGAGTTTTTTAAAACATTTAATTTCATTTTATTTTAAATTCTGGGATACACGTGCAGGACGTACAGGTTTGCTACATAGGTACACGTGTGCCATGGTGGTTTGCTGCACCCATCAACCCATCACCGAGGTATTAAGCCTAGCATGCATTGGCTATTTATCCTGATGCTCTCCCTCCACCTGCCCACCCCCTCCAACAGGCCCCAGTGAATGTTGTTCCCCTCCCTGTGTCCCTGTGTTCTCATTGTTCAGCTCCCACTTATAAGTGAGAACATGCCGTGTTTAGTTTTCTGTTCCTGCCTTAGTTTCTTGAGGATAATGGCTTCCAGTTCCATCTATGTCCCTGCAAAGGACATGGTCTCATTTCAAGTGATGATATTTAATAAAATTAATAATTTGTACTGCTTCATCAAGAACATTCTTCAGTGAAGTTGGCCTTTTTCCTTTTTTTTACTGGGAGTGTGTGAAGAATATAATTGCCAGAACAACTTAACAGTGCTGCCTTGATTTATGATAAAGTAGCAGCAGTTTTACTCACCATGGCCATTGCACTATCAAATGACAACACAGTCAAAAAAGGTAAATAATGTCTTACTTTTATTAGAAAAATAATTTCAACCTTATAGGCCTCCTGAAAGGGTCTTGGGTACCCCCCAAATCCCATGGACCAGAACTGCTGCCTTAGACCTGAGATCAGCCAACCTCTTCTGTAGAGAACCAGATGGTGAATATTTTAGGCTTTGGAGGCCAGACAGTCTGTCACAGCTACTCAACTCTGCAGGTGTGGTGCAACAGCAGCCCTGGATAATGTGTAAATGGAGGGGTGTGGCTGTGTTCCAATAAAACTTTATTTACAGGGGGGCACGGTGGCTCAAGCCTGTAATCCCAGCACTTTGGGAGGCCGAGGCCGGCGGATCACCTGAGGTCAGGAGTTCGAGACCAGCCTGACCAACAGGGTGAAACCCTGTCTCTACTAAAAATATAAAATTAGCCAGGCGTGGTGGCGCATGCCTGTAATCCCAGCTACTCAGGAGGCTGAGGCAGGAGAATAGCTTGAACCCGGGAGGTGGAGGTTGCAGTGAGCCAAGGTTGCGCCATTGCACCCCAGCCTGGGCAACAGGAGCAAAACTCCATCTCAAATAAAAACAAAAAAAACTTTATTTACAAAAACAGCCAGATTTGGCCCAGGCAGTAGTTTACCTACCCCTGCTTTAGACAATCCCAATTGCTCGTGGACTTTTTTTTTTTTTTCTTGAGACTGAATCTCGCTCTATGGCCCAGGCTGGCATGCAGTGTTGCGATCCCGGCTCACTGCAACCTCCACCTCCCGGGTTCAAGCAATTCTCGTGCCTCAGCCTCCCCAAGTAGCTGGGACTATAGGCTCCCTAGGCTCCCACCACCACACCCAGCTAATTTTTCTATTTTTAGTAGAGACGGGGTTTCACCATGTTAGCCAGGCTGGTCTCTGAACTCCTGACCTCAAGTGATCTCCTTGCCTTGGCCTCCCAAAGTGCTAGAATTACAGGCGTGAGGCACCGCGCCCCGCCTTGCTCGTGGACTTTTAAGCCACAAGATGACTATTAATGTAACCTCAGCCAATCAAATGAGGACACAACAAATATATCCCATCATTCTTGTCTCACACAACTTCCTGCCCACACCCTCATTACAAGATATACCCTATGCAATGCTATGCTCTGTGTCTGTCCTGACATTGCACTTGTCGGAGTTGTTGGGGTCAAGGACCCAACAGGAAATAGATGGCATGTTCAAATTGGATGACTCTAGGGAAGTGTGGTTGGGGAATTACAGGGAATGATGTGATAACCCCTGGTCGGTTACCACCTCTGGGCCCAGAGAAACAAAGGGAGGGAGGGGTTGTCAGAATCTGGAAGGAATCACATAGGATCAGTGACCTCCATTTAAGCTAAGGAAATAAATACCGTAACTGACTGTCTTGCCTTCTCAGATCTGCTGGCAAAACCCACACGGAAGCCAGGGGCCTGGGGAGCCTGCCAATGGGGTCCATGAAGGTCAGGCTTCCATGGTAGAGGGCAGGGCACAGAAAGGTGGAGGGAGGCTAGGGGTGGGGTGGATGAAAGATCTATGGCTCGGCCATGTCCTGTGAGTGCCCGTGGACCAGCGTGTGTCCTCAGCTAGCTGGCCCAACATGAAGTCGGGTGCGTGCCCCTCTTTACTGTGGGATCTGCAGCTCTTTCCCAGTGCCTGGCCCACTGTGGGGTCAATAAAGTTTCACTGACAAAGGATGCATGAGAGTCCTGATGATGTGACTAGTGGGTGGGCCACAGAGCCAAGGAACCCTCAGCCACTCATTTATCCATCATGGGATCCCTTGAGCCTGCCTGCAAAGGAGACCACAGCACCAAAACTCAAGGCACCTGACCTGCTATGGCTGCTGCTGAGCCAGTGTTGAGTGGATCAGATCTCCAGCCCCTCCTCCTCACCTAGCACAACTTGTCCAAATAAAGAGCTTGGTGACTAGGCTGGGCGCGGTGGCTCATGCCTGTAATCCCAGCACTATGGGAGGCCGAGGCGGGTGGATCATGAGGTCAGGAGATCGAGACCATCCTGGCTAACACGGTGAAACCCCGTCTCTACTAAAAAATACAAAAAATTAGCCAGGCGTGTTGGCGGGGCGCCTGTAGTCCCAGCTACTCGGGAGGCTGAGGCAGGAGAATAGCGTGAACATGGGAGGCGGAGCTTGCAGTGAGCCGAGATTGCGCCACTGCACTCCAGCCTGGGTGACAGAGAGAGACTCTGTCTCAAAAAAAAAAAAAAAAAAAAAAAAAACTTGGTGACTAGAGATGGTGTGAGCTGCGATTATTTCTGAATTTAAGTATAGAAGCCTTCCTCAAACAGAAGCCATGGCAGGACTTAAAACTCTGGCAGTGGTTTCCAGATTTTCTTTTACCAGCAGAGGTCCCCATTCATGAGAAATCCTGTGAAGAATAGGAATGTGAGCTGGGCACGGTGGTACACACCTGTTGTCCCAGCTTCTCAAGAGGCTGAAGTAGGAAGATCCCTTGAGCTCAGGAATCTGAGACCAGCCTGGCAACATAGTGAGACTCCAGCTTGGAAAAAAAAGCATGTAAACCAGATAAAAGGAGAGCTATCCTGGTGAAAGAGGAGGTGCCCAGGACCTGACTTGCTTTGCCTCCCCTGGACGAAATCCTTCAGGTGGCTTAGAGGTGTCTCCATCATCCCACAGCTCGGAGGAATACGAGCTGAAACCCACTGCCTTTTTTGCAAAAAGTGATTGATGCTGTAAATGAACCTAGGAAAACCCTTATGGGTTTTTTCAAGCCCATAAAAATAAAAATAAATAACAGCACTCAGAATAATTCAAGATATTTTATATCACATAAATAAGTCCCACTGGTTTTCATTTGTCATCTTTGACATCGTGGAACATTTTTGGATACCTATCTTCCATCTCTTCTTAACAGTTTTTTTTTCTTTTTTCTTTTCTTTCTTTTTTTTTTATTGAGATGGAGTCTCACTCTGTTTCCCAGGATGGAGTGCAGTGGCATGATCTCAGCTCACTGCAACTTCTGCCTCCTGGGTTCAAGCGATTCTCCTGCCTCAGCCTCCCAAATAGCTGGGATTACAGGTGTGTGCCACCACGCCTGGCTAATTTTTTGTATTTTTAGTAGAGACAGGGTTTCACCATGTTGGCCAGGCTGGTCTCGAACTCCTGATCTCAGGTGATCTGCCCACCTCGGCCTCCCAAAGTGCTGGGATTACAAGCGTGAGCCACTGCGCCTGGCCTTAAATTTTTAATTGATTTTTATTTTTACTATCCTTTTATAATTCTTAAAAAATTAGTACGTTTTTATCATATTTTAATTTATTAAGACCTTAATTTTTATTTTACCAAACTGGTACTTGCACAAGAGACCAAATAGTTCTAACAGGCTTATAATGAAGAAACAGCTGTCTCCTGGCTTACTCTTCCCTACGTGTTTCTCTTCCAAAAGGTAACCATTTTGAACTCTTTTAGCTGTTTCTTCTAGTACTGAATAACCTTCATGTTGTCTAGATAATATATATTTGGGGCCGGGCACGGCGGCTCACGCCTGTAATCCCAGCACTTTAGAAGGCCGAGGCGGGCGGATCACGAGGTCAGGAGATCGAGACAATCATGGCTAACACGGTGAAACCCCGTCTCTACTAAAAATACAAAAAGTTAGCCGGGCGTAGTGGCGGGCGCCTGTAGTCCCAGCTACTCGGGAGGCTGAGGCAGGAGAATGGCCTGGACGCGGGAGGCGGAGCTTGCAGTGAGCCGTGATCACGCCACTGCATTCCAGCCTGGGCGACAGAGCGAGACTCCGTCTCAAAAAAATAAATTAAAAAATAAATAAATAACATATTTAAGAGCTTCCAGATAGCTGAACACATGGAGGTGCCCAGGGAGAGCATGGAAACTCCATCTGCCTTCCCCCATGCCCTGCCCTATGCATCTCTTCTACCCGAGTGTTCATTTTTTTTTTCTTTTTTTGAGATGGAGTCTCACTCTGTTGCCCAGGCTGGAGTGCAATGGTGCAATCTCAGCTCACTGCAACCTCCGTCTCCCAGGTTCAAATGATTCTCCTGCCTCAGCCTCCCGAGTAGCTGGGATTACAGGTGCCCGCCACCACACCCAGCTAATTTTTTGTATTTTTAGTAGAGATGGGGTTTCACCATGTTTGACCAGGCTGGTGGCGATCTCCTGACCTCAGATGATCCACCTGCCTTGGCCTCCCAAAGTGCTGGGATTACAGGCATGAGCCACCACTCCCAGCCCTGGCTGTTCATTTTTATTAAAAAATCCTTCTAACTTGAATTCTCTTCTTACTTGAATATTCCCTCCCAGATTTTTCCCGTATGTTGTCTTTTTTTTCCCCTCACTCTGTCACCCAAGCTGGAATGCAATGGAATGCATAATCCTGGCTCACTGCAGCCTCAAACTCCTGAGCTCAGGTGATCCTCCCAACTCAGCCTCTCAACTATTTGGGACTACAGGTATGCACCACCATGCCCAACTAATATTTTTTTTATTAATTATCATTATTTTTTGAGACAGCCTTTTTGTATAATTGTGGCTATTCTTTGACACAACACCAAAACTTAACAAGTAGTAGTTTCTCTTTTTTTGAGATGAAGTCTCGCTCTGTCGCCCAGGCTGGAGTGCAGTGGTGCCATCTCGGCTCACCGCAACCTTCACCTCCCAGAATCAAGTGATCCTCCTGCCTCAGCCTCTGGGGAGCTGGGACTACAGGCGTGCACCACCACACCTGGCTAATTTTTGTATTTTTAGTAGAGACAAGGTTTCACCATGTTGGCCAGGCTGGTCTCTGAACTCCTGACCTCAAGCGATCTGCCCACCTTGGCCTCCCAAAGTGCTGAGATTACAGGCATGAGCCACACCACGCCTGGCCCCAACTAATTTTTGAATTGTTTTTTAGAGACAGGGTCAGTCGGGTCTTGCTATATTGCCTAAGCTGTTCTCGTACTTCTCAAGCAATCCCTCTGCCATGGCTTCCCTGCAGGTGTGAGCCACCACACCCAGCCTGCCCTATATAGTCTTTGTTTAGATTTTCTCACTCCACTTAGCTCTATTTATCACACCTGTTTAGACCCTCACAGATCCATCTGCTCACCTATGAAAAGTTCTGGTCATTCCAATCTTGAGGTGTCCTCCATACTTGCCAGAGAAACCATTGTCTACTTTCCCTGCTTCTTTTCTCAACATTCCCCAGCACACAGTGTACTGTAAACATAGCATTGTATATGGAAAAAAAGGGTAATAGATACAGAATTCCTGTTAATCACAAGAAATGTAGGGACTTGATTTGGCAGGAATCACACCGGAAGGGTGAAAATTTCTTGAATGTTTATCAAAATCACCTGGAAGCTTTTTAAAACATAGATCCTTGGCTTTGATCCACAAAGTAAACAAATAAACAAATACTATGTTTATACTGCCCTTTCTTGATTTATAACTTTTAGGTATTACCTATTGACTTATTTTTGGTAGTTGGGATTTTAGTATCTTTATATGCCCCCTTTCTCTTAACCTTCCCTCCCTATATTCCCGGTGAGGTTCTGTCACAACATTTAGTTAAATCAGTCACCAGCATTTAGATAATGTGATATTGCTCACTGCCAAGCCAGATGATATGCCAAAATTATGGGTTTTTATTTTTTCCCCTCCAATAGCCTTGTGTTTTTCCTGAAGTTCATAAGTGCATCTATTTTTATGTGCGTCTTCCTATGTACTTATCACTAACATTTATCCAGATACTCAGATCTATCTAATTTCTCAATGGCCCAAGCATGTCAATGACTGACAATTGTATTCGTCATTGCTCCTGCCCCCCCTGCAGGTATTTTGGGACCTTTAGACCTGGTAGTTAGCTACTTTCCTGGGACCTCCTTTTGCTGTTCTCCTGTTCTGTGTCCCATTTCCTAATCTCACGTGCTCTTCAACTTCAACTTACCTCCTCATTTTGCTAAAACAGTTCCTCCGGTATCTTCCTGGGACCTCCAAGTGTTCAGACTCCCAGCTGTTTTTCTCAACAAATTTGTTTACTTCACACATATATCTTCTTCTGTGGCTGCTTAGTTACAATTTCCCCTTTTCTACTAAATGAGTTGTCCTCCCTTGGACTAGGGTACAGGCAATGGAGATGGAGAGAGGCAAACAAATTCAAGAAACAAAAGATATAAAATTCCCAGGACCGGCTGATATAGTGGCTTCGGGGAGTAAGGGAGACAAATTTCTGGCTGATCCAGTTGTGCAGGGTTGTTTATTTGAACAGAAAACATAAACTTGTTTTATATCTGAATGTTGAGTTTTTATACAGTAAAGACATATACAAGTAAAACTACAAAATTGCATATATTTATACACAATATATAAATTTGTATGAAACCAAATGTCAATAGTTGATTTTTGGAATAGTTTCTAAATGGTATCTAATAAATCAGTGTTTTCCAAGCTTTTTTGGTCATAACACCCATCAGTAAAACTGTTTTTTAATATGGACCCCCATATTATACAGGTTGAGCATCCCTAATCCAAAAGTCCAAAATCCAAAATGCTCCAAAATCTGAAATCTTTTGAGCACTGACATGATGCCACCGTGGAAAATTTCATATCTGACCTCATATGGCAGGTCACAGTCAAAACTTTGTTTCATGCACAAATTTATTTAAAAATATTTTATAAAATTACCTTCATGCTACATGTATAAGGTGTATGTAAAACAAAAATGGGCCAGTAGTCGTGGCTCACACCTGTAATCCCAGCACTTTGGAAGGCCAAGCATGAGGATTGCTTGAGGCTAGGAGTTCAAGACTGGCCTGGGCAACACAGCAAGACCCTGTTTTAAGGAAAGTAAAAAAAAATTAGCCAGGTATGGTGGCATGGTAAGGCATGGTGGTCCCAGATACTTGGGAGGCTGAGGTGGGAGGACTGCTTGAGCCCAGGAGTTTGAGGCTGCAGTGAGCTATGATGGTGCCACTGCACTGCAGCCTGGGTGACAGAGCAAGATTCTTTCTCTAAAAAAAAAGAAAAAGAAAAGAAACATAAATACATTTTGATTTTAGACTTGGGTCTCATCCCCAAGATATCTCATTATGTATATGAAATCCAGATTTCAAAATTTTGAAATTTTCAAAATTTTTGATTTCAAAAATTTGAAATCTTGGGACCACTTATGGTCCCAAGAAATTTAAGGGATATTCAACCTATTTATACACACATATATACATACTTATATAAATGTGTATATTATTATGCTAATTTATTAAGTACAGCATAAAAATATACAAAAATATAAGTTACAAATGATATACAGCTGGGGCAACATAGCAAGACCCCCCCCCCTGCCGTGTCTACAAAATACTTTTAAAAATTAGCCAGGCATGGTGGTGCATGCCTGTAGTCCTAGCTACTTGGGAGACTGAGGTGGGAGGATCATCTGAGCCCAGGAGCTCCAGGCTGCAGTGAGCTATGATTGTGTCACTGCATTTCAGCTTGGGTGACAGAGTAAGAATCCATCTTTAATAAATGATATAAAAATAAATATAAATGAAAAGTTACAGGGTATTATAGAAGTTATAGTGTATTAGCCAGATGACATGATCTGCTGTAAAGAACTGCCTGAGACTGGGTAATTTATAAAGGAAAGAGGTTTAATTGACTCACGATTCCGCATGGCTGGGGAGGCCTCAGGAAACTTACAATCATGGCAGAAGGGGAAGCAGACACGTTCTTCTTCAAATGGTGGCAGCCAAGAGAAGTGCCGAGCAAAAGGAGGAAAAGACCTTTATAAAACCAAGAGATCTCAGCCGGTCGCTGTGGCTCACGCCTGAAATCCCAGTACTTTGGGAGGCTGAGGCAGGCGGATCACAAGGTCAAGAGATCGAGACAATTCTGGCCAACATGGTGAAACCCCGTCTCTAGTAAAAATACAAAAATTAGCTGGGCGTGTTGGCACATACCTGTAGTCCCAGCTACTCAGGAAGCTGAGGCAGGGGAATCGCTTGAACCCGGGAGGCAAAGGTCGCAGTGAGCCGAGATCATGCTATTGCACTCCAGCCTGGTGACAGAGCAAGACTTCATCTCAAAAACAAAAACAAAAAAAACTCATCAGATCTCATAAGAACTCTTTCACTATCATGAGAATAGCAGAGGGTAACTGTCCCCATGATTCAATTACCTCCCACTGTGTCCCTCCCATGACATGTGAGGATTATGGGAACTACGATTCAAGATGAGATTTGGGTGGGGACACAGCCAAACCATATAATATAGTACTTAAGCCATGGATTTCATCGAATAATTTTAGGCCCTATTTTGGTGCTTAGACCTCTTTTGGTGATTAGGCCTATTTTGAAGATTATTGCTATAAATAACAGCCTTAGTTCAAAATATGATATGCAAAATGACCAATATTTATCAGCACTTCTGTGTATTGCTAAACTTCATAGTAACTTAACAGTTTAGCATGACCATCAAAGGCCACAGTTGCTTAAAGGGAGACTTCTTGAAAACCCAGGACCTGGCCAGAAGTGGTGGCTCATGCCTGTACTCCCAGCACTTTGGGAGGCTGAGGCCGGTGGATCACTTGAGGTCAGGAGTTTGAGACCATCCTGGCCAACATGGTGAAACCCCGTCTCTACTAAAAATACAAAAATTAGCTGGGTATGGTGGTGCGTGCCTGTAGTCCCAGTTACTCGGGAGGATGAGGTAGGAGAATTACTTGAACCCGGAAGGTGGAGGTTGCAGTGAACCGAGATCACGCCACTGTACTCCAGCCTGGGCAAGAAGAACGAAACTCTGTCTCAAAAAAGAAAAAAAAAAAGAAAAAAAGAAAACCCAGGACTTGGTTTCAGCAGTGTCACTGCTGAATTCTACCAAACACTTAAAGAACTAACACCAACTCTTCAAAAAATCAAAGAGGAAGGAGTACTTCTAAATTAATTTTATGAGGCTAGCGCTACCCAAATACCAAACCAGACAGGGACACACAAAAATAAAGAAAATTAGAGGCCAGTATCTCTGATGAACATAGATGTAAAAATCCTCAACAAAATACTAGAAAACCGAATTCAACACCCACTAAAAAGATCATTTACCATGATTAAGTGGGACTCATCCCAGGGATACAAGGATGATTCAACATATACAAACCAATAAACATGACGACTTACATTAACAGAATCACAAATAAAAACCATATGATCATTTCAATAGATGGTAAAAAGCATTTGAAAAAATTCAACCTCCCTTCATGATAAAAATTCTCAACAAACTGGGTATAGAAGGAACATTGTCAAAACACAAGGACCATGTATGACAAATGTATGAGTTATACTGAATGGGGAAAAAAACGGAAAGCCTTTCCTCTAAGATCTGGAACAAGGCAAGTATGCCTACTTTTATTCAACATAATACTAGAAATCCTAGCCAGGGCAACTAGGCAAGAAAAAGTTAAAATAAAGGGCATCCAAATAGGGAAGGAAAAATCAAATTATCCTTGTTGCAGATGACATGATCTTGTATTTAGAAAAACTCTACCAACAGTCCGCTAGAACTGATAAACAAATTTAGTAAAGTTGTGGGATACAAAATCAACATACAAAAATCATTGCATTTCTATAAATTAACAGCAAACAATCTGAAAAATAGACCAATCACATGTAGGTAGCTACAAAAAATACCTAGAAAGAAATATAATCAAATAAGTAAAATATCTCTACAGTGAAAAATATAAAACACTGATGGAAGAAGTTAAAGAGGACACTGTATTAGCCCATTTTCATGCTGCTGATAAAGACATACCCGAGACTGGGTAATTTATAAAGAAAAAGAAATATAATGAACTCACAGTTCCACGTGGCTGAGGAGGCCTCACAATCATGGTGGAAGGCGAAAGGCATGTCTTACATGGCGGCAGGTAAGAGAATGAGAACCAAGCAAAAGGGGTTTCCCCTTATAAAACCATCAGATCTCGTGAGACTTATTCACTACCATGAGAACAGTGCAGGGAAAACTACCCCCCATGATTCAGTTATCTCCCACTGGGTCCCTCCCTGAACACATGGGAATTATAGGAGCTACAATTCAAGATGAGATTTGGGTGGGGAACACAGCCAAACAATATCAGACACATACACACAAAAATGGAAAGCCCATGCTCATGGGTTGAAAGAATATTGTTAAACTGTCCATGGTACCCATGGTGTCCATGCAATCTACAGATTCAATATGCTCCCTGTCAAAATACCAATGCCATTCTTCACAGAAATAAAAAATAAAATCCCAAAATTTTTATGGAACCACAAAAGACACCAAATAGCCAAAGCAATCCTGAGCAAAAAGGATTGCCGTCCCTTGGGCCTGCTGTCCCTTGGGCTTGTGTGCCTCTTCCTTCTGCTTCCCTCTATGTTCTTTCTCTGCAGTAACCCATAACCAAACAAAGCTGAAGGCATCAGACTCCCTGACTTCAAAATATACTACAATGCTATAATAACCAAAACAGTATGGCTTGTGTATAAAACCATGACACATAACCAAATGGAATAGAATAGAGAACCCAGAACTAAATTCACACATTTACAGCCAACTCATTTTTGACAAAGGCTCTGAGAACATATACTTGGGAAAGAAGAGTATCTTCAATAAACGATGCTGGAAAAACTGAATATCCATATGCAGAAGAATAAAATTAGACCCCCCTCTCTCTCACCATGTACAAAAATCAAATCAAAATGGATTAAAGACTGATATGTAAGACTTGAAACTATAAAACCACTAAAAAAACACCGTAGAGGAACCACCTTAGGACATTAATCTGAGCAAAGATTTTATGGAGAAGAACTCGAAAGCACAGGCAACCAAAGCGAAAATAGATCAATGGGATTACATCAAGCTAAAAAGCTTCTGCACAGCAAAGAAAATAATCAACAGAGTGAAAAGACAACTTACAGAAAGGGAGAAAATGTTTGCAAACTATGCATCTAACAAGGGGTTATGCAAACCATTGTTATATGCCAGAATATATAAGGAACTCAAATAACTCAATGGCAAAAGGTCAAATAATTGGATTTAAAAGTTTGAATAGACATTTATCAAAAGAAGATATACAAATGGCCAACAGGTATATGAAAAAATGCTCAACATCACTAATTATCAGGGAAATGCAAGTCAAAACCACAATGAGATACTATCTCACCTTAGTTAAAATGTCTGTTATCAAAATGACAAAAAATAGCAGATAATGGCAAGGCTGCGGAAGAAGGATAACAGTGGTACACTGTTGAGAGGAATGTATATTTAGTGCAACCACTATGGAAAGCAGTCTGAAGGTTCCTCAAAACACTGAAAATAGAGCTACCATACGATCCAGCAATCCTACGGCTGTGTGTATATATCCAAAAGAAAGGAAATCACTATGTGGAAGAAATAGCTGCACTCCCGTGTGTATTGCAGCAAACATCACAATAGCCAAGATGTGGAATCAACTGAAGTGTCCATCGACAGAAGAATGGATAAAGAAAATGTGGTACTTAACACACAGTGGAATATTATTCAGCCATAAAAAGGGATATCCTGTCATTTGCAGCAATATAGATGGAACTGGGGGTCATTATGTTAAGTGAAATAAACCAGGCACAGAAAGACAAATATTGCATGTTCTCACTCATATGTGGGAACTTAAAAAATTGATCTCATGGAGGTAGAAAGTAGAATAATGATTACCAGAGGCTAGGAAGAGGGCACAGATGAAGAGAGGTTGGTTAATGGGTATAAACATACAGTTAGAAGGAATCCATTTTAACATTTGATAGCACAGCACGATGACTAGTTAACAATAATTTAATGTATATTTCAAAATACCTAGAAGGTAAGATTTGGAATGTTCCCAACACAAAGAAATGCTAAATGTTTGAGGAGGTGGATATCCTAATTACCCTGATTTGACCATTACTTATTGTATGCTTGCATCAAAATATTGCATGTACTTCATAAATGTGTACAATTATGTATCTGTTTTTTAAAGTTTGTGTTTTAAAGGTAGATTTCTCTGGAGTGCCAGTATCTGGACCATTGGGAGACACTGTTAGCTTTGTAGAGAGGGCAGCAAGGGAGAGGGCTTGAGCTTTTGAGCAGCCTCTGCCTTCAGCTAGCTTCGAGCATGTCTTTGAGCGTGTCTTCTCTGGCCTTCTGTTTATTTCTAAGGTGAGAAAATTAGATGCCATGTCCTCCAAGAAGCCATGCATGCTTAAATGTGATATTTCATGTATAGCGCTTGTCACAGTGTCTGGCACATAGCAATGGCTGACAGCCTCAAGGATAATATTATCATCAGTCGTCTCCCAGATAACTGCAGCACCTCCTCCCTGGTGTTCCCGATTCCACTCTTGCTTCCGTTTTCCACATAATAGCCAGAGTGACCTTTGAGAAAACATAAATGGGACAAATGATAAA
This sequence comes from Homo sapiens, assembly GCF_000001405.40. NCBI lineage: Eukaryota > Metazoa > Chordata > Mammalia > Primates > Hominidae > Homo > Homo sapiens. The sequence continues at coordinate 101,208,131 of NC_000002.12, read as the reverse complement.
GCTTTTTTAACATAAAATGTATGATCACAATTATGCGGTAAAGGATTCACTGGCCAAGTGCGGTGGCTCAGGCCTGCAGTTCCAGCACTTTGGGAGGCCGAGGCAGGTGGATCACTTGAGGTCAGGAGTTCAAGACCAGCCTGGCCAACATGGCAAAACTTCGTCTCTACTAAAAATACAAAAAATTAGCTGGGCGTGGTGGCAGGCACCTGTAGTCCCAGCTCCTTGGGAGGCTGAAGCTGGAGAATTGCTTGAACCTGGGAGACGGAGGTTGCAGTGAGCTCTGATCATGCCACTACACTCTAGCATGGGTGACACAATGAGACTTTTTCTCAAAAAAAAAAAAATTAACTTTGTCCAGAGAAATGTTTGGTGGTTGCTCAACTCCTGGGTGGTAACCTCTAAGCCTGGAATATCCTGCCTGATAAGATAAGGTGCCTTTGTTTATCTGGGGGCCTTGGGCCACCAAGATCGTGTATGCCAATTGATATGTGGCTTGGGGGACGTTGGGCCACACAGTAGCAGCTCAACTTATGGAGGGCCTGGAGACTAAGGTCAGCTACATGGTCAGTCAACCACACCCACACGGCTGACTCCCAATCAAAACCCCAGACACCAAGGCTCAAATGAGCTTCCCTGTTTGGCAGTACTCCATGTGGGTTGTCATGCATTGTGCTAGGACAGTTAAGCACTGTCCATAATATTCCAACGGGAGAGACTCCTGGAAGCTTGTGCCTGCTGTCCCTTGGGCCTCTGTGACTCTTCCCTCTGCGTCATTCTGTATTATTTCTCTGCAATAAACCATAACCCCCAGCACTTTGGGAAGCCAAGGCAGGCAGATCATTTGAGGTCAGGAATTCGAGACCAGCCTGGCCAACATGGTGAAGCCCCGTCTCTACTAAAAATGCAAAAAAAATTAGCTGGGCATGGTGGCAGGCACCTGTAATCCCAGTTACTAGGGAGGCTGAGGTAGGAGAATCGCTTGAACCTGGGAGGCAGCAGTTGCAGGGAGCTGAGATCACACCATTACACTCCAGCCTGGGTGACAGTGAGACTCAATCTCAAATAAATAAATAAATAGCCATGAATATAATCACTTCTGAGTTCTGCGAGCCCTTCTAGCAAATCATTGAACCTACAAGTGGCCGGGGGGACCCCTAAATTGCAAATTGTTTTAATTTTTTAATTTTTGAGATGAATTTTCACTCTCATTGCCCAGGCTGCAATGCAATAGTGTGATCTCGGCTCACTGCAACCTCCGCCTCCCGGGTTCAGGCGATTCTCCTGCCTCAACCTCCTGAGTAGCTGGGATTACAGGCATGCACCACCACTCCCGGCTAATTTGGTATTTTTAGTATAGAGACAGGGTTTCTCCATGTTGGTCAGGCTGGTCTCGAACTCCTGACCTCAGGTGATCCGCCCGCCTCAGCCTCCCAAAGTGCTGGGATTACAGGCTTGAGCCACTGTGCCTGGCCTTGCAATGCTTTTTTAAGTTAAAAATCTAACAGAGTACTCACCCTTAATAAACAATCAACATGCAAATCAACATGCACCTAATGTCTACCTGTTGAGACAATCTTGAATAAGATACCCTTTAGAAAAATCTGACGAAAAACTTCAATTTTAAGATACATGAAATTATTTTGCTTTAGTGAGTGCTAGTGTTCCCCCTATTTTAGACTTACAGATCATTTACTACCCTGCTTAAAAGCCCAGTGGCTTCTTGGTACAGCTGGTATAAAATCCTAACTCCTTTTTGTAGTTTACAAAGTCCAAATGACCCTGCCCCTGCCCAACTCTCTGACCTTGTGTGGCATCACTTGTTCCTTTCCCCCATGCTCTGCTCACCTCGGCCTTTCTGCAGTTCTTTAGACAGGCCAAACCTCCTCCAGCCTTGGGGCCTTTGCGCGTGCTATTTCCTCTGCAAGGACAGCTGGTTCCGTGTTGTCCTTTCATGCCCAGCTGCTCCCAGGAAGTTTCTGGTCTCAAGAAAAATAGCCACCCCAATAGTCTCTATAACATGGCACATGCCTCCATGGCCAGCTAATTTTTTGTATTTTCCTAGAGACAGGGTTTCACCATGTTGCCCATGGCTGGTCTCAAATTCCTGAACTCAGGCAATCCACCCGTGTGAGTCTCCCAAAATGCTAGCATTACAGGCATGAGCCACCGCACCCAGGCAATTTTTGTATTTTTAGTGGAGATGGGGTTTTGCCATTTTGGCCAGGCTGGTCTCGAACTCCTGACCTCAGGCGATCCGCCCGCCTCAGCCTCCCAAAGTGCTGGGACTACAGGCATGAGCCACCGCACCCTACCCATCAGTACTTTTCTGATCTCTAAGGAGTTTCCAAGGCTGAGTCCTGGAGGCTGCTCCCAAAGATTGCATGTCATTAACACTAGATGGCATCAGAAACTGATCCGATGCACCAGCCAAGTCTTAAACCCCAGGCCCGGAGCTCATCAGGCCCGGAAACCATCGTTTCCCTTACTTTCATTTTAAAATCAAGCAAAAACAGAGTATCAACTATAAGTAACAGCTATGTAACTTCTTCCAATATATAAAATACCCCTTGGAGCTAATCTGATGAAGGAAATCTATGGTATGTGAAGTTATCTTTTTGAATGAATTTTAGCTATTTCTAATCTTTTTCTCTTAAAAGAAATTTGCTTAGGCATATGAAAAATTGTAAGCATTACTATAATAAGCACCTACATGCCCGTCCCCCAGGCTAAGAAATCAAGAATATAGGCCAGGCGCAGTGGCTCATGCCTGTAATCCCAACAATTTAGGAGGCCGAGGTGGGCAGATCACCTGAGGTCAGCAGTTCGAAACCATCGTGGCCAACATGGTGAAACCCCGTCTCTAGTAAAAATACAAAAATTATCCCGGCATGGTGGTGTGTGCCTGTAATCCCAGCTACTCAGGAGGCTGAGGCAGGAGAATCGCTTGAACCCAGGAGGCGGAGGTTGCAGTGAGCTGAGATCGTGCCACTGCACTCCAGCCTGGGCAACAGAGCAAGACTGTCTCAAAAAAAAAAAAAAAAAGAAAAAGAAATCAAGAATATAAATACAGTAGTCATCCCCTGGGTATGTTTTTCCTCTCAAATGTGTCTCCCTCCCTGGTCCACATTTCCTACTCTGAAAAGACTAACTCTATGTGTATGTCCATTTATAGGATCGCTGAACAAATACCACAGATACACCAGAAATCCATTGTACTGCCATTGCCTCTCCACTGGGGGACAGAGGTCCGGGGAGCCTCTCTTTTCAATGCATTCTCTCCTGTACTATTTAAATTTTTTTCATTAAAAAAGTAATATCCTATTCAAAATAGTAAATATATAAGCTTTGAAAATTGTCAGCCTGTATCTGGGTTTTAAAGGGGGGGGTTCTTAGACTAGGTGCAGTGGCTCACACCAATAATCTCATCACTTTGGGAGACCAAGGTGGGAGGATTGCTTGAGGCCAGAAATTTGAGACCAGCCTGGGCAACACAGTAAGACTCTGTCTCTACAAAAAGTTTAAAACTTAGCCGGGTGTGGTGGTGCAAGCCTGTGCACTTGGGAGGTGCACAGGAATGGGAGGCTGAGGCAGGAACATAGCTTGAGCACAGGAGTTCGAGGTTACAATGAGCTATGATGGTGCCACTGCACTCCAGCCTGGGCAACACAGCAAGACTCTATCTCAAAAAATAAATTATAAATAAATAAAAGAGTGTTTCTTCTCTTTTTACCATCTGAAACCTCACTTGGTTTAAAATCCTTTTTCTTAAAACAAACAAACAAAAACAGCTTTATTGAGACAAAATTCATACACCGTACAATTCACCTATTTAAAATGTATGAGTCAATGATTTTTAGTGGAAAATTACTCTCTATTAGGGCTCATTTACTATGAACCCTAAGGAATCCTGGGTTTTTCTCCACAAAGGCACTCTGGCCCCCTAAGCTGGGCAGGTGTGAAGGCTCCACCTGCTTCCCTGCTTCCATGGTCTTCCTTTTGAGCCCTCAATCCCCTCCCTCACATGCACACTCTTCCCCTCCCCTGCTGTGCAGAGAAAAAGGTCTAATGAAATATTCAGCAAACCACCAGGTGCGGTGGCTCACGCCTGTAATCTCAGCACATTGGGAGGCGAAGGTGGGCAGATCGCTTGAGCTCAGGAGTTTGAGACCAGCCTGGCCAACGTGGGAGAAACCCCGTGTCTACTAAAAATACAAAAAATTAGCTGGGGGTGATGGTATGTGCCTTTCATCCCAGCTACTTGGGAGGCTGAGGCAGGAGAATTGCTTGAACCCGGGAGGCAGAAGTTGCAGTGAGCCAAGATCGTGCCACTGCACTCCAGCCTGGGGGACAGTGAGACACCATCTCAAAAAAACAAACAAAACAAAAAAAAAAACACAGAAAGAAAGAGAGAGAGAGAAAGAAAGAGAGAGAGAAAGGAAGGAAGGAAGGAAGGAAAGAAAGAAAGAAAGATTCAGCAAATCTAGGGGTGCTGTGAGGAACTCAGGTGTTGTATTTGATAAGCTTCTGTATTGTTTGAAAATTCTACAAGTAGCATGTCTCCTATTTTAATTAAAAAATATATTTAAAGTCTTATCTCTCCCCAGCATTTGTCAGTTCTAATCTGCGTATATGAAAAATGCCAGGAGGAGTCGGAGGAAAGCGGAGCATCCATGCTTCCTGGAGGGCAAGCCCTGTCTCTTATTCTTATTTTTACTTATTTATTTTCTTTGAGACAGGGTCTTGTTCTGTCACCCAGGCTGGAGTGCAGTGGCATGATCACAGCTCACTACAGCCTCAGGCCCCCAGGCTCAAGAGATGCTCCCACCTCAGCCTCGCAAAGTGCTATGGAATTATAGGCCTGAGCTACCACACCTGGCCAGACCCTGTGTCTTAGGTCTTGAGTTTCCTAAGGTTTTCCATTCTGTCTTCACTAATCATGGAAGCCCTCCCCATGCAATCATGCCCAGCACTGGCTATAACCCTGGGAGGGGTGCAGAGGCAGCCCACGGTTCCAGGGGAGGAGGCAGGCCCTGCTAGGAGGGAAAGTGACTTGTTCCAAGTCCCAAAGCAGCAGAGCAAGTTTCTGCTCCAATGTGAGTGCTCTTGAGCATGCCAAACAAGCTTTCCCTCATGTCTGGGGGTTGAGAGCAGCCCTCCTTTGGGGTGCCTCCGTGGGCAGCCACCTTTGACAGGTTGCAGCCCAGGCCAGAAGTCAGGAGAATGCCGGAGAGAAAACGTCAGAGAGGACGCCAGACCAGCTGGAGTCCTGCCTGCCCCTGGCCTGTTCCCCACCTGGGGACCCTCCCAAGCACCTCACATCCATGCACACACAGGACCCTTTCTAACCATTTTTATCATCTATTTCTCTCTTTCTTTTTCAGCGTTACATTCCCAGTGGCTCTTATTGTCCTTCGCAACCCCACTTGATGTTGAAAAGCTTCAAATAAACGTTAATGAAGCATAATAGTAATCCTATGCGCTCAGTAGGGATTGATTTTGGGTGTAAAATACTAATGTGTCTTTCAGGGCTATTGCTGTATGTCATTAGAATGCAGCTCACATAGTGTTTCCTAATGTACAAACCACACCAAGACCTATTTTTCTTTCTGGGAAAACATTAAGTATTACCACTAACATTACTTTTTTCCCCCTTTTTATTTTTATTGCATGTCCAGACACTCAATAATAACTGATATAGGTTAGTCCTGTTAATGCATCAGCTGTTTCCATTTTTTCAGAGTTTTTTCTGGTCTGCACAGATATAGAGCTGTATTCTCACATTAGTATTCCACTGGCATGATTTTCAGTGGTACCATCTAAAGCCATACACTCAATTGCTCCTGTCCAATTTCGTCTTTGATGAAATAAAAATGTAAAATGTTTTGGCATGTCATTTTCCAAATGTTTCTCTGTTTTTTGCAGAAATACATGTTATTGATGGCAAGGTAAGTGCAAGGTCAGAATAAACAGTATTCTCCCTGGCTTCCAGCACTCCCACCAGGAGGCATCCAGGAGAAAAGGTCACCATGTTCTTGGGAGCTTCTCTATGTGATGTCAATCAGCATGCATGCCTATTCTGAAGCCATACAAGGCAGCCACAGATTGTGCCCAAGAGCATGTATAGCTGGGACTACCCTATGTGTCACTAAATCTTTTCCTTCTAAGCACACAAAGAGACCACATTGCATCTAGAGAAATAAGAGATGTGGTCGAGTGCAGTGGCTCACGCCTGTAATCCCAGCACTTTGGGAGGCAGAGGCGGGCAGATCACCTGAGGTCAGGAGTTCAAGACCAGCCTGGCCAACGTGGTGAAAACCCATCTTTACTAAAAATACGAAAATTAACCAGGCATTGTGGCACGCACCTGAAGTCCCAGCTACTTGGGAGGCTGAGGCAGGAGAATAGCTTGAACCTGGGAAGAGGAGGTTGCAGTGAGCCAAGATCATGCCATTGCACTCCAGCCAGGGGGACAAGAGCGAAACTCCACCTCAAAAAAAAAAAAAAAAAAAAAAGAGAGAGAAATAAGAGATGAGTTCTGGCCAAGGAAATGTGGACAGAAGAGTGTGGGTGATGATTAGGGCCAGACCCCAAAAATCTCTCATGTGAGCGAAAAGAGTGATGGAGTTTCACTGTTTTCTGACCAATCAACTGTGTACTCATTCAAAAAGCGTTAAGTTCCTTGTTTGTAATAGTGTCTTGCTCAATAATTTGAGAAACATTGGTTTCAACTTGTTTATTTATTGCAGAACTTCTCAGAGACTTTATTTTTATTTGTATTTATTTTTTTGAGATGGAGTCTCACTCTGTCGCCCAGGCTGGAGTGCAGTGGGATGATATTGGCTGACTGCAGCTTCTGTATCCCGGGTTCAAGCAATTCTGCCTCAGCCTCCCAAGTAGCTACGACCATACCTAGCTAATTTTTGTATTTTTAGGAGAGATGGGGTTTCACCACGTTGGCCAGGCTGGTCTTGAACTCCTGACCTCAAACGATCCGCCTGCCTCAGGCTCCCAAAGTGCTGGGATTACAGACATGAGCCACTGCGCCCAGCAGGGGCATATTTTTATAACAAATAGCCAGGTTTTAGCCCATCACAAACAGCCAAACTTCAGCTAATCAAGGCAGCCAGCTGATCACATCATGCTCAAATAAAGCAAATGCCTAGCAGTAGCCAATCAGGTGATTTCTCTGCTTTGCTTCTGTGTTCGGTCTATAAAAGTTCACTGCTCACACTTACGGGTGGAGTCCTTGGAACCTCTCCTGCTTATGAGTACTGCCTGACTCATTAATTGTTAATTGTTCAAATAAACTGTTAAATTTATTTTGTCTGAAGTTTTTCTTTTGACACATTGCATATTAGTGTTTTCCAAAGCCTTCAAGGCCCTAGACTGAACCAGCTCAAGGCAAGTGTTGGGCAGCTGACACTGTGGCACTAAGCTCCAAGTGGCACTAAAACAAGCAATCAAAGAAAAAATAGATAAACTGGACTTCTTCAAAATGAAAAGGTTTATACATCAAAGAACACTATCAGGACAATGAAAAGACAACCCACAGCATGGGAGAAAATATTTGCAAACCATATATCTGATAAGGGACTAGTATCCAGAATATATAGAATACTCTGACAGATCAGAAATAAAAAGACAAATAACCCAATTAAGAAATAAAATCGGCTGGGCACGGTGGATCATGCCTGTAATCCCAGCACTTTGGGAGGCCGAGGCAGGCAGATCATGAGGTCAGGAGATCGAGACCATCCTGGCCAACACAGTGAAACCCCGTCTATACTAAAAATACAAAAAATTAGCCGGTTGTGGTGGCGGGTGCCTGTAGTTCCAGCTACTAGGGAGGCTGAGGCAGGAGAATGGTGGAAACCTGGGAGGCGGAACTTGCAGTGAGCCAAGATCGCACCACTGCACTCCAGCCTGGGTGACAGAGCGAGACTCCGTCTCAAAAAAAAAAAAAAAAAAGAAAGAAATAAAATCTGGCCGGGCACAGTGGCTCACACCTGTAATCCCACCACTTTGGGAGGCCGAGGTGGGTGAATCGCTTGAGGTCAGGAGTTCAAGGCCAGCCTGGCCAACATAGTGAATCCCCATCTCTACTAAAAATGCCAAAATTAACTGGGCATAGTGGTGGGTTCCTGTAATCCCAGCTCAGATTACAGGAGGTTGAGGCAGGAGAATCATTTGAACCCGGGAGGCGGAGGTTGCCGTGAGCCGAGATCATGCCACTCCACTCCAGCCTGGGCGACGGAGCAAGACTCCATCTCAAAAAAAAAAAAAAAAGAAAAAAGAGGAAAGGAAATAAAATCTTCTTTGTCCAAAGAACATATACAAATGGTCAAGAAGAACAGGAAAAGATGTTCAAGTCATTAGTCATTAGGGAAATGCTAATCAAGCCCACAATGAGATACTAGTTCACACCCGCTAGGATTGCTGCACTAAAAAACATGGACAATAATACGTGCCAGCAAAGATGTGAAGAAATTGGAACCCTCATAAATTGCTATTGGGAATGTAAAATGATGCAGCTGCTTTGGAAGATAGTTTGTCAGTTCCTCGAAAAGTTAAACATAGAATTATCCTATGACTCAGCAATTCTCCTCCTAGGTATATAACCAAGAGAAATGAAAATATATGTCTATGCAAAAACGTGTATAAAAACGTCCATAACAGTATTGCTCATCATAGCCAAAATGTGGAGACAGCCCAAATATCCATAAATCGATGAATGGATAAACAAAATGTGGAATAGCCTTACAATGACAAATGATTTGGCAATAAAAAGGAATGAAGTGCTGACACATGCTACAACATATGAACCTCAGAAACAATCCGCTAAGTGAAAGAAGCCAGACACATACAAAAGGAAGCCACATATTGTATGGTCTCATTTGTATGAAATGTGCAGAATAACAAATCTGTAGAAACATAAAGTAGATTAATGATTGCTAGGAGCTGGGGAGAGAGGTGAATGGGTAGTGACTGCTAATGGGTACTTGGTTTCTTTTTGGGGTGACAAAAATATTCTGGAATTAGATAGTAGTGATAGTTGTACAACTTCGTGAACGTACTAAAAACCACTGAATTGCATTTAGTGGCTGTAATTGTAAAAGGGTGAACTTAATGGTACATGAATCACGTCTCAATGATAATAATTTTTAAAATTGTTAGAATAAATGGGGGCCAGGCGCAGTGGCTCCGGCACCCCCATTTATTCTAATGACTTTAATGATTTATGCCTGTAATCCCAGCACTTTGGGAGGCCAAGGTGGGAGGATTGCTTGAGGCCAAGAGTTCAAGACCAGCCTGGCAACATAGCAGGACTACATCTCTAAAAATGAAAATAAAATTTCAGGCTGGATACGGCAGCTCATGCCTATAATTCCAGCACTTTGGGAGGCTGAGGTGGGAGGACTGCTTGAGCCCAGGGATTGGAGGCCATCCTGAGCAATGGCAAGACCCCATCTCTACAAAAAAAATTTAAAAATTAGCTGGGTATGGTGGTGCACTCCTGTGATCCCAGCTACTCAGGAGGCAGGCTGTAGCAGGGGAGGATCACTTGAGTCTAGGAGGCTGAGACTTCAGTGAGCCTTGATTGCTCCACTGCACTCCACTCTGGGCGACAGAGCGAGAACTTGTCTGGAAAAAAAAAAAAAAAAGAAAGGCCGGGCGCAGTGGCTCACGCCTGTAATCCCAGCACTTTGGGAGGCCGAGGTAGGCGGATCACAAGGTCAGGAGATCAAGAGCATCCTGGCTAACACGGTGAAACCCCGTCTCTACTAAAAATACAAAAAAATTAGCCAGGCATGGTGGCGGGCGCCTGTAGTCCCAGCTACTCGGGAGGCTGAGGCAGGAGAATGGCGTGAACCCGGGAGGCGGAGCTTGCAGTGAACCGAGATCGCGCCACTGCACTCCAGCCTGGGCGACAGAGCGAGACTCTGTCTTGACAAAAAAAGAAAAGAAAAATAGGAAAGTGTTTGCTCTATGCAAACCAGAAGAAAAAACATGTAAATTATTTCAAGCAGATCTTTGGGAGCGTGCGCAACCTATACTGTTCAGCAATAAATCGCAGAAAAATGGTGACATGAAAGACAATTCTAAAAAATGCAAACGTCGTCATTTAGAGCCGGACAATGTTGACCATTATCTGAGACCCATGCTCGTGGAAAAGGGCAACGGTGACAAGTCCCCCACCCGTTTGTTTGTTTTCTGAAATGCCCCCACGCTTTTGTGTTCCAGTAAAGTGCCAACCCTAATCACCAAGAACAGTCCTGCCCCATATGCTTAGATAAGACTTGCTGTCCACTGCTTCTCCTAATGCTGTGGGCCTCGTGGATTACTCTCGGGGCTACCTGCCTTTAGAAAACTCAGACCCCTTGTCCACATTGAGGCATTCCTCATTAATGAGTGACTCCATCTTGCAACAGCCTAAATAAAATCATCTCCTTAATTGTCCAGTGCATTTTGTCTTTCACAGTCATGTAATACAATAAATCCTTTATTTTGAATATAAAGAAAGAGGTGTACAGTTTTTCTTACTAGACAATCTGTTCTTTCTGTCCCCACAAAGAAAATATTGAAAAAATATTTTAAAAATGTCAGTTTGGAGGGATGCCAAATATTCACCAGCTGAGGGTACCCACAGCTGGAGTTGCCCTGACCAGCTATCTCTGATAAGGACTGTGCCACAGCCTTCTTTGAATGAAAATTCACCCCCTTGTGGTGACAAATCAAGGAAGTTTTTCTTTTATTTTTTTAAAGCAAAACCTCTCCAAGTGCCTGATAGTTTTACATTTCTATAGAAACCGTCCTTAATCCAATGCCCAAGGCTGGTTCTTCTCCTCTCCCAGAGCTCCTCAAATGCCAAACATCTAGTTTTGTTCAGTTTTTTTGGATATTAAGTGGAAATGTGCATGTATAGAATTGGTTTTATGCCAGGTGATCAGTTTTTTCATATGATTAATACATCTGATTTCTGATTTATTTTAATATAGTGACCACTCTATGCGTGTCACTATGCTTCAAGCCATTATAATAGATCATGGGTGGTAAATAAGACGGAAATACTCTGAGATGATCACAATTGAATAGCACATTGAACTTTCTCAGCAGAAACACTGTGGATAATGCACTCTTCAGTCTGTTAATGGGGCACATCACTGAATTGTCCGATACTTTCATGTAGCTGTTCCATTCCTGGATTCTTCCATAATCTGCTGGGCAGCCTCAGGAGCTCAACCTCAGGATTTCCCAGAATCATTTTTATTTCCCCCATGCTGAACCATTGGGGTTTGGGGACTACAAAATGCTACAATATTGCACAGGCATGGTAAATTCTTCTGTTACCTGTCCAAAGGGGATCCAATTGCGCCCCGGGCTGGGGCAAAGGGATTTAGAGGTTGAGCTTTATCAAAGAAGCAGCTGAATCTAGAAAATCAGGGCCAAGAGTAAAAGTGTGATTCACCCTGGAAACTGCCCGCGGTCCTCCCTCTTAGCGGGTACAGGATACAGCTTCAGGCTTGTCTGACAACACCTGTTCCAATGGTCAGAGTGGACAGCACACTGACTGCCACAGTCCTATGGTCTGAAGTTTCCGTTTTGCTGGTACTTTGGGACAGGAGAGCCAACTCCCTTAGCATCCAGTCACTTTGTGTTTACCGTGGAATGATGGTGCTGTTGCATAGCAGAGGGAAAAAGCAAACTTTGCCCAATGTCTCACCTATGAGTGCTATGAATGAGCGGTTGCTTGGTGTAGCAGGGAGATATCTGAGCTGAGAGAGTTGAGCTCTGGTTTTCAGCTGTCAATTTGGGGTTGTCTATTAGTCCGTTTTCATGCTATTGATAAAGACATACCCAAGACTGAGCAACTTACAAAAGAAAGAGGTTTAATTGGACTTACAGTTTCACATGGCTGGGGAAACCTCACAATCATGGCAGAAGAAAAGGAGGAACAAGTCACATCTTATGTGGATGGTGGCAGGCAAAAAATCAGAGAGCTTGTACAGAGAAATGCCGCTTTTTAAAACCATCAGATCTTATGAGACTTACTCACTATCAAAGAAACAGCTGAATCTGGAAAATCAGGACCAAGAATAAAAGTGTGATTCGTCTCATGAGACTTATTCACTATCAGGAGAACAGCTTGCCCCCATCTATCTTATCCCCATCTTGTCCCCACTATTAGGAAGGACTTGCCCCCATGATTCAATGACCTCCCACCAGGTCCCTTCCACAACATGTGGGAATTCAAGATGAGGTTTGGATGGGGACACAGCCAAACCATATCAGATTGGCAGACTTTGGACAAGTCATCCCTTTCCTTCCACCTGTTTTTCTTCATCTGTAAAATAAAAGAACTGGATCAAATGAGCTAGGAAGCCCCCTTCTAAACGTAGCTCTTTTTTTTTTTTGACAGAGACTCGCTCTGTCACCCAGGCTGGAGTGCAATGGCGTGATCTCGGCTCACTGCCAACCTCCGCCTCCTGGGTTCAAGCGATTCTCCTGCCTCAGCCTCCTGAGTACCTGGGACTACAGGTGTGCACCACCATGCCTGGCTAATTTTTGTATTTTTAATGGAGGCGGCGTTTCACCATGTTGGTCAGGCTGGTCTCGAACGCCTGACCACTGGTGATCCACCTGCCTCGGCCTCTCAAAGTTCTGGGATCACAGGCGTGAGCCACCGCGCCCCCCAGGCTAAATCTAGCTTTTGCTCATCAATCTCTTTGAAAATGATGTAAAAAGTTTAGTTAATAGTGAACTAACAGCATTCTTTTTTTCTTTTTTCTTTTTTCACGGACAGGGTCTGTCTGGCTGTGTCACCCAGGCTGGCCTCCAACTCCTGAGCTCAAGCCATCCTCCTGCCTCAGCCTTCTGAGTAGCTGAGACTACAGGTAACACAGTTACTTCTGATATTAGGATTAATATTAGGCCTGAATGTTTCTAGTGAAACTGTTTATCATTCTTCCACAACATATTTATTGAGCATCTACTAGGCACTTGATAAAACAGTGAGGAAAATAAAGATTCCTACCCCACGTGGAACTTACATTCTAGCAGGAAAATGCAGACCCTAAACAATAAACACCATAAAAACAAGCCTATATAATAGGCAACAATTATTTATTTGGATAATTTCAGCAAAAGTGCCTAGCCAAGTGGAAACCCCAAACCAGCCTACTGTGGAAATTGATTTGAATGCTTTGAATATTTTCATTGCTTTCTTGAACCAACTAACTAGATTCCCCAACTGTGGGAAGAGGATGGGGCTGGCCAAGAAGCTTGGATTTTTGCCTTAATTAAGAGTTTAGTTTGTAAGTAAATAACCAATTCAAGCTGGATTAAGCAAAAAGGGGAATTTATGCTAAGAATCCAAGACTGAAAGCTGGACTCAGGACAGAGACTAGGATACCAGGGGTGCACACTTGTAGAAGGCACAACAGGTTTGTACAAGGGTAGGCCTTCACCCAAGTGGAAGACATCAGTTCAGTGTTTAGGGGCCCCACCAGCCTGGTGGGCCCTCCATGAGGGCTGAAAGCAGCCCTGGACACCTCCAGGGGCCTGGGTGTCTTTCTTCTCCCCAGGCCAGGTGTCCTTCCACCACATCACACCAGGCTCATTCAAGCAGCTGATATACCACATTAAGTACATTTCACTATTTATTATAATTATTATTGAGACAGAGTCTCGCTGTGTCACCCAGGCTGGAGTGCAGTGGCATGATCTCCGCTCACTGCAACCTATGCCTCCCAGGTTCAAGCAATTCTCCTGTCTCGGCCTCCCAAGTAGCTGGGATTACAGGCGTGAGCCACCAAACCCAGCCATTTCACTATTTTTAAAACGTTAGTGCTGTTACTATTTGGTGTTATAAATGAATATTAATTTGACTTTCCCATTTTTCTTTTCATATTTGGGGGTCAAAAAATTTTATTTCTAGGACTCAAACTTTTTTTTTTTGAAGTAGGGTCTCACTCTGTCACCTAGGCTGAAATGCAGTGGCATGACCATGCTCACTGCAGCCTCAACTTCCTGGGTTCAAGCAATCCTCCCTCCTCAGCCACCCAAGAAGCTGGGACCATAGGTACATGCCACCATGCCTGGCTTATTTTAAATTTTTTTGTAGAGATAGGGGGTTCTCGGCCGGGCGCGGTGGCTCACGCCTGTAATCCCAGCACTTTGGGAGGCTAAGACGGGCGGATCACGAGGTCAGGAGATTGAGACCATCCTAGCTAGCACAGTGAAACCCCATCTGTACTAAAAATACAAAAAAATTAGCCGGGTGTGGTGGTGGGTGCCTGTAGTCCCAGCTACTTGGGAGGCTGAGGCAGAAGAATGGTGTGAACCCGGGAGGCAGAGGTTGCAGTGAGCCAAGATTGCGCCACTGCACTCCAGCCTGGGCGACAGACAAGACTCTGTCTCAAAAAAAAAAAAAAAAAAAGAGATGGGGGCGGTCTCACTACATTGCCCAGGCTGGTCTTGAACTCCTGGGCTCAAGCCATCCTCCTGCCTCGGATTCACAGAGTGCTGGGATGACAGGCATGAGCCACTGCGCCTGGCCTCAACCATTTTTGAGAGCCCTGGAACTCATACAGGCTCCCGGCCCAGTGTGGCTCGCTGCTCTGAACATGCCTCTCTCCCAGAGCCCAGAGCTCAGCACACCTGAAACCTTCAGCCAACCCATTCTGATTGCTTCCCGCACCGAAGGGCCTCAGCTGAAATCCATCTCACCATGGTCTCTGATGGTCAGATTTGATAAAGGGGCCACGTAGGAACCTGAGCCGCCTGGGGGACGGTTGTGAATCTCAAAGCAGACACACATTCTCCATTAGCGGCCCTCCGAGGAGCCCAGTTTCAGCAGAATCATTAAAAGTTGATGATTCTGCAAATGTCTTTTTGTCTGCTGTGGGGTGATGGAAGCAGGGAAGTGTAGTTTTCCTCTGAAATGATAAAGCACTAGGCAAAGAAAGGCAGTAAGACAATTCCACACTTAACCTTAGAGTGACCATGAAATTCAACACTGAAGACTTTTAAGAGAGATTCAGGAGGAGGGGAGAGCTCAGGTAACCACTGAAATGCTTAAAGGTCAGGAGCTGGGGAAAAAAACATCAAGGACTGCATTCAAAATAAATCAGAAGGCCGGGCATGGTGGCTCACGCCTGTAATCCCAGCACTTTGGGAGGATGAAGCAGGCGGATCATGAGGTCAAGAGAAGGAGACCATCCTGGCCAACATGGTGAAGCCCCGTCTCTACTTAAAAAATACAAAAATTAGCTGGGCGTGGTGGCACATGCTTGTAATCCCAGCTACTCGGGAGGCTGAGGCAGGAGAATCAGTCAAACCAGGGAGTTGGAGGTTGCAGGGAGCTGAGATCGTGCCACTGCACTCCAGCCTGGTGACAGAGCAAGACTCCATCACAAAAAAAAAAAAAAAAAAAAAAAAAAAATCAGGCTGCAGAAGACCAGGGCTTAGCATTATTATTTTTTTTTCCCCCAAGAATTGAACCACTCTCACTGTTTAGGCTTTGAGAGTTGCTTTGAGACACTGAACAACATCACCATGTGTGAGGGCATCCTCCTCATCCAGCCCTGACTGGGCTGGGGTCCAGCATCTCCTCTCAGGGGGCCCTCAGCCCCCCTTGGGGAGAACTGCAGGCTGCAGAACTGCAAAGGGCCCTAGGTACACAGATAAGTGAGCAACCCGACTGAGGGGCTGCAAGCCCCTTGTAGTCAGAACTCGTGCTCAAGCTGAGCTGGAGCTCCTGTTTCCTAATCCCCACCTGAGCTTTGCACTGACCACCCAAAACATACATGTAAGTTGATTCATTTGGGAAAACTAAAGGCTGGGCACGGTGGCTCATGCCTGTAACCCCAGCACTTTGGAAGGCTGAGATGGGAGGATCTCTCGAGACCAGACTGGGCAACATGGTGAGAACCATCTCTACAAAAAAGTTTAAGAAATTAGCCGGGTGCAGTGGCAGGCACCTATGGTCTCAGCTATTCAGGAGGCGGAGGAAGAATTGCTTGAGCCCAGGAGGTGGAGGCTGCAGTGAGCCATGTTTGCACCACAGCACTCCAGCCTGGGTGACAGAGCAAGACCTTGTCTCAAAGAAAAAAAAAAAAGAAAAGAAAAACCATAGTCCTTTCTTTCCTTCTTTTCTTTCCTTCCTTTTTTTCTTTCTTTCCTTCTTCTCTTTCTTTCTTTCCTTTCTTCCTTTTTTGATGGGGTCATGCTCTGTCTCCCAGGCTAGAGTGCAGTGATGCAATCACAGTATCGCAGCGTTGAACACCTGGGTTCAAGCCATCCTCCTGCCTTAGTCTCCCTGAGTAGCTAGGACAACAGGTATGCACCACCATGCCCAGCTAACTTTTTTTTTTTTTTAAGAGATGGAGGTCTCACTATGTTGCCCAGGCTCGTCTCTAACTCCTAATCTCAAACAATCCTCCTTCCTTGGCCTCCCAAAAGTGCTGGAACTACAGGTGAGCCACCTTGCCCAACCTAGAAGTCACTTCTAAATTCTGAATAATATTTCTACAATTAATTAATTTGCTAACACAAATACTAGCTTAGAAACATAGTACTTAAAGTTAGCTGCTTTTCTTTTCCATAGAGGTACAGTTTATGCTCAGTGGGTTTTGCTTGTTGACCTACTTCTCTCTGGTTATTTGTCACAGACCCACAGTTGATTAACGTCACCACTGGATCTGGGAAAAATGGCTTATGGGCAGTTTCACATCATAAAATCTTCTTGCTATTATTAAACAGAAAAAAAACGCTTGTGAGCTCAAAGCAAGTGAGTGCTGTTCATGAGGTTGGAGGCGTTTTGCAATGGGTAGGTCATAGCCATATGAAATGTTTGCTTCCTCTGTTTCTCTTCAGCTCTTTCCCTGGGCAGTTCTGACTGTGTGTGCCTCTCCTCCTAGGTGAGCCATGCTAATTGTCCTCCCATGAGAGGAGAAGCTCTAGGGGTCAGGAATGTCTCAGCTTGACATGGGAGGTGTCAGAATAAGGCTGTTCTTGTCCTTCCCCGTGCTCTGAGCATGTGGCAGCATGCCCTCCTCTCTTTTATGGAGTGAAAGGGCTGCGTGTGTGGTGACAAGGACACCTTGGGAACAGGAGCCTTCGGTTCCACTCTCTGTTCACCGCAGACCCACCAAGTCACCTTGGCAACCCCCTTAGCTTGCATTACTGTTAACTCTGCAGAAGCTGGAAGTGGAGCTGAAGAGGTTCCTATTTCACATGCCAGCTGGCTCAGTGGGGGCTGGGGCGGGGGTGGGACTGGGAGTGGGAGGGAAAACCTGGGGGTTGATAGCTTCCCACGGTGGGAAACACTACCCCTGACAGGAATCTACCCCACTGGAAAACACCTGTGTTCCAGCCCTTCTGTGAAGTCTGACTGCCCTTTCCTCCCTCATATATATATATATATATATATATATATATATATATTTTTTTTTTTTTAAGACAAAAGGGTTGTTCTGTCGCCCAGGCTGGACTGCAGTGGTGCAGTCTCAGCTCACTGCAGCCTCTGCTTCCCAGGTTCACGCAATTCTCCTGCCTCAGCCTCCCGAGTAGCTGGGACTACAGGCGTGCACCACCACGCCCGGCTGATTTTTGTATTTTTAGTAGAGATGGAGTTTTGCCATGTTGGCCACACTGGTCTCAAACTCCTGACCTCAAGTGATCCACCCACTTCGGCATCCCAAAGTGCCAGGATTACAGGCATGAGCCACCACACTCAGCCCCCTTCTACTATTTCTCCAAGTATGGGAGAAGCTGAGGGGACCGCGACTAGAGGGAGAAGGGAGGGTGACTCTGGATAGCAGAACTTCAGTGACTTAAAAGCTGTAACTCCCATCTCCCTAAAATACATAAAACTAAACTGTAACCTGACCACCTCGGAACCACTTATTCAAGGCTTCTTGGGTTCATTTTTCCTCCAGGCTGCGGTCATTCATATTGGCTCAGAATAAACCTCTTTAAAATATTTTACAGGATTTGGTTTTCTCTTAACATGGGAGATAGTATCAGATCCCACAGGTTGAGGGCTCAGTCCCCAAAACTGCCCCCTCACCTTCAGACACCAGTTGCAAGTCCGAGCATCTGGAACTTCTGACCAACTGGCTTCAAGTTGGGGTTCCTACAACCCTGTCTTTGAGTTCAATTAATTTAATAGAGTGGCTCACAGAACTCAGGGAAACACTTATGTTTACTGGCTTATTATAAAGGATATTACAAAGGATACAGATGAAGAGATGTGTAGTACAAGGTTTAAGGGAAGGGGCATGGAGCTTCCATGCCCTCTCCAGGGCACCACCCTCCAGGAACCTTCATGTGTTCAACTTTCTGGAAACACTCTGAACCCTGTCCTCTTGGGTTTTTATGGAGGCTTCATTACATAGGCATGATTGATTAAACAATTAGCCATTGATGATCAACTTAACCTTCAGCCCCTCTTCCCTTCCTGGAGGGCAGGGGTAGGGCTGAAAGTCCCAACTCTCTAATCCTGCCTTGGTCTTTCCAGTGACCAGCCCCATCCCTAATGTTGAGCTGTCAGTCATCATTAACACACAAAAAGATAGCACTCTGGAGATTTCAAGGATTTTAGGAGTTATATGCCAGAAAATGGTAGGAAGACCAAATATATAATAATATCACAGAGGGTAAACAGTAAATTATGACCCTCTGTCATAATATCACAGAGGGTAAACAGTAAAAGTGATTAATGTGATGTCAGTGACTTGGGTCAAAAGCTAAACTGCTGCAACCAACAGGCCTTAACATGTGATAGTTCAAGGCAGACACTTTCTTTCTCTCACTAATAGTCCAATGCAGGAGTTCTAGGTCAGCAGGACTCTGCTCCACACAGTCACTCAGGGGCCCAGGCTCCTGGTAGCCCTGCCATCTCTCCTACTTGGCATCCAGAGGGGCTCTGATTGGTACCATCCCAGCTAGAAGGAAGGAGGCAAAGGGCATGGAGAAGACCACATGAGGGGCTTTACACGCCAAGCCTGGAATAGGGACCTATCTTTCTTTTCTACTTCCACTGGCAAGCATTTGATCTCATGGCCACTCCAGACTACAAAGGAAGCTGGAAAATAGACTCCAGCCTTGGGTCCAAGTAGAAAGGAGGGCCAGTTTTGTTGGACAGCCAGCAGTCTCTGCCCCGATGGCTTTATCAAAATGGAAACATTTGAAAGGAAAACTATAGCTCAGAGTCCAGTTTAACTCCCACATGTCCAGGACCTCTCAGACTTCCCAAAGCTGCCAGTAGGGGGCCAGATTTTCACTCTGAGAACCGTCCCCTCTCCCAGCTTCCATGGATTCTGGAGCAGGGAATCAGAAGCCCTAGGACCACATTCAAGGTTTATTCTTTGGATCAAGTATGAGCATCTGTGGCTCTATTTTTAAAGCGAAAAGTACTTCTTCTTCTGGACGGGTATTGGGGTAAATTGTGCTAGATATCCAGTTAAAGAAAGTACACTCAAGAAATAGCTTTCCAGCCAGGCTTGGTGGCTTGCGCCTGTAATCCTAGCACTTTGGGAGGCTGAGATGGGAGGATAGCTTGAAGCTGTGAGTTTGTGACCAGCCTGGGCAACACAGTAAGACCTCGTCTTTACAAGAAATAAAAATATTAGCCAGGCATGGTGGCACACACCTGTAGTCCCAGCTACTGAGGAAGCTGAAGCAGGATGATCCCTTGAGCCCAGAAATTTGGGGCTGCAATGAGCTAGGATTACACCACGGCATGCCAGCAGAAAAAAAAAATAATTTTCCATTAATAATGTTAATTTTTTTTTACAGTTGTTGTGGAAGATAAAGCCCAGCCTGACATATGCTCTTTCAAAGAAAGTTCTCAGGAATATCCTGTATATGGCACCAGACCTCAGACAATTCAGGTAGACAAAAACCCTCATGTGTATCACAGCTACATAATGCTAGAACAAAATATTGAATATTCAAGCTCAGAGTATTTTTTAGAGGGTTTCTGCTTTTCCCTTATTTACAGGTTTGGCTTTTTCCTGATGTTCTATCAGTGACTGGAAATTGTATTAGTCCCTTCTCATGCTGCTATAAGGACATACCCGAGACTGGGTAATTTATAAAGGAAAGAGGCTTAATTGACTCATAGTTCTGCATGGCTGCAGAGGCCTCAGGAAACTTACAATCATGGTGGAAGGGGAAGCAAACACGTCCTTCTTCACATGGCAGCAGGAAGGAGAAGTGCTGAGTGAAGGAGGAAAAAGCCCCTTATAAAACCATCAGATCTCCTGAGAACAAACTCAGTATCACAAGAACAGCATGGGGAAACCACCCCCATGATTCAATTACCTCCATCATGTCCCTCCCATGACATGTGGGGATTATGGGATTACAATTCAAGATGAGATCTGGGTGGGGACACAGCCAAACCACATCAGAGATCAATTTTGAGTGTTGGAATTTTGGTGACATAGCAGAAGAATGACACCTTCGGACAAGTCTGGGGTTACATCTAGATGTTATTTCCAAATTGCACATTATTTAGGGGACTTGTGACCCCTAATATTTTGGCTTAAGATATGGTTAAGAAGTGGCTCAATTTATAGTACTATGCACCTGGCTTCTATCATAAAACTCCATTAAAACCACAGTCTTGACGATTTTCAACTAGTCAGTCTCCATATATCAGGAGATGGATTGCCTAGGTTGTGGGCTGTCTGACTTTTGAAAACTAAAAATAAAATTCTAAGTCCCCAGCCATCTGAATGGATCCTTCCTGTCAGCCAAGGGCATTCCAGAGTTAACCTGAAAAACTAGTTCAGGCCATGATGGAAAGGAGGAGTCAGATATACCTCATTATACCCTCCTCCCTTATGAAGTTCAGGCACAGCTGACCAGCATTAACATTAAAACAGATCCCAAGACTGACAAAACAGACCTTTTGTAGCAATAAGAGATATCGAATTCCAGCCTAACTCTAGTATAGCATCACATCACAGGTAAGAGGCCCTGAAAGAAATTGAAGTATTTTGCCCCCAAATTATGTTTCTTTGCCATATCTTGAAATAATCCTGCAAAGCTGTCTCTTGTGGGGAAAATCTACATTCTGAAGAGAATCCTCTTTCTTTTAGAGGCCTCTTTCTTGATCCAGGAGAGAATCAACTCTGATAAGAAACATCTACAATCTATTCTCTCTGAAGCCTGCTACCTGGAGGCTTATATTGTGTAATGGGAACCTCGGTTCTCATTTAAGGGGAACAATTAAGGGGTCTCCACAACCCCTTATCTTAACCCAGACATTCCCTTCTATTGATTCTAGATCTTTAGACAATAACTTAACCTCTTTCTACCAATTGCCAATCAGAAAGTCTTTGAATCCACCTGTGACCTGAAAGCCCCACCTTGCTTTGAGTTGTCCTGCCTTTCCAGACCAAATCAGCGTACATCCTACATGTATTGATTGATGTCGTATGTTTTCCTAAAATGTTTAAAACCAAGCTGTAGCCCAACCACCTTGGGCACATATCCTCAGGATCTCCTGAGGGCTGTGTCACAGGCCATCGGTCACTCATATTAAGGGAGGAGACCACCCTTCATATTGTCTTATGCCCAATTTCTGCCTCCAAAGAAAGAAGTAAAAACTAAAAGGCAGGAATGAAATCCACAAGCAGACAGCCCGGCGCCACACCCTGGGCCTGGTAGTTAAAGATCGACCCCTGACCTAATCGGTTATGTTATCTATAGATTACAGACATTATATAGAAAAGCACTGTGAAAATCCCTGTCCTGTTCTGTTCTGATTACCGGTGCATGCAGCCCCCAGTCATGTACCCCCTGCTTGCTCAATTGATCATGACCCTCTCACGCAGACCCCTTAGAGTTGTGAGCCCTTAAAAGGGACAGGAATTGCTCACTCGGAGAGCTCAGTTGTTGGAGACATGAGTCTTGCCAAAGCTCCCGGCCTAATAAAGCCCTTCCTTCTTTAACTCGGTGTCTGAGGGGTTTTGTCTGCAGCTTGTCCTGCTGTAATATTTGGCTCAGAATAAATCTGCAAATATTTTACAGACTTTGATTCTTTTTGTCGACACTTTATTTCTCTACTTTTTCCTTGTTAGGCCATTTTATGCTTTTTTGGTGTATTTCACACCCATGGAGACCAGGAAAGGCAAGATTACGGAAAATCAGTTCCAACTAGAAGTGTTGCTCATCAGTGGTGAAATATGAGGACAAGGAGGCTGGATCTAATGCTTAAATCACATCCTCGCACTGTCCTCTGCACCTGGAGCATGCTCTAACTTGTGAGTTGCAGTTGTGGTCAGAGCAGGTGTTTTAGGTACAGGAGCGAGTTTGCTCTGCCTGGTCAGATACTCTCCTGCCCTTTTCTCAGTTGAAAAATGCTTTGGAGACCTCATGGGGGAAGTAAAAACACTCAGGTGTAAAAGATTTCTAAGGTTTACTAAATAAGCCTTCTCAGAGCCAACTGCTTTTAATCCCTAATGCCTCAAGCAGAAGGAATCAACCTCCATTCTGGAAGCTGGGGTCTGTAAGTACCAAACTCACTCAGGTAAGGGAATCATTCCTGAGTAGTTTGTTCTTTAAATGCATGAAAATGGATCTTACGGATGGCAGCTTTTTTGCCTATGGCTGAGGTGGGCCTCAGCCACAATTAATACAGCACAAATGCAAATTGCAGAAAGCTCTTGACTTCCGTAGGCATGTTTCTCTATTTAGGCAATTTTTTTCGAGGAAGAAGCTTGGGATATAACATCTTACATGGTGCAGTTTGCATGTACGAGGCTAGATAAAAAAGGCCTCAGCTGTTAGGCAAACAGAAACAGTTGGTCTTGTTTATTCTCCTTCCCTTTTCTTTTGTTCACCTTAGACCGCTTAGAGCTTGTCCATACATGTCTTGAGTGTATTAAGGCAAAGGTATGGGTAGAAAGGAAAGGAAAATGTGAGCAAAGTGATGAAAAACCAATAGGAAAATTTTGTGGGGAAGTTTTAATGATTGCCACTACAAGAAAATCACCTGTAAAACTCTAACTTTTAAAACTGTAACTCTTTTTCCCATAAACATTTAACTAAATGTTAACTCCATTTTGGCTGGGTGTGGTGGCTTGTACCTGTAATCCCAGCACTTTAGAAGGCCAAGGTGGGAAGATCCTTTGAGCCCAGGAGTTTGAGACCAGCCTGGGCAACATAGTGAGACCTCATCTCTACAAAAACTTTAAAAAAAAAACAAAGTTAACTCCATTTAACAATGTTTATGCAAATTCCATTTAGGATAGCATCTAAAATAATCAAATACTTTGGAATAAGCTTAACAAAAGAAGTATAAGATTTGAATGCTAGAAACTACAAAATGTTTTTGAAAGAAATTAAAGTAGACCTAAATAAGTGAAAAACATACATATGATCATAGATTATAAGAGTTAATATTATTAAAATGGCAATATTATTCAAAGTGATCTACAGATTCAGTGCAATTCCTATCAAAATCCTACCTGGCTTTTTTTTTTTTTTTTTAATGGAAATTGACAAGCTGATCTCAAATTCCTGTGGAAATGCAAGAAACTGAGAGTAGCGAAAACAATCTTGAAAAAGAATAAAGTTGGAGGACTCACACATTCCTTTTTTTTTTGAGAGGGAGTCTCGCTCTGTCACCCCAGGCTGGAGTGCAGTGGCACAATCTCGGTTCACTGCAAGCTCTGCCTCCGAGGTTCACGCCATTCTCCTGCCTCAGCCTTCGGAGTAGCTGGGACTACAGGCGCCCGCCACCATGCCTGGCTAATTTTTCATATTTTTATAGAGACGGGGTTTCACCATGATAACCAGGATGGTCTCTGTCTCCTGATCTCGTGATCCGCCCGCCTCAGCCTCCCAAAGTGCTGGGATTACAGGCGTGAGCCACCGCGCCCAGCCGGGACTCACATTTTCTAATTTCAAAACAAACATAGCTACAATAATCAAGACTATGTAATACTGACATAGGCGTAGACATGTAGATCAATGGAATAGACTTGAAAATCCAGAAATAAATGTTTACATTATAGTCAATTGATTTTCAGCAAATGTCCCAAGACAATTTAATGGGAAAATAATCTTTTTAACATGTCACATTGGTTGTGGGACAATTGGATATTTACACGTAAAAGAATGACATTGAACCCCTACCTCAACCACATGAAAAATTAACTCAAAATGGAAAAAAAAAACCCATAAATTTAAAAGTTAAAACTATAAATTCTTAGAAGCATACATAAGTGTACATCTTCATGACTTTAGGTTTCTTACATATGGCACCAAAAGTACAAACAACAACAAAAGAAAAAATAGGTAAACTGAACATTACAAAAATTAAAAACATTTGCTCTTCAAAAGACAGCATCAAGAAAGCGAAAAGACAATCCACGTGGGAAGCAATTTTTCGAAATCATATATCCAATAAGAGATTTTGTTATGAATGTAACTGTGCCCTCCACAAATTCATAAATTGAAGCCCTCACCCCTAATGTGACAATATCTGGAGTTAAGGCCTTTAACAAGGTAATTGAGGTTAAATGACAGCATAAATGTTGGGTCCTAATTTAATAGGACTGGTGTGCTTATGAGAAGAGGAAGAGGCTGGGCGCGGTGGCTCATGCCTATAATCCCAGCACTTTCGGAGGCAAGGCCAGTGGATCACTTGAGGTCAGGAGTTCAAAACCAGCCTGACCAACATGGTGAAACCCCATCTCTACTAAAAATACAAAATAAGCCAGGCGTGGTGGTGCATCCGTGTAATCCCAGCTACTTGGGAGGCTGAGGCAGGAGAATTGCTTGAACCTGGGAAGCAGAGGTTGCAGTAAGCTGAGATCGCACCATTGCACTCTAGCCTGGGCAACAAGAGTGAAACTCTGTCAAAAAAAAAAAAAAAAAAAAAAAAGGCCGGGCGTGGTGGCTCACACCTGTAATCCCAGCACTTTGGGAGGCTGAGGCAGGCGGATCACGAGGTCAGGAGATCGAGACCATCCTGGCTAACACGGCAAAACCCCATCTCTACTAAAAATACAAAAGATTAGCCGGGAGTGGTGGCAGGTGCCTGTAGTCCCAGCTACTTGGGAGGCTGAGGCTGGAGAATGCCATGAACCTGGGAGGTGGAGCTTGCAGTGAGCTGAGATCATGCCACTGCACTCCAGCCTGGGCAACAGAGCAAGACTCCATCTCGGAAAAAAAAAAAAAATAAGAAGAAGAGGAAGAGACACCAGGGGTGCTCGAGCACAGAGAAAAAGGTTATTGTCTACAAACCAAAGAGAGAAGCCTCACCAGAAACAAACCCCGCTGGCACCTTGATCTTGGACTTCCAGACTCCAGAGCTGTGCTGTGAGAAAATAAATTTCTTATGTTTGAGCTGTGGTATTTTGTTTTGGCAGCCGGAGCAAATGAGTACAGACTTGTATCTAGAATATGTAAAGAACTATTACAGCTCAATAATAAAATGAAAACCCATTTTAAAAATGGGTAAAGGATCTGAATAGACAGTGCTTCAAAGAAGATCTACCAATGACTAATAAACACTTGAAAAGATGCTCAACAACATTAGCTATTAAGAAAACCATAATGGGGTACCACTTCACATTGACTATGATGGCTATAATCAAAAAGACAATAATGACCAGGCGTGGTGGCTCACGCCTATAATCCCAGCATTTTGCGGGGCTGAGGCAGGAGGATTGCTTGAGCCCGGGAGTTCAAGACCAGCCTGGACAACATATGGAGACCTTGTCTCTACAACAAAGTTACTTATTTATTTATTTATAGACAAAGTCTAGCTCTTTTGCCCAGTCTGGAGTGCAGTGGCATCATCTCAGCTCATTGCAACCTCCGCCTCCTGGGCTCAAGTGAATCTCCTGCCTCAGCCTCCTAAGTAGCTGGGACTACAGGCATGCACTACCACACCTGGCTAATTTTTGTATTTTTAGTAGAGATGAGGTTTCACCATGTTGGCCAGGCTGGTCTTAAACACCTGACCTCAAGTGATCCCGCATGCCTTGATCTCCCAAAGGCCACCACACCTGGCCTCTACAAAAAACTTAAAAATTAGATGGGTGTGATGATGTGTGTCTATAGTCCTAGCTACTTGAGAGGCTGAGGCAGGAGTATCATTCGAGCCCAGGAGTTCGAGGCTACGGTGAGCCATGATTGCGCTACTGCACTCCAGCCTGGGTGACCAAAAAAAAAAAAGGCAATAACAAATTTTAGTAAGGATATGGAGAAATTGGAAGCTTCATACATTGCTGGTAGAGATGTAAAATAATGCAACCACTGTGGAGAACAGTGTTGTAGGTAGCTCTTCAAAAAGTTAAACATAGAGTTTCTATTTGACCTAACAATTCCACCCCTAGGTATATACCTTAGAGAAGTGAAAACATATGCTCCCAAAAAATCTTGTACATGAATGTTCATAGCAATATTATGCATAATAGCCACAAAATGGAAACAATCTGATAGAGTTTGAATATATGTCCCTGCCAATTCTTATGTTGCATTGTAATCCCCTGTGTTGAAGATATAACCTGGTAGGAGGTGATGGGATCATGGCGGTAGAATTCTCATGAATGGTTTAGCACCATCCTCTTGGTGTTGTCCTCATGATAGTGAGTGAGTTCTTGAGAGATCTGTTCATTTAAAAGTTTGTGGCATCTCCCCCTACACTCTCTTTCTTGCTCCTGCTTTCACGATGTGATACACCTGCTCCCTCTGTGCCTTCCACCTTGAGTAAAACCTTCCTGAGGCCTCCTCAGAAGCCAAGAAGATGCCAGTACCATGCTGGTACAGCTTGCAGAACTGTGAGCCAATTAAACCTCTTTGCTTTATAAATTACGTAGTCTTAGGTATCTCTTTATAGCAATGCAAGAATGGCCAACTACACCATCCAAATGCCCATCAACTGATGAATGGACAAACAAAATATGACATATGCATACAATGGAATGTTACTCAGCCACAAAAAGGAATAGAGTACTACATGCTACAACATTGATAAACCTTGAAAACTTTAAACTAAGTGAAAGAAGTCAGACAGAAAAGGCAACATATTGTATGATTTCATTTATACGAAATGTCCAGAATGGACAAATCTATAGAAAGCAGAATGGAGGTTGCCAGAGGCTGGGGCCAATGGGGAATAGGAGTGACTATTAATGGGTAGAGTTTCTTTTAGAATATTTGATGAAAATGTTCTGGAATTAGATAGTGGTGATGGTTGTACAACTTTGTGAATATACTAAAAACCACTGGGTTGTATAGTTTAAAAGGGTGAATTTTATGATTGTGAGTTGTCTCAGTAAAGCTCTTATTTTTTTAAATCTTCAAAAAAGTGTATGCAAACGTAAAATTAACAGTATTTCCTTTTCTTTTCTTTTCTTTCTTTTTTTTTTTTTTTGAGACCGAGTCTTGTTCTGTTACCTAGGCTGGAGTGCAGTGGCGTGATCTCGGCTCACTGCAACCTCCACCTCCTAGGTTCAAGCAATTCTCCCGCCTCAGCCTCCTAAGTAGCTGGGATTACAGGAACGTGCCACCAAGCCTGGCTAATTTTTGTATTTTCAGTAGAGATGGGGTTTCACTATGTTGGCCAGACTGGTCTTGAACTCCTGATCTTGTGATCCATCTGTCTTGGCCTCCCGAAGTGCTGGGATTACAGGCGTGAGCCACTGCGCCCGGCCAATAGTATTTTCAAAATGTAGATACAGTAACCAATATATTATTTTGCCCACTAGGTTAAAAGACTTTAGAAAGTCTCCAGGCCACTTAATTTGTTTGTTAGTTTTTCTTCCCTGGTCTTTTCCTCTTTAAAAAGTGACGAATTATGCCTGATGATGGTTCCTTCCCATTTTTCTCCTCTGCCTAGAGCTGTACCCACCCAGGAAGTGTGTTCTCAGCAAACAGCAGGCTCTCCTCTTACCACTCCCTCATTCTGTTCTGAGGATGGCAGAGGTCAAGGGGAATATTGGTCTGTAAAGTCCAGGGCTCACTTCCCTCTGCAGGCCTGCGCAAGACACACTGCTTTCTTTTTTTTTTTTTTTTTTTTTTTTTTTTTTGCAACGATTATACCACATGGTCTCAGCCTCAAAGTACTTACATTCCCAGACATGTAGAATGTGAATGATAACATGTATTTCATACAGTAGGACTGGAGGAGCTGTAGGTGGGAGATAGATTTTTCAGTGTGAATCATTGTGTATTGCTTGCATTTTTACCATGTGTTATGGATAGAATTGTGCTGCTCCCCCCACCAACCTCACCCACTGCCCCACATTTGTATTTTTGGGGGTTTTGTTTGTTTGTTTGAGACAGTGTCTCACTCTGTCACCCAGGCTGGAGTGCAGTGGCACAATCACTGCTCACTGCAGCCTCTACCTCCTGGGCTCAAGTGATCCTCCTGCCTCAGCCTTCTCTGAGTAGGTGGCACTATAGGTGGCACCACCATACCCAGCTAATTTTTTTATTTTGTAGAGATGTGGGGGTCTCACTCTGTTGCCCAGGTTGGTCTTGAACTCCTGAGCTCCAGCAATCTGCCTGCCTCAGCCTCCCAAAGTGCTAGGATTGCAGGTGTGAGCCATCGTACCTGGCCACCAAATTCATTTAAGTCTTAATCTCCGGTACCATTCCAAATATTTGGAGATAGGGCCTTTGAGGAGGTGATTAAGGTTAAATACAGGTGGGCCTTGATCCAATAAGACTGGCATCCTTATAAGAAAAGAGACAGAGGCCGGGCGCGGTGGCTCATGCCTGTAATCCCAGCACTTTGGGAGGCTGAGGTGGGCAGATCATCTGAAGTCAGGAGTTAGAGACCAGCCTGACCAACATAGAGAAACCCCATCTCTACTAAAACTACAAAAAAAATTAGCCAGGTGTGGTGGCGCATGCCTGTGATCCTAGATACTTGGGAGGCTGAGGCAGGAGAATTGCTTGAACCTGGGAGGCGGAGGTTGCAGTGAGCTGAGGTGGAGCCACTGCACTCCAGCCTGGGAAACAAGAGCAAAACTCCTTCTCAAAAACAAACAAACAAACAAACAAACAAACAAACAAAAAACAGAACTGATTTGCATTTCTATTGTTCCTATAGATAGGATCTCTGCCGTTAGAATCATAGGCTTTTTTCTTTTGAGACAAGGTCTGCTCTGTTGCCAGGCTAGAGTGCAATGGCACAATCATAGCTTGCGGCAGCCTTAACCCCCCCAGGCTCAAGCTATCCTCCTGCCTCAGCCTCCTGAGCAGCTGGGACTACAGGTGTGTGTCAGGCCTCTGAGCCCAAGCTAAGCCAACACATCCCCTGTGACCTTCATGTATACATCCAGATGGCCTGAAGCAACTGAAGATCCACAAAAGAAATGAAAATAGCCTTAACTGATGACATTCCACCATCCATTGTGATTTGTTTCTGCCCCACCCTAACTGATCAATGTACTTTGTAATCTCCCCCACCTTTAAGAAGGTTCTTTGTAATCTCCCCCACCCTTAAGAAGGTTCTTCGTAATTCTCTCCACCCTTAAGAAAGTACTTTGTGAGATCCACCCCCGGCCCACAAAACATTGCTCCTAACTCCACCGCCTACCCCAAAACCTATAAGAACTAATGATAATCCCACCATCCTTTGCTGACTCTATTTTCGGACTCAGCCCACCTGCACCCAGGTGATTAAAAAGCTTTATTGCTCACACAAAGCCTGTTTGGTGGTCTCTTCACTCGGACGCGCGTGACTTTTGGTGCCAAAGACCTGGGACAGAGGGACTCCTTCGGGAGACCAGTCCCCGGTCCTCACCCTCACTCCGTGAAGAGATCCACCTACAACCTTGGGTCCTCAGACCAACCAGCCCAAGGAACATCTCACCAATTTCACATCGGTTAAGGGGTCTTTTCACTCTCTTCTCTATCCTCTCTCGCTAGCCTTCAATCTCCCTGTCCTTCCAATTCCAGTTCTGACTCTCTTTTCGGATTCAGCCTGCCAGCACTCAGGTGATTAAAAACTTTGTTGCTCACACAAAGCCTGTTTGGTGGTCTTTTCACTTGGACGCATGTGACAGTGTGCACTATCATACTTGGCTAATTTTTAATTTTTTGTAGAGATGAGGACTTGCTATGTTGAACAGGCTGGTCTGGAACTCCTGGCCTCAATCAATCCTCCCACCTCAGCCTCCCAAAGTGCTGAGATTATACGCATGAGCCACTTAGCCTGGCCAGAGTCATAAGGCTTTTGTTTAAGGATCATTTAAGATGTTTTTCGACATCAAATCTTAGCAACCAGTTTGAAGATCCCCCACCTGCCCCACTAGAGGAGCAGGATCAGCCTGAGAATACAGCTTCTTCCTCTCCCTGGCTCATGACTTCACCCTGTACTCTTCAACCAATCAACAATCTCCACACTTTGGACCACTCCAAAACCCTTAAAAACTCTAGCCCCAAACTCCTCCGGGAGATGAATTTGAGGTTCCCTCCCATCTGTTCATTTGGTGACCCTGTGATCAAACCTGTTTCTCTGCTGCAATCTGGTATCTCAGCATTTTGACTTGCTGTGTGCATTGGGCAACAAACCTATTACAGTTACACCACCCATCTAGAAGGTGGTCTTGTCTTCCTCCAGAATCTTAGAGAAATCACTGCTTCCAAGACTCATTTTGACACTGGGTCTTTCCTTTTTCTCATTTATTTTGTAAAGTTTGTGAAGACTGGGACCATCTCATGAGTGTAGACAGCTCTCCCAGGAAATCTTTTTGTTGTTATTGTGTTGAGTGATTGAGTCTAATTGTCAGAGGCGTTTGAACCAGAGTGACTCCATTTTGAATAGGGGCTGAGTAAAATAAGGCTGAGACGTACTAGGCTGCATTCCCAGGAGGTTTAGGCATTCTTAGTCACAGGATGAGATGGGAGGTTGGCACAAGATACAGGTCACAGAGACCTTGCTGATAAAACGGGTTTTGGTAAAGAAGTTGGCCAAAACCAAGATGGTGATGCAAGTGACCTCTGATCGTCCTCACTGCTCATTATACGCAAATTATAATGCATTACCATGCTAAAAGACACTCCCACCAGCACCATGATAGTTTACAGATGCCATGACAATGTCAAGAAGCTATTGTATCTGGTCTAAAAGGGAGGAAACCACAGTTCTGGGAATTGTCCACCTTTTTGCTGAAAAACTCATGAATAACCCAGCCCTTATTTAGCATATAATCAAGAAATAACTACAAGTATACTCAATCAAGCAGCCCATGCTGCTGCTCTGCCCAGGGAGTAGACATTCTTTTGTTTCTTTACTTCCCTAATAAACTTGCTTTCACTTTATGGATTCTCCTCGAATTCTTTCTTGTGCACGATCCAAGAACCCTCTCTTGGGGTCTGGATTGGGACCCCTTTCCTGTAACATAATTAGCATCTCCAACCAGAACAGGAAAGAAGATGAAACCCAATCTGTTTCTTCTACTTAGTTGCTTTGGTTAGAAAAAGAAAGTCAATTTCTGTAACTGTGGGTTTGAAAGACTGGTTCCAATAATTAGAATTTCAAAAATGTTTTTATCGATTTAATCTTAGTCATTGTTAAGGTATAATTTTCAGAAAGGTAAAATCATGAATCTTATGCAAATATAAACTGAAAATATGTCAAAGATTTAGTTAACTCATTAATTATAAGGGCACAAGTAAAATGTGGTAATTAATAAGATAGTATAAGCATTTAAGAAACTAGTTATAGATTGGCAATTTTATACATTGCTGGTTCAGGAATGGAACTGATTAATGTCCAACAGGGCCAAAAACTATAACCTGTGGGATTATCTGTTCCACTGGACAGAAACTAGTTTGCATTCCCATGAGACAAAATTCTACAAGTTAATCATTGTTCCTACAGACTTGCAAAATAGCTCTGACAATGAAATGTTAAGCCCAACCTGCTGCAATGAGTGAATGCCTGGCATTTTAGTCTGTTCAGACTACTATAACAACATAGCTTAGACTAGGTAGCTAATAAACAACTGATATTTATTTCTCACAGTTCTGGAAACTGGAAAGCCGGTGGTCAAGGTGCCAGCAGAGTCCACGTTTGCTGAGGGCCTGCTTCCTGATTCATGGATGCCCATCTTCTCCCTCTGTCCTCACAGCGTGGAAGGGGCCAGGGATCTCTCTGAGGCTCCTTTTAAAAGGGCACTAAGGCCAGGCGCGGTGGCTCATGCCTGTAATCCCAGCACTTTGGGAGGTTGAGGCGGGTGGATCACTTGAGGTCAGGGGTTTGAGACTAGCCTGGCCAACATAGTGAAACCCCATCTCTACCTAAAATACAAAAATTAGCCAGGTGTGGTGGCAGGCACCTGTAATTCCAGCTACTTGGGAGGCGGAGACACGAGAATTGCTTGAACCTGGGAAGCAGAGGTTGCAGTGGAGATCGCACCACTGCACTCCAGCCTGGGCAACAGAGAGAGACTCCATCTCAAAAAAAAAAAATAATAATAATAATAAAATAAATAAAAGGGCACTACTCCCATTCCCAAGGGGCCACTTTCATGACTTAATTACCTCCCAAAGGCCCCACCTTCTAATACCATCTCATTGGGGATTAGGTTTCAACATATGAATTTTGGGGGGGTCACACACACTCAAATTGTGATCTCTTTTGCCCATTCCCAAGCATCTAAAACAATGCTCAATCCTTTAGGACGGAGGTTTAAGGGTGTGCTGAACTGAGAAATAAGAGCTGGTGCCACCGGAAACCCAAACATTCGTTTTAGTTATTACGCAATGAGGAGGAATCTGTGAATTTTGGTGACTCATTTTCCCATGCCAGCAGTAACTGAAATAGAAAATTCAGTGTTGGCCATCTGTCTTCCTAGGAGTAAAGTGAGGAAATTATAGGCCATGGTCTTTGTTGGGAACAGGCCTCCTAAAATCTGGCCATAAACTGGTCCCACAACTGGCCATAAACAAAATCTCTGCAGCACTGTGACATGTTCATGATGGCCATAACGCGCACGCTGGAAGGTTGTGGGTTTACCGGAATGAGGGCAAGGAACACCTGGCCCACCCAGGGTGGAAAGCCGCTTAAAGGCATTCTTAAACCACAAACAAGAGCATGAGCGATCTGTGCCTTAAGTACATGTTCCTGCTGCAGATAACTAGGCAGACCCACCCCTTTATTTCGGCCCATCCCTTCGTTTCCCATAAGGGATACTTTTGGTTAATTGAATATCTATAGAAACAATGCTAATGACTGGCTTGCTGTTAATAAATACGTGGGTAAATCTCTGTTCGGAGCTCTCAGCTCTGAAGGCTGTGAGACCCCTGATTTCCCACTTCACACCTCTATATTTCTGTGCGTGTGTCTTTAATTCCTCTAGCGCTGCTGGTTAGGGTCTCCCCGACTGAGCTGGTCTCGGCAGGTCCTCTGAAATAAAATAAAGCATTCCTACCTCTAAGCACTCCTACTTCTAAACATTATTTTTTCCCTAAATGTATACTGTCTATTTCTAAAGTTCCTCTCATGATTTAAAATTATTTAACAATTTTACATTTCTTGGCCCAGTGTGGTGGCTCATGCCTGTAATCCCAAAAATTTGGGAGGCCAAGACAAGTAGATCACTTGAGCCCAGGAGTTTGAGATCAGCCTGGGCAACATGGTGAAACCCTGTCTCTACAAAAAAATACAAAAATTAGCCAGGTGTGGTGGCACATGCCTATAGTCCCAGCTACTCGGGAGGCTGAGGTGGGAGGATTCCTTGAGCCTGGGAGTTTGAGGCTGCAGTGAGCTGTGATCATGCCACTGCACTCCAGCCTGGGTCACAGAGTGAGAGCCTGTCTCAAAAAAAATTTATATTTCTTACAGTACATAATTTTATGACATATTGTTCTTTAAATGTATAATGAAAAACAACAGCCTTCTGCTTCATTTCCTCCCATCTCATGCCTATGCCCTACAGACAACCTCTTTCAACTTTTTTCTCAAACACTCTGTCAGAACTTCAAGTTCTTCTGAACCCAGTTCCTCTCCATCAGAAAATCTCTCAAGTTACTAGCTCCCCTGGTGCCCTGGGACTTCCTGCTTCACACCAGATCTGGCGCTTTCTGACCTTTTGCAAGGCTGTTGTGCTGAGATTCACTCGCCTTGACCTTTGTTGGGGGAATTCCCTTTGACTGTGTACTGTGTTGAGTCCTTTACTTTCTGGCTCCCATTTCCTTCCCTTTTTCTTGACTAACTCTCTTGTTTTATTTTCTTCAGTATTTCTTGAGAAAGTACATTTGGCAAGTAAAGTTTTTAAGTTGTCTGGAATTGTCTTATTTTACTCTCATATTTGATTAACAGTTTAGTTGGGTATAGAATTCCTAGTTTAAAATCACTCTCCCTCAGAATTTTCTTTTTTTTTTGAGACACAGTCTTGCTCTGTTGCCTAGGCTGAAGTGCAGAGGCACAATCAAAGCTCATTGCAGCATCAAACTCCTGGACTCAAAAGTTCCTCCCACCTCCGCCCCTCAAGTAGTTGGGACTGCAGGTATATGCCACCACACTCAGCTAATTTTTTAATTATTTTGTAGAGATAGGGTCTTGCTAAGTTGCCCAGGCTCATCTTGAACTTCTGGGCTCAAGTGATCCTCTCACCTCAGCCTCCCGAAATACTGGGATTATAGGTGTGAGCCACTGAGCTTGGCCACCCTCAGAGTTTTGAAAATTTTATTCCACTGTCTAATAGCTTCAGTGCTTTACTGAGAATTGCAATATTGATTTGATTCCTAATCATCTGTTTGTGATCTTTTCCTTCTTTTTGGAAGAGTTTAGGATCTTTTTATCCTGGATGCTATGAAATAATCTTGGCAAGGGTTTTTTTGTTTTGTTTTTTTGATTTGACAGGGTCTTGCTGTCACCCAGGCTGGAGTGCAGTGGTGCAATCAGGCTCACTGCAGCCTTAACCTCCCTGCTCAGGAGATCCTCTCACTTCAGCCTCCTAAGTAGCTGGGACCATGATTGAGTACCATTAATTAATTTTTTTTTTTTTGAGATGGAGTCTCACTCTGTTGCCAGGCTGGAGTGCAGTGGTACAATCTCAGCTCACTGCACCCTCCACCTCTCGGGTTCAAGTGATTCTCCTGCCTCACCCTCCTGAGTAGCTGGGACTACAGGTGCCAGCCACCACGCCCAGCTAATTTTTATATTTTTAGTAGAGACGAGGTTTCACCATGTTGGCCAGGATGGTCTCGATCTCTTGACCTTGTGATCCACCCGCCTTGGCCTCCCAAAGGGCTGGGATTACAGGCATGAGCCACTGCACCTAGCCTAATTAAATTTTTTAATTAAAAATTTTTAATTTTTAAAAAATTATTTTTGTAGAGACAGGGTCTTGCCATGTTGCCCAGGCTGATATTGAACGCCTAGGCTCAAGTGATCCTGCTACCTCAGCCTCCCAAAGTGCTGGGATTATAGGTGGGAGCCACTACACCCAGCCAGTACAGGTCTTTTCTTGTTCATTGAGCTACATATCCTTCAAACTGGGTCCTTAAATTTTATCGTTCATTGAAAATGGGCCCTTGCAATATAGAGACTCATTTCCTCTAGTTCTGGGAAATTATCTCATGATTTTTGTTTGTTATAAATAATGTTCTCCCTCCTTTTGTCTATTCTTTCTTTATGTACTTCAATTTGTCAGATACCCATTTAGATTGACTCTATCTCTTTTCTCCTTCTTTCTGTATCTTTTTTTTTTTTTTTTTTTGGCAGAGTCTTGCTCTGTCACCCAGGCTGGAGTGCAGTGGTGTGATCTCAGCTCACTGTTTTGCTTTCCTTTTTTTGTTTTTGTTGTACTTCCTGGGAAATTGTCCTCAACCTCATTTTCCAGTTCTTCTATTAAAATTTTCATTTTTGCAATTATATTTTTAAATTTTGTAGAGTTTTCCTTGTTCTCCATTCCTTTTTTATAGTCTCCTGCTCCAGTGTTATGGTGAATATTTTGCTCTTAGTTCTCTGGGGATTTTTATTATAGATTTTGGAAAAGTTTTCTTCTACTTCCTGCATTGTCTCTGTTTTTGTTTTATTTTTCCATTGTCTTCTGGTTGTTTGTTTTGGTCTCTGTCTTTCCTAAAAAGGCATTCTCTAAGTGTCCTGAGATACAATGTGGTCCATTCATATTTCAAAATGAACCTCTAAAAAGTGGATGGAAGTTGTGTGGGCATGCACTGTGCTTGTTGATGGGAGGTTCTCATAGTGGGGACAAGGTACTTAGCTGGTATTTTTCATGGAGGGAGCCCCAAATGTCAACATATGTAGGTCATTTTTCTTGAACTAGGCACTTTCCACATTGTGTTAGCTTGTTCTCACATTGCTATAAAGAAATACTTGAGACTAGGTAATTAATAAACAAAAGAGGTTTAGTTAGCTCACAGTTCTTTAGGCTTTTGTATTAGTGCATTTACACGCTGCTGATAAAGACATACCTGAGACTGGGCAACTTACGAAAGAAAGAGGTTTAATTGGACTCACAGTTCCATGTGGCTGGGGGGGGCAGGGGTGGTGGTGGGGGGGCGGGGGTGGTGGTGGGAGGGCCTCACAATCATGGCAGAATGCCAGGAGGAGCAAGTCACATTTTATGTGGATGACAACAGGCAAAGAGAGTTTGTGCAAGGGAACTCCTCTTTTTAAACCATCAGATCTTGTGAGACTCATTCACTATCGGGAGAACAGTGCAGGAAAGACCTGCCCCCATAATTCAATCACCTCTCACTGGGTTCCTCCTATAACACATGGGGATTGTGGGAGTTAAATTCAAGATGAGATTCGGGTGGGGACACAGCCAAACCATAGCATTCCACCTCTGGCCCCTCCCAAATCTCATGTCCTCACATTTTAAAACCAATCATGCCTTCCCAACAGCCCCTCAAAGTCTTAACTCATTTCAGCGTTAACTCAAAAATCCACAGTCCAACATTTCATCTGAGACAAGGCAAATCCCTTCTGCCTATGAGCCTGTAAAATCAAAAGCAAGTTAGTTATTTCCTAGATACCATGGGGTACAGGCATTGGGTAAATACAGCCATTCCAAATAGGAGAAATTGGCCAAAACAAAGAGGCTACAGACCCCATACAAGTCCAAAATCCAAAGGAGCAGTCAAGTCTTAAAGCTCCAAAATGATTTCCTTTGACTCCGTGTCTCACATCCAGGTTACGCTGATCCAAGAAGTGGGTTCCCATGGTCTTGGGCAGATCTGGCCTTGTGGCTCTGCAGGGTACAGACTCCCTCCCAGCTGCTTTCATGGGCTTTTGTTGAGTGTCTGTGGCTTTTCCAGGCAAATGGTGCAAGCTGTTAGTGGATCTACCATTCTGGGGTCTGGAGGATGGTGGCCCTCTTACAGCTCCAGTAGGCAGTGCCCCAGTAGGGATTCTGTGGGGGGGGGCTCCAACCCCACATTTCCCTTCCACACTGCCCTAGTAGAGGTTCTTC
Source organism: Homo sapiens (assembly GCF_000001405.40). Classification (NCBI taxonomy): domain Eukaryota; kingdom Metazoa; phylum Chordata; class Mammalia; order Primates; family Hominidae; genus Homo; species Homo sapiens. Next base: position 101,170,698 of record NC_000002.12, on the reverse strand, counting down.
ATGAGAGCCCCGCCTGTGCAGCAAACTTTTGCCTGGACATCCAGGCATTTCCATACATCCTCTGAAATATAGCCAGAGGTTCCCAAACCTCAATTCTTGACTTCTTTGCACCCTCAGGCTCAAAACCACATGGAAGCTGCCAAGGCTTGGGGCTTGCACCCTCTGAAGCCACAGGCGGAGCTGTCCCTTGGCCCCTTTTAGTCATGGCTACAGCAGCTGGGAAGCAGAGCACCAATTCCCTAGACTGTACAAGCACAGGGTCCCTGGGCCTGGTCCACAAAACCATTTTTTTCTCCTAGGCCTCAGGGCCTGTGATGGGAGGGGCTGCCATGAAGACCTCTGACATACCCTGGAGATATTTTCCCCATTGTTTTGGGGATCAGCATTTGGCTTCTTGTTACTTATGCAAATTTCTGCAGCCAGCTTGAATTTCTCCTCAGAATATTGGATTGTCTTTTCTATTGCATTGTCAAGCTGCAAATTTTCTGAACTTTCATGCTCTGCTTCCCTTATAAAACTGAATGCCTTTAACAGCACCGAAGTCACCTCTTGAATGCTTTGCTGCTTAAAAATTCCTTCTGCCAGATACCCTAAATCATCTCTCTAAAGTTCAAAGTTCCACAAATCTCTAGGGCAGAGGCAAAATGCTGCCAGCTCTTTGCTAAAACATAACAAGAGTCACCTTTGCTCCAGCTCCCAACGAGTTCCTCTTCTCCATCTGAGACCAGCTCAGCCTGGAGCTTATTGTTCATATCACTATCATTATTTTTGTCAGAGCCATTCAACAAGTCTCTAGGAAGTTCCAAACTTTCCCACATTTTCCTGTCTTCTGCTGAGCCCTCCAAACTCTTCTAACCTCTGCCTGTTACCCAGTTCCAAAGTTGATTTCACATTTTTGGGTATCTTTTTAACAACACCCCACTCTAGTAATACCAATTTACTGTATTAATCTGTGTTCATGCCACTGATAAAGACATACCCAAGACTGGGCAATTTATAAAAGAAAGAGGTTTAATTGGACTCACGGTTCCACGTGGCTGGGGAGGCCTCACAATCATGGCAGAAGGCAAGGAGGAACAAGTCACATCTTACGTGGATGGCAGCAGGCAAAGAAAGATTGTGCAGGGGAACTCCTCTTTATAAAACCAACAGATCTTGTGAGACTCATTCACTATCACAAGAACAGCACAGGAAAGACCTGCCCCCCATAATTCAATCACCTCCCACCGGGTTCCTCTCACAACACATGGGAATTGTGGGAGTTACAATTCAGATGCGATCTGGGGCCGGGCACAGTGGCTCACACCTGTAATCCTGGCACTTTGGGAGGCCGAGGTGGGCGGATCACCTGAGGTCAGGAGTTTGAGACCAGCCTGGCCAACATGGTGAAACCCCGTCTCTACTAAAAATACAAAAATTAGCTAGGCATGGTGGCACGCACCTACAGTCCCAGCTACTCAGGAGGCTGAGGCGGGAGAATCGCTTGAACCTGGGAGACGGAGGTTGCAGTGAGCTGCTATCACACCACTGCACTCCAGTCTGGCTTGGTTCACACACTTTTAATGAACAGATCCCGTGAGAACTCACTATTATGAGGACAATACCAAGTGGATAGTACTAAATCATTCATGAGCTATCCACTCCCATGATCCAGTCACCTCCCACCAGGCCGCACCTCCAAAACTGGGGATTACATTTCAACATGAGATTTGGGTGGGATCATACATCCAAACTATATCATTCTTCCCCTGGCTTCTCCCAAATCTCATGTCCTTCTCACATTGCAACATACATTCTGCCTTTCAAACAGTTCCCCAAAGTCTTAACTCATTCCAGCATTAACTCTAAAGTTCAAAGTCCAATGTCTCATGAGAGACAAGGCAAAACCCTTCCACCTGTGAGCCTGTAAAATATTTTTTAAAGTTAGTTACTTCCAAGATACAATGGGCTATAGGCATTGAGTAAACCTTCCCATTCCAAAAGGGAGAAATTGGCCAAAAGAAAGGGACTAGAGGCCCCATGCAAGTTCAAAACCCAGGAGGGCAGTCATTAAATCTTAAAGCTCCAAAATAATCTCCTTTGACTCCATGTTCCACAACCAGGACACACTAGTGCAAGGGGTGGGATCCCAAAACCTTGGACACCTCTGCTTCTATGGCTTTGCAGGGTTCAGCCCCAAGAGTTGCTCTCCTGGGCTGGTGTTGAGTGCCTGCAGCTTTTTCAGTACATGTTGTAAGCTGTTGGTGGATTTACCATTCTGGCACCTGGAGGATGGCAACCTTCTTTTCACAGCTTCTCTATGCAGTGCCCTGCTAGAGACTCTGTGTGGGGGCTCCAACCTCATGTTTCCCCTCTCCTCTGCCCTACTCGAGGTTCTCCACAGGGGCTCCACTCCTGCACCAGGCTTCTGCATGGACACCCAGGCTCCATACATTACCTGAAATCTAGGTGGAAACTCCCAAGCCTCAACTATTGCACTCTGTACACCACAGGCTTAACACCACATGGAAGCCACCAGAATTTATGGCTTGTACTCTCTGAAGCAATGGTCTGAGCTGTACATGCAGCCCTCTGAGCCGTGGTAGGAGCTGGAGCTGTAGGGAGCAATGTCTCAAGGCTGCTCAGGGCAGTGGGACCTTGGGCTTGGTTCACAAAACCATTCTTCCCTCCTAGGCCTCTGGTTCTGTGATGGGAGGGACTGCTCAAAGGTCTCTGAAATGCCTTGAGGCCTTTCCCCCTTCATCTTGGCTATGAGCACTTGGCTTCTTTTTAATTATACAAATCTCTCTGCTTCTCTTTTAAATATAAGTTCCAACTTTAGGTCATTTCTTTGCTCACACACATGAGCACAGGCTGTTAGAAGCAGCCAGGCAACATCTTGAATGCTTTGCTGCTTAGAAATTTCTTCCACCAGGTACCCTATGTCATCACTCTCAAGCTCAAAGTTCCACAGATCCTAGGGCAAGGGCGCAATGCAGCCAAGTTCTTTGCTAAGTCATAACAAAAGTGTCCTTTGCTCCAGTTCTCAGTAAGTTCCTCATTTCCATCTGAGACCTCTTCAGCCTGGACTTCACTGTCAATATCACTATCAGCATTTTGGTCACAACCATTTAACCAGTCTCTAAGCCATTCCAAACTTTCCCTCATCGTCCTGTCTTCTTCTGAGCCCTCCAAACTGTTCCAACCTCTGCCTGTTACCCAGTTCCATAGCTGCTTGTACATTTTCAGGTATCTTTATAGTAATGTCCCACTCCTTGGTACAAATTTTCTGTGTTAGTCTATTCTCATGTGCTATAAAGAAATATGAGACTGGGTAATTTATAAAGAAAAGAGGTTTAATTGGCTCATGGTTCTTCAGGCTTTACAGGAAGCATGACAGCATCTGCTTCAGGAGAGGCCTCAGGAAGCTTCCAATCACGGCAGAAGGTGAAGGGGGATCAGGCGTCTCACACAGCAGGAGCAGGAGCAAGAGTGAGATGGGGGAGGTGCCACACACCTTTAAATGACCAGATCTCACAGGAACTCACTTGCTATAGTGAGGACAGTACCAAGCAGGTGGTGCTAAACCATTCATGAGAGATCCACCCGCATGAGCCAATCACCTTCCACCAGGCCCCACCTCCAACACTGGGGATTACATTTCAACATGAGATTTGGGCAGGGACATACATTCAAACTATATCACCTACTTTCCTGATTATGCATGTGGGAAAAGAAACTGAAAGTGTTCCATAAACTTTCAACCAATGCTTCTTTTTTTTCTTTTATTTTTTTTTTGTAGAGTCAAGGTTTTTGCTATGTTGCCCAGGCTAGTCTCAAATTCCTGGACTCAAGTGATCCTCCCTCCTTGGCCTCCCAAAGTGTTTGGATTACAGGCGTGAGCCATCGTGCCTGGCCCAACCAACACTTCTTATTTTCATCCACATGTTTCAACCAGCCCTCAGAAACCTGGGGAAATTCAGAGCTAATTGTCTAGACATTGCTCAGCTCTGTGCAACCAGGGCTCTCCCGAGTCTCTTTAGATTTGTGCTTTTTCCATCTTTTAGACCATTTTCCATTCCATTCCAACTTCCAAAGTGTTATTGCTATCTAGTCTGCTGTTTTCTACCCTCCTATTATTTTTATCCTTGCGAGTTTATTTCCTTTTAATCCCATTTACTATAATTTTAATGGAGCTTTGGAGGAGAGAAAAGATAAATGCCTGTGTTCATTCAGCTTCATTTAATGTAAAATCTTCCTCCCAACTTTTCAATTACTAAATTAAATTCTAGATAATTCAGTCTCAAATGCTCCTCCTTATAAGTTCTGCAAGGCATCAAGATGATGTTTTCTCCATATGGACCACCACCCACCCCTAACATTTATTTTCCCCCACCATCATTAAAAAGAAACAATTGGCCAGGTGCGGTGGCTCATGCCTGTAATCTCAGCACTTTGGGAGGCTGAGGTGGGTGGATCATGAGGTCAGGAGATCGAGACCATCCTGGCTAACATGGTGAAACCCCATCTCTACTAAAAAGATACAACAAAAAAATTAGCCGGGTGTGGTGGCGGGCACCTGTAGTCCCAGCTACTTGGGAGGCTGAGGCAGGATAATGGTGTGAACCCAGGAGGCAGAGCTTGCAGTGAGCCAGGATTGTGCCACTGCACTCCAGCCTGGGCGACAGAGCAAGATTCTGTCTCAAAAAAAAAAAAAAAAAAAAAAAGAAAAGAAAAAAAGAAACAATTAACTCATAGATAGAACTTCCTGGGCCTTTCTTTTCAGGCTTATAATCTGGGTTTAGGGCTCTTTTACAATGCAAATAATTAGCTAAAAATGTTCTAATTTGTATCTTCTTTTTTTTTTTTTTTTTTTTGAGATGAGTTTTGCTCTTGTTGCCCAGGCTGGAGTGCAATGGCATGATCTCGGCTCACTGAAACCTCTGCCTCCCAGGTTAAAGCAATTCTCCTGCCTCAGCCTCGCACGTAGCTGGGATTACAGGCATGCACCACCACGCCCAGCTAATTTTGTATTTTTAGTAGAGATGGAGTTTCTCCATGTTGGTCAGGCTGGTCTCGAACTCCTGACCTCAGGTGGATCCGCCCGCCTTGGCCTCCCAAAGTGCTGGGATTATAGGCGTGAGCCACCGTGCCCAGCCTGTATCTTCTTTATAGATGTTCACACTAACGAGAGCCATATAACTCAGTGAGGTATTTGTTTGTCAAAGGAAACTTAAGAGGAGAAATAAATATTTAACAGACACAATTCTATTTATCACCGAGTTATAATTGGTGAGTTCCAGCTTTGAGACTCTAGGGTTGCCACCAGCCACATGTGGTGATTAAGCAATTAAAATGTGTCCAGTGTGAATGAAAAATGAAATTTTATTTTAAAAAACACTTCATTACTTTACATTTAAATCTAGAGCCAAGCACAGTGGCTCACACCTATAATCCCAGCACTTTGGGAGGCTGAGGCGGGCAGATCACCTGAGGTCAGGAATTCGAGACCAGCCTAGCCAACATGGTGAAACCCAATCTCTACTAAAAATACAAAAATCATCCGGGTGTGGTTGTGTGTACCTGTAATCCCAGCTATTCAGGAGGCTGAGGTACGAGAATCGCTTGGACCCGGGAGGCAGAGGCTGCAGTGAGCCAAGATGGTGCCATTGTACTCCAGCCTGGGTGACAGAGAAAGACTCCTTCTCAAAATAAATAAATAAAAATAATAGATAAATAAATACATTTAAATTTAAATAGCCACACATGGCTAGTGGTGACCATATTGGACAGCAGAGCTCTAGAGTCTCACAGAAATTTTCCTTTTTTTCATTTCATAGCATTTTCTGTAACATGAGGGGAATTAAACATTTGAGCTTGCTTTCACTGAAGCTATGCACTCATGTGTCATCTTAGTCCACTAGTGTTGCTATAAAGAAATACTTGAGGCAGGGTAGACTGAGTGCAGTGGCTCACACCTGTAATCCCAGCACTTTGGGAGGCCAAGGCAGGCGGATCACCTGAGCTCAGGAGTTCAAAACCAGCCTGGGCAACATGGCGAAATCCCATCTCTACTAAAAATACAGAAAATTAGCTGGGTGTGGTGGCAGGCACCTGTAATCCCAGCTACTCGGGAGGCTGAGGCAGGAGAATCGCTTGAACCTGGGAGGTGGAGGTTGCAGCGAGCTGAGATCATGCCACCGCACTCCAGCCTGGATGACAGAGTGAGACTCTGTCTCAAAAAAACAAAGAAAAAAGAAAAAAAGAAAAGAAATACTTGAGGCAGGGTAATTTATAAGGCAAAGAGGTTTATTTGGCTCACAGTTCTGCAGGCTGTACAGGCCTGTACATGGCACCAGCATCCGCTTCTGGTGAGGCCTCAGGAAGCTTCTACTCATGGCAGAAGGCAAAGAGGGAGCTGGCGTGTCACATGGTGAGGGGGAAAGAGAGAGAGGAGGAAGTGCCAGGCTCTTTTTTACAATCAGATCTTGTGAGAACTACTAGAGTAAGAATTCACTCATTACCATGAGGACAGCACCAAGACATTCATGAGGGATCAGCCTTCATGACCCAAACACCTCCCACTTGGCCCCACCTCCAACACTAGGGATCATATTGTTACTGAGAAATCAATAGGCTCACTGCCCAATATGCATTGAGGCCAATACCATGGCACTAGCTTCTGAGAAAAGAAAAGCTCTGGCTGGGTGCAATGGCTCATGCCTGTAATCCCAGCACTTTGGGAGGCTGAGGTGTGTGGATTGCCTGAGTTCAGGAGTTTGAGACCAGCCTGAACAACGTGGTGAAACACCATTTCTACTAAAAATACGAAAAAAATCAGCCGGGCATGGTGGCACACGCCTGTAATCCCAGCAACTTGGGAGGCTGAGGCAGGAGAATTGCTTGAACCAGGGAGGTGGACGTTGCAGTGAGCTGAGATTGTGCCACTGCACTCCAGTCTGGGCGATAGAATGAGACTCTGTATGGGGAAAAAAAAAACTTTATTGCAATTCAACTGGCAAGGAAACAGGAGAAATGCTCAAATCTGTCTTGCCAAGCAGGGGTTTGGGTTGAGTTTTATTTTTATTATTTATTTATTTTGAGATAGAGTCTTGCTCTGTCACCCAGGCTGGAATGCAGTGGCGCCATCTCAGCTCACTGCAACCTCTGCCTCCCATATTCAAGTGATTCTCCTGCTTCAGCCTCCTGAGTAGCTGGGATTACAGGGGCATACCACCACGCTCAGCTAATTTTTGTATTTTTAGTAGAGATGGGGGTTTCACCATGTTGGTCAGGCTGGTCTCGAACTCCTGACCTTGTGATCTGCCCGCCTCGGCCTCCCAAAGTGCTGGGATTACAGGTGTGAGCCACCGCGCCTGGCCTGGGTTCGGTCTTATAAGTATAGGGTAATGAAGTGTGATCTGATTAGATCTTGCAATGAGGTGATGCCGGGAGGCATGATCTAACTGGATCCTGCCATGGGGTGATGCCAGAGCTCAATCTGATTGGATCCTGGATTCTGCCAGGCAGCGTGGCTTCTTAATTTAGTCCCTGTTCCTTTGTCTGAGCATTTAGGTTCCCCCTGGGGTTGCAAAGCTTGGTTCCTTTGAGCGTGCTCAGGTTACCTGACCTTTAACCTGGGCGTCCATGGCAACCAATAAACAACTCACAACTTTATTACATGATAATTGAACCAGATTGCTCTGATGTGGTTACAAAATTTCAACCTGAGATTTGGAGGAGAACAGTATCCCAACTATATCATGTCCATAGACTACATATGTTATAACATAATTGGGACATGAATAGTTTTACACAGATTTCGGTAATTAGGGGGTAGATTAAATAATACGGTAATAAACACATACTTAAAATCCAGAAGAAAAAATATGTTAACATCAATAGGTGTGATGAAGTGAAAGAGGAAAGGACGCAGTATAGTCTGGTGAATAACAATCGGAAATCAGACAGGATAAGAGGATGTCCTGCTCTTACTGGTTCAGTGATGGCTGAACATGCAAAGAAAACATTTTTAGGTCAAATCCTGGGTTCTCAGAATGAACAGTGTAATTTGTACCTTGGGAAGATTCCAGTTTATGAAGGTCCTTTTAATCGATCAAAATTCTTTTCTTTCTGCTTAGGAGCTTATGATTGAAATAGAATGCAGATTCTGTATCAGCTGAAGATTAGTAATCTTTCAGAGCTAATTAGAGAACATTGCAAGGTTTTGTCCTTTGATTTAATACTATTATGGTGTAGGGGTTCTTAATATAGGTTCTCTGACTTATAAACAAATGAAACAAACTGGTTGTAAAATCGGGAAAGAATCTGGAATAGGACAGGGCCATTTGTACATTCCCTACCGTAATTTTCCTTGGCACATGTGCAGACTCACAATCATTGCCATTTGTTATGATTCTTCTATTCTAATGTGTGTGTGTGTGTGTGTGTTTTGAGATGCAAAAAGAGCTAAAAAGGAAACCTAAGATTTGCTTTTCCCTGCCTAGTTCTGCTCCCTCATCTCTTTTGGCCTCTCCTTGTCCTTGTTTCTCCAGAGAGGAGTGCCTGGCCTGGGTGCAGGCTGGAAAGTCTTGGGAGGGTACTCTGAGGAGCTGGATGCTAGCTAGACTTTTGTTGGAGCCTTTCAAATATGTTGACATAATATAAGTACAGAGATAGGGAAATGCAAGCAGAGGTTGGGTGAACTGCCCTAGATGACAGATGGATGAGTGCACTGTCCCTATGAAAGGGGATGCCAGGGGACCCTCCTCCTCACCAACCCCTGAAGCAAGTGCTTTCTAAGGCTGACTTGGGTAGGGAAGAGGGCGGTGGTTGTGTTGGCTGTAATTTGCTTTAAAATATATTAGCACAGGCTATGAAATGACATATATGTGCATGCTCACTGGTTTCAATCCACATGCCAGAGACAGCAGCATATACCCTCATCCCAATAACAAATGCACACTCCAGGAGCGGTAGAGCACCTGTAATTAAATGCCTACACTTTTAGCCGGGGGGTGGTGGTGGTGTGTGCCTGTAATCCCAACTACTCAGGAGGCTGAGGCAGGAAAATCACTTGAACCCTGGAGGCAGAGGTTGCAGTGACCCAAGATCCCGCCGCTGCACTCCAGCCTGGGCGACAGAGCAGACCCTATTTCAAAAAAAGCAAAAATGCCTGCACTCCAGCTGTCTTTCTCTCCAATCAACGGCAAGGATTTTGTTAATTATCCCAAGGGATGTTAGAAGAGTAATTTTATTGGTGAAATTCATTGCATTCAAGAAGGTAGGTTGGCTAAAATTGGTTTGTAGGCCGGGCTTGGTGGCTCACGCCTGCAATCCCAGCACTTTGGGAGGCCGAGGTGGGTGGATCACCTGAGGTCAGGAGTTTGAGATCAGCCTGGCCAACGTGTAATCTCTACTAAAAATACAAAAATGAGCTGGGTGTGGTGGCAGGCTCCTGTAATCCCAGCTACTTGGGAGGCTGAGGCAGGAGAATCACTTGAACCTAGGAGGTGGAGGTTGTAGTGAGCTGAGATCCCACCACTGTACTCCATCCTGGGCAACAGAGCAAGACTCTGTCTCAGAAACAAACAAACAAACAAACAAAACAAAACAGGCCAGGTACAGTGGGTCACGCCTGTAATCCCAGCACTTTGGGAGGCAGAGGTGGGTGGATCATGAGGTCAGGAGTTCAAGACCAGCCTGACCAAGATGGTGAAACCCCGTCTCTACTAAAAATACAAAAATCAGCCAGGCATGGTGGTGGGCACCTGTAATTCCAGCTACTCGGGAGGCTGAGGGAGAGAATTGCTTGAACTCGGGAGGCAGAGTTTGCAGTGAGCCGAGATCATGCCACTGCCCTCCAGCCTGGGTGACAGAGCGAGACTCCGTCTCATTTAAACAAACAAACAAACAAACAAACAAAACAAAACAAAAACCCAAAACATTGGTTGGTAGCAAGGCGTTTGTCCCTCCCCCTCCTAGAATGGCATTTGAGGCTTGACCTAAATGGGCCCATGTCCAGCTTCTGACTCAAAGCATTCTGGTTGCCTGGTGCCAACTATGAAGTTACTTCTAGGATATAGTCACATTTTTACTTTGAGTAAACATTTAATGCAAGTTGTGGTCAAAGACTTGAGACTTCAGGAGCTTACAGAACAGGATATAGGGTTATCTTGGGCTCTCTTTCTAATAAATGAGTTTTAATTTTTTTAAATTTTTATGGGTACATAGTAGGTGTATATATTTATGGGGTACATTTTTTTGGGACAGGGACTTGCTCTGTCACCCTGGCTAGAATACAGTGGCATGAACATGTATCACTGAAGCCTTGACTTCCTATGCTCAAGTGACCCTCTGGCCTCAGTCTCCTGAGTAGCTGGGACTACAGGTACATGCCACCATGCCCAGCTAATTAAAATTTTTTTTTTTTTTTTAAGAGAAAGGGTCTTGCCATGTTGCCCAGGCTGGCCTCAAACTCTTGGGCTCACATAATCCTCCTGCCTCGACTTCCCAAAGTGCTGGGATTACAGGTGTGAGCCACTGTTCCTGGTCTCTAATAAATGTTTAATACATGCTTGAGTGTGCTGCAAAATTTAAGAGACTTGCTTCCATTTTAACAAATTAACTCTTTTGAGTACACGGTGGTGATGAAAGGCATATCTACACCCTCGCTTATTTCAAACCACTAGTAGCTACCGACATTTAGCAAAAAGAATCTAGTGGTTACACATAACCAAACTAACTAATATTTGTTTGCAATAGAGATTCAATGTGGAGAGGTCATTATTTCTGAGTTGCTATCATCCTTTCCTGGGGTGCTTGCCTCTCACTGTGCTTGGAAGAATGCTGGGGAAGGTCCTTCAGTCTGCAGGATACAAAAGCAATTTCAGAATTGCAGACAGAGGTGAGATATGTCACAGTTATACCCAGGGCCAGGGTTAGAATAACCCAGAGGTGATTATAACAGTTGCTATTTAGAAGACATGCCCAGGACAAGCCTGAGGTAGGTGTATGACTTAGGTTACTTCACTTAAGCCTTATAATATCTTAGAGAGACATAGGTATCCCTGTGAAGAAACTGAAATTGTAAGAGATTAAGGAACTTGCCTGTGGTTGCAAAGCTAGGAGCTAGGGAAAGATTTCTGAATCCATATCTGCCTCCTTCGAAGCGCATGTTATTTGGATGATGGCTCTAATCTTTATTGAAAGTAATGCTAAGGAAAAAAATAGATGCCACTCTCCTTCCATTAATAAGACTGAAACCAACTTAAACTGTTCATTAATGGAAAGAGCATTGGGGGCTGAGATTCAGAAAAGCCTGGGAGCAAATCCTGGTTCTGCCATGTAGCAGGTATGTGATATTGGCAAGTTTCTAAACTTTTCTGTGGGCTGAGTTTTCTCATCTGTAAAATGGGACTAATTTTAATTTTCTTTTAGATTTATTGTGAGAAATAAGTGAGATACCTGTTGAAAGTACAAGCACAGAGCTTAGTATATAGTAGTCCTCCAACAGTGTTCTTTTCCCTTGGAGGAAACTCCTCCTACCATGATATAAAGCCAGGAACCAGCATTTATTTATTTATTTTGAGACAGTCTCGTTCTGTTGCCCAGGCTGGAGAGCAATGGTGTGATCTCAGCTCACTGCAACCTCCACCTCCTGAGTTCAAGCAATTCTCATGCCTCAGCCTCTCGAGTAGCTGGGATTACAGGCGCCTGCCACCATGCCCGGCTAATTTTTGTATTTTCAGTAGAGACAGAGTTTCACTGTGTTGGCCAGGCTGGTCTCAAATTCATGACCTCAGGTGATCCGCCCCATTCGGCCTTCTAAAGTGCTGGGTTTACAGGCATGAGCAACTGCACCGGGCCTACAATTTTTTTTGAATCCCAGGAATTTCTCACAGTGCTAGTCTGTTGAACATATTCAATGGCTGTTTCTTGACTTTGCAAATCCCTTGAAACTTGTTAGCTTATTTCTGGGCTTCTTGTGACTGATTTTGAGTGTGCTTTGCGCCCATTGGGTGGAAGGCACTGTGGCAAAAGGTGTGAGCACACACAGAGGGCTCCTTCATTGCCTGTTACCTTACAACTGAGCTGTCAGAAGTGGGAGAGAAGCTGCAGCCTGGGCCAATGATCTGTCCTTCACAGCATTCATGTTATAAGAGGAAATACAAAATCATGCTTCAGACAAGGAATCGAGCTAGAAATGTGAGCCAAAAGTCAACGAGGAAAATGTGATAGCAGTTTTCAAAAGGAAATCAATAATATCAAAAGCATACATTTTAAAAATTATTTTAAAGATTAAAAAACTAAATCAATGAAAAACCAAAAAACAACTACATTTAGTAGGTATCTGGACACTAACAGAAGCTTGTAGGTAACATAAGTGACAATTCTATTAAGAACTAAAGAGTATTATGAGCCGGGTGTGGTGGCTCACGCCTGTAATCTCAGCACTTTGGAAGGTCGAGGCAGGAGATCACCTGAGGTCAGGAGTTTTGAGACCAGCCTGGCCAACATGGTGAAACCCCATCTCTACTAAAAATACAAAAATTAGCTGGGTGTGGTGGTGCATGCCTGTGGTCCCAGCTACTTGGGAGGCTGAGGGGGGAGAATCACTTGAACCCGGGAGGCAGAGGTTGCAGTGAGCTGACATGGTGCCACTGTACTACAGCCTGGGCAACAGAGCAACAGAGTCTCAAGAAAATAAAAATAAAATAAAATAAAAAGAGTATTAATTATGAAGGAAAACCAGAAATGCCTTACCGTTGCTTTTTTATATTGGGTCTAACATTTCAGAATATTCAGTTTTTCTTCCCCATTTCTCTCTCCTTTTCCTTCTTCCTCCTCTGCGTGTATGAAGGGAAGGGCAAGGGGCTGGTGATTGCTGTCTGGAACGGCTGACATGGGCAGGCTGGGCTGCTAGGACAGAGACCTAGGAGCCAGGTCCTGGATCTAGGAAAAGAAGTCCCGGCCCAGCACCACCTCTCACCCCCAAGTGGAAGTAATCGTCACATGGATAGGCTTTGTGTGTGCAGTTTCCTTCACCTGTACAACAAGGGATTTTTGGTACTTCTCGCCAAACCAATGATGAGTTCGGCCAGTCACCTGCCAGCTGAGTTCAGATTAACTACAAGCAAATGCTGGCAGTGAAGTGTTGAATGAGTGGTGTGCTTTCATCTCTGAATGCTTGCCATCCCACGGCAGGACATGCGGTGTGCTCATCTTTCTGTGACCTTTCTCAGACTGCCAGTCAGCACGTGAGGGGGACCACATCAGGGAGATGTCACTGCGCTTTGGGTGCTCTCAGAGGAGAGAGGTGTCCTAGAGGTTGGGTCTATTTCTCAAGGTTTTGCCAAGGTCTAAGGGCCTAGTATCTTTTCTTGGGGCCAGAGAGTATGTTTAGTGGGGTATTTGTATCCTGGATAGGAGAGCAAAAGTATCTTTGAAGGTCATTTTCTCTTTATTTTATTTATTTATTTTTTGAGATGGAGTCTCACTCTGTTGCCTGGGCTGGAGTGCAGTGGCGTGATCTCGGCTCACTGCAAGCTCCGCCTCCCAGGTTTAAGCGATTCTCCCGCTTCAGCCTCCCTAGTAGCTGGGACTACAGACGTGCGCCACCATGCCCAGCTAATTTTTGTATTTTTGTAGAGACGAGGTATCACTATGTTGGCCAGGCTTGTCTCGAACTCCTGACTTCATGATCTGCCTGCTGTCCTCCCAAAGTGCTGGAATTACAGGCGTGAGTCACCATACCCCGCCTTGAGGGTCCTTTTCTCTTATCTCTCCTTTTTTTTTTTTTGGTTTGGTAGAGATGGGGTCTCACTATGTTGCCCAGGCTGGTCTCAAACTCCTGGCCTCAAGTGATCCTCCTGTCTCAGCCTCCCAAAGTGCTGGGGTTGCAGGTGTGAGCCACTGTCCCTGGCTTCTCTTTTTTCCATCTTTCAACTACAACAAAATATTTATTTTATTTTATTTTTATTTTTTTGAGATGGAGTCTTGCTCCATCGCCCAGGCCGGAGTGCAGTGGCGCAAACTCGGCTCACTGCAAGCTCCGCCTTCCGGGTTCACGCCATTCTCCTGTCTCAGCCTCCCGTGTAGCTGGGACTACAGGCGTCTACCACCATGCACGGCTAATTTTTGTATTTTTAGTAGAGACAGGGTTTCACTGTGTTAGCCAGGATGGTCTTGATCTCCTGACCTCGTGATCTGCCTGCCTTGGCCTCCCAAAGTGCTGGGATTACAGGCGTGAGCCACCGTGCCTGGCTAACAAAATATTTTCAACACCCTACCAGTCCTGTTCCCTGTCTTCTACTGCTAAAGAATAATTTCCAAAAAGTTAAAAGCATGATTCTCATTGTAAATATAAAATGAACATGGATCAAAGATTTTATTCGACTCATTCATTAATGAGGGAATCAGTAAGACGTTAAGATTAGTTCAAAGGAGAATTCAAAGAACAGATATATAGGTATAGACATGGATATTAGTGAGGAATGCCCAGTAAATTTGCTAGTGGATGCAAAACTAATTAATATTCTATAGGATGTCTTTATGGACCAAAGTTTATTTGCATTGCTTTGGACAAGAGTCATGTGCATTATGATCTGTTTTCCACAAATTACCTTTTAAACTATTCAGCGTGGGGCGGGTGCGGTGGCTCAAGCCTGTAATCCCAGCGCTTTGGGAGGCCAAAGTGGGCAGATCACCTGAGGTCAGGAGTTCAAGACCAGCCTGGTCAACATGGCGAAACCCCATCTCTACTAAAAATACAAAAATTAGCCGGGCATGGTGGCATATGCCTGTAATCCCAGCTACTCAGGAGGCTGAGACAGGAGAATCACTTGAACCCGGGAGGTGGAGGTTGCAGTGAGCTGAGATCGCGCCACTGCACTCCAGCCTGGGCGACAAGAGCGAGACTCCATCTCACAAAAAATAAATAAAAAAAAAATAAAGTATTCAGCGTTTTCTGTATATTCATAGTATATTAAGAAACATCGCTGGGTGCAGTGGCTCACACCTGTAATCCCAGAACTTTGGGAGGCGGAGGCAGGTGGATCACCTGAGGTTAGGAGTTTGAGACCATTCTCACCAACATGGCAAAACTCCATCTCTACTAAAAATACAAAAAAATTAGCCGGGCGTGGTGCAGTGCGCCTGTAGTCTCAGCTACTCAGGAGGCTGAGGCACGAGAACCTGGGAGGTGGAGGTTGCAGTGAGCAGAGATCATGCCACCACACTCCAGCCTGGGCAACAGAACGAGACTCCATCGCAATTAAAAAAAAAAAAGAAAAGAAACATCACCACGTTGTCTAAAACATTTTAATCACTCCAATATATAACACACTAAATCATAAATCCCAGGGGAATGTATGCATATTCATAAATTTTGCTGAATCTTACTTTATATTTTATTCGAGACAGGGTCTTGCTCTGTCACCAGGCTGAAGTGCAATGGTGCCATTATAGGTCTCTGCAGCCTTGACCTCCTAGGTTCAAATGATCCTCCCACCTCAGCCTTTGAGCAGCTGGGACCAGAGGCACGCGTGCACCACCACACGTGGCTAATTTTTACATTTTTTGTAGAGACGGTGTCTCACCGCGTTGCCGAGGCTGGTCCTGAACTCCTGGCCTCAAGCTATCCTCCTGTCTCTGCCTTCCAAAGTGCTGGGAATATAGGTGTGAGCCACCATGCCTGGCCTAACCTAGTATTTCATCCTCCTTAGTCTAACACTTTAGAATCCATTCCCATACACAGTTCTCAGCTTCTCTGCAACACATATTGGCAAGATTTTCCAGCTTTCGTGGTATATAATCTATTTCCATCCTCCTCTTCTCTGGCTGACCTTGCATTTCTCCTTCTGGGCTCTGTAGAGAGTTTATTCTTGTTATGCTCCTGGAGTCAATGAGGTGCATCAGGGGCAAGTTTGGAGGAGAACAGGCATCCATGTGGGAGGCAGAGGCCCCAGTGAAGTCTTGAAAGCTCTTAGTGTATGTGAAGGCTAATTTCCTTGCACAGGGGAGGCGGGGCTGCTTCTGTATACAAGGGAGCCTTGAGATTTGGGAATTCGGCTTTGTCTGTGTCTGTCCAAATGTTCCTATCACAAGTCTATGGTCCTACTCCTTCCCAATCAGTGTCCTAATCTTAGCAAGAGAACTTGCTGAGGTTGAGCACTTAACCTTTGCCACAATTCTGTAATCTGTACAATTATATTTAGTATCTGAAGATGAACTTATTCTGTCCTGTGCCTATCCCAGATAAATGGTTCTTTGGATTTCAGCATATCTGTACCTTAAAATAAGAATTTAATACTTCATGTTTATCTCTTCCATTGTTTAAAAACTCTCCAGGGCAGTCAGAAACATCCATTTCACTCTACAATCTTTATAATTATTACTGTTGCCATAGCAATCAAGAGCAACAGCAGCAAAAGCCCCCAAAGCTTTGTGGTCCATATGCCCCTCACACTATTCCCAGTGCTAACTGGAGTAATCCTGCTGCCCCTCCATGCCACGGGTTACTAGCATCCCTTTTGTTCGCTATGCACGCACGAATCTGTGGGTAACCCAGCCAGAATCCCACAATTGAGGAACTGTGTTTCCTGGGGTCACTCTGCTATCAGCCAGGGTCTTGGTAGGAAATGCAGTCCATCTCCGAAAGGTTGAAGAGATTTGCTGCTCAACAGCTGTGGGCAGGATTACAGAGGCAACTGGATTAATTTGCTAGGACAGCTGTAACAAAGTACGAGAAGGGAGGTAGCTTAAACAACAGAAATGTATTATCTCCCAGTTCTGGGAGCTAGACATCTGAGATCAAGGTTGTCGGCAGGGAAGGATCTATTTCAGGCCCCTCTCCCGGCTTCTGGCAGTTCTTTGGCTTGTAGCAGCACAACTCTAATCTTCTCATGGTGTTCTCCCTGTGGATTTGTCTTCCCAAATTTCCTCTTTTTATAAGGACACCAGTCATTATGGATTAGGGGCCACCCTAATAACCTGATCTTAACTAATTACATCTGTAATCATCCTTTTTTCAGATAAGGTCACATTCTGAGTTGCTGGGAGTTAGGACCTCAACATATGAATTTGGGGAGACATAAGTCAACCTGTAACACCATCAAGGGTGATGAGAACGTAGAGATGAGCAACAGCGGGAAGTGGGTAGGGCTCTGCCGGATTTTCTCCACCCGCTCCTCCAGATCCCCTCTTCACCCTCCTCCACCTTGTTGTGTGTCTGGGAGGCTGACTGCCGCAGACTGCAGCCTGTGACCCCTTGCCTCCTATTGGCTTCTGTTTGACTTGGGTAATGGCACAGGCAGGAGCTTCGGAGGTGGGAGAGAGATAATAGAAACACAGTACCTCATAGTACCCTCCCATGCCTTCCCAATGACTTTCATATCCCTCTCCGTGCTTCTTTCATATTTAATATTTGGCAGATCAGAGCTGAATAATGTTTAAAACATGGGTGAGCGTGTGTGAACCCTTTCAGAAGTTTTTGAACATTTAATAATAATGGCTGATGTTCACTGAGTACTTACTTTGTGTTCTAAGTACTTACTACAGTATGCTCTTGATAGTTCCTACAAGGGAGGCACTACGATTATCCTAATTTTATAGTTGAGTAAACTGAGGCTCATTGAGATTGGTATCTTGCCCAAGGTCAAGATCACACAGCTAATTAGCAGCAGTTGCAGGATTCCATTTGGGGCTGTCAGCCACCAGAGGCTGCTCTAAACCACAAGGTCATCTGTGCTCATCCATTTACCAGACATGACCTCCCCTACTTGACCTCCTGTCAAACTCATATTCAAGTACTGATCTAGCAACAGCTGTTCTGTGGGACTTTCTCAATTCCCTCCCCCCAAGAACTGACCACGCGGTCTGCGCATTGCTCTCTGCTCACTGCCCCCCTGCGTGGGCTCCTGTTAGGAAGCCTACGGCTCTTTTCTGCCTCATTTTCCTACCTGTGAGTTCTCCAGGGCAGACAAGTCTCCCAGTTCATCTCTGCGATTCCCGGGCCTGGCAGTGTGTCTGCGCGGGAGGTGCCAGTGAATGTCTCTGGAAGGAATGTTTTCTTACCGTCCCCGACTGTTCTATATGCCCTGGTGCACCCTAATGGTCCCGATTACCATTGACTTCCTTCCTCAGTTTCATTCAGAGGCTGTTAGTGGCTGCCAGTCCTGGACCATGCTCTCCCGGCCTCTGGGTGGGCGTTCCTGTCCCCCGCCCACACGGTTCTTGTCCGCCAGGTCTGGTCAGGGTTTCTGAGCTGTTCCCTTCTGGAGGCGCTTCCCTGAGTTCCCAGGCGTCCTGGGGGGTCGGGATTGACTTTACTTCCACTTTTCAGTTCTGTCCTAGTTATCAGTCACGTTTTGTCAGGGATTCCTTTGTTAAAACCCCAGGGATGTTTTCATGGGGTTGTTCTTTTCTTCTTTTGCTAGGTAGGGTGTTAAATGTAACTGCCTCCCTGTGGAGATCCTTGGAGGTCCTCCAGCCTGCTCCAGGCCAGCCACCTTGTCTCTGCTTCCACAACATCCTTGAGGAAATACGCATTTAAAACCCGACCTCTACATTCCCTGTAGTTTCTCTTCACATCGCCTACTCCATATTTTCCAGCTTTTCAATTTCTCTCAGAACAAAGGTTTTATTTCTGGGCAGGGCACTGACGGCGGTGACACTAATATCGGTACCTCCGGGCCACTTGAGGGACGTCCAGACCTGAGTCTGGTCTGATGCTTTCTTTAGGATCCCAAACATCGCTGCCGCCTCCGCAGCGCCGTCGGATCCCTGGGGAGAGCATCCAAAATGTGAACCAAGTATTAAAAACATTGGAATATAACTGTTTTTAATTCTTATGCTGTTTTTTGGTTATTTGTAATTTTTGTTGTTGTTGCTATTTTAAACCCAGCGCACTTAGGTTTTCTGGCGTGCATTCTGCCCCCCGCCCCCTCGGTGCGGAAAAATGCCCTCGGTGGGGCAACCTGCAGCTGCGAGAAGAAGGCTTTTTCCCTGTCCCTCCTCCACGTCTCAGGTCGAGGTCAGGGACGGCAGCTCTCCCGAGTTCCCCCTGAGAGCGCGGAGAGGCGGGAGGGAGGGAGCCTGGCGCAGGATTGGACTTCCTCCCTCCACTCCGGAACTGCGCGCCGGAGCGCCTTGGACGCGGAAACCCGGGAGGCGCCGCGGGAGCCGCGGGGTAGGGGCGGTCGGGGGCGGGGCCGGCGGCTGGAGAGGGGCCAGGGGCGGGTGCGGGGCGGGGCCAGGGGCGGGTGCGGGGCGGGGCCACGTGAGGGCCGCGCTGGGTGCGCGGGGCTAGCTGCGCCTGCTGCGCTCCGCGGGCTCTCAGAGCGCTGGGCACCGGCCGGGCTGTGGTCCCCGCGCGCCGCCGTCGCCTCTCGAGCGGGCTCGGCTCACAGCGACCGGCGGCCGGGGAGATGTGAGCTGGGGCCGGCGGGCGCGGCCGGACCGCCGCGATGTGGCTCAAGCCCGAGGAGGTGCTGCTGAAGAACGCGCTGAAGCTCTGGGTGACCCAGAAGAGCAGCTGCTACTTCATCCTGCAGCGGCGCCGCGGGCACGGCGAGGGGGGCGGCCGCCTCACCGGTAAGGGGCTCGCCGGGGCGGGCGCGGCGGCCGGGCCCGGGGCCTCGCACCCCGCCGGGCCCGCGGCCCCCAGTCCCGGGCTGCGTCGCCAGAGGCGATTTCTTGGGAGACGCGGGGCCCGGACGGCCCTGCCGCGGGCTTGTTTTCCTTTTTTCTGCGTTTCTCCCGCGGGCTCCCGTCGAGGTGGTGGTAGAGGGGGCTCCCGGGCGCGTGCGTTTTCCGGGCGAGGCAGGTGTCTTCGCCGCCTGGCCCGGTGAGCTGGAGGCCGGACTCGACTTGGGAATCGAAGGAGAAACGCCGGGTGGAGCGGGGCCGGAGGGCTCGGGGCCGCCCTGGAGCAGCGAGGCTGCTGTGTGGGGCCAGGTGACAGCGGGGTGCGCCGAGCCAGCCCGGACTCGGCCATCTGGAGGCGCCGGAGGCTCCAGGTGGTGTCGTGGCTGGGGGCGCGCGGCGATGCGCGCGGGGCGCAGCTCTTGGAGGCCGCGGTGAGCGGGAACTGTCTCCACGCCCGGAGGGGAAACTGAGGGTGGGCGAATCCCAAGCTCGTGATCTCAGTAGAGAAATTGAACAGATCAGTTTTTTCCTCTCTTTCAGTGTCTTACAAGGAATGATAGGAAAAAAAACCCAGGCTCGTAAAGTTGATGATAAAACAAAGCATTTTTTTTCTAAAAGTTTTGTTCCAAAGCTCTTTGAAATTGACGCCAACTTGCAGTAGCTAGGACACCTGTTTAAAGGTCAGTGAAGGAACAATTAGACTTTTTCATTTGTATCTAGGGGGCCTATATTTTTCTTTCCAATTTTGGAATCGGAATAAAAGAGAGCTTAGATCTCCTGTCTTGTTCCTGTTCTACTGAGGAGAAGACAGAGGCCAGAGAGAGGTCAAAGGACCTAGGTTAGGTCCCCGGGTTAGTGGTTGGCGGCTCTTTCTGCTCTCAGACCAGTCTAGGGAAGGCCTTTTTGAGGTTGAGTCTGGTAGGAGATGTACTAACACGCCTGGAAACCGCAGAACCAAGTGCAAAGGAACTGGATTTTGCTGGACTTTAGCTTCTGAGAAAGCTGGCGGTTGGGTTTGTTAGAGGAGTGCAGACTTACACTGAGACCGGGTGAGTGGGTGGGAGTTGGCAGGTTGCTGCATGGAGGGAGCTGTAGGCAGCTGAGGGTTCCCCATGGAAGGGGCAGAGTGTAGTTAGGATTCTGGACGGAGGCGGTGCTTTGGTAACCAGTGGTCCTGTTGAGTGGCAACAAGGACTCAACTTGGGCAACTTGGGCAGCACGTGGGCCTGCTCCAGGAGCTGTTTTGAGCTTTGGGGGAGGGAGTTGTGCAGGAGGCAGGGGCCACAGTGGCCTTGTTGGGCCCCGTGACGCACCCTGGTGCTTAGTGCCCAGGCTCTCAGGAAATGGAGGTGGGTGGTGCCCTGGGAAGAGGCGAAGAGGCAGGAATTTGTCGTCCCTCCCTTTCTTTGAGGGCAGTGTATCTTTATTTATGGTGCATTTAGCAGGGTTCCTGGTCTATAAATGTTTCATTTAGTAGAGAGTGAGGACAAGGCCTGAAGATTTGTGAAGTGAGAAACATAAGGACAGTTTGTCCCGTAAACGCTCATTCATTCACTGAGTTCCGTGCACATATGTAGGATACTCTGCTCGCTGCTCTGGAAAGAGGCCCGAGAGCAGGCGGTGAGGGCCGGCTACCTTCAGCCGATTCACCATCTAGTTAGTGGGTGAGATGGTTCCAGACACGGAGGGCAGAGCTGGCCATAGGATGCCTGGCTTCAAGCCCGCTTCCTGTCCAGAGGGTTTCTGACTCTGTTGTCCAGAGTCTCTGTGATGAACTCAGTGAATTCCCTCCCTGTTTCATTCCAAAATCAAGCAGGTCCCATATTATTATTATACCTGTGGCTCTGGCATTCCTTGATATTTACTTCGGTTTGGACTTACTGTGAATGTGCAGAATTTTCTTATGCTTAAATGCAACAAGATCGACCATAAAGAGGGAAAAGTCTACAAAAAGAGGACACTTGATGTATTTCTTGGAGACCCTGTTGATTTTGAAAAGGATGACATGTGCAGCCAGACACTTTACCTTTGAGCATTTAGCTGGGAAGCCAATGCCGATGAAGCAGCGCTGACCTGCCACGTGTGCTGTGGGGGGCTGGTCTTCATGGGACCACTTAGGATTGTGGTAAAGTCAAGACCCATGGGACACAGGGCAGCTCTGTGGTGGTGGCGGTTTTTGGAAAATGTGCAATTCTAATGTGGCAGATTGTTAGCAATTTAAGAGTTTAAAACCTAGATTGAGTTTATGAAAAGAATGAGGGCTACAGTGATACACATTCTGGCAGGTTGTAGACTTTTGTTTGGAGGGAAGCAAGCAGTGGTGGCCTAAGGGGGATTGGAAGTAAAATGTAAGAGAGCAGTAATCAATAAACATCTCTTTTCCTTTATTGTGATGCTGAATTTGTATTAGTAGGAGTTTAGACAGAGGAGATCTGGTGGTTGAAGTAATCTTAATTGCCTAACTTCAGAAATACTATCAGCTTTTGTTTCCTTGAGGATTAAAATCGGCCCTCCTGCTTACATACATGCATATACATGCTCTCTCTCTCTTTTTCTCTCCCTCTCTTCACATCTCCAGGTTTATTTCTCTCCATAGTTCCTTCTCACTTTCTCTTACAATATACCAATTTATTTTTTTCATTGCTAAATTGCCTGTTCTATGAGGGCAGGTATTTACCTGTGATAGTACCCAGCATATTTGTTCAGGAAACATTTGTAGGATGAATGGATGGGTGACTGTATGCATGGATGATGGATCCCACTTTTTTCTTAAAAGTTGGGTGGGAGTAGAGGCCCAGCATTTCGGACTGATTGCCTGGAACAGGAACAACCCCTGTCTCTTCTCAGCTTCCTGTTTACCTGGCAGTCTGACCATTATGGAAAGCTGGAGGGGTGTGGGTGGGAAACACAATTGTTTCCTCCAGTCTTTTTTTGTAGCTCCCTCTTTTGAGGGGGATGGATCATCACACTAACTTCTCTGGTGGCCAGAAAGGGCGGGCACAGATGTGGCTGCCATTGTTAGCTCCTGGGCTCTGAGCACTACTAGGGAGGTGCCCATCTTTTCCTCAGGTTAGAGCATAGCATGGCAGAATTCAGGATTATGAGATGTTTCCAAACTTCTGCTTGCGGAAGTGATATTGCTACTCTGGAAAGGAAATAAAGTTATACAGTGTTCACTTTGATACAGTCTCCAACCTCTTGTAACAAGTTCAGCCAGCTCTGGGAGAACAAAGAGCCCGGAGATGTTAGCATGTGGGAAAGAGACTGTGCAGAGAAAGAACACACAACATTGCTGCCCTCTCTCCCAGGGTCTCTGAAGCACTTCAAGTGAGTGGGATAATAAGGAACTTAAATAGCTCAAGAGCAAAAAAATCTAATAACTGGATTGAAAAATGAGCAAAAGACATTAATAGGCATTTTTCAGAAGAAGACATACAGATGGCTAACAGGTACATCAAACATGCCCAGCATCACTAATCATCAGGGAAAGGCACATCAAAACCACAAGGAAATACCGCACTCCAGTTAGAATGGCTATTACTTGTTTATTTAATTAATGTTTTTCTTAGAATGGCTATTATTGAAAAGACAAAGGAAAAACGTGTTGGTGAGGATATGCAGAAAAGGGAACACTCACACTTGGTAGGATTGTAAGTTAATATTGCCACTATGGAGGACAGTATGGAGGGTCTTCAAAAAACTGAAAATGTAGCTGCTGCATGATCCTGCCGTCCCGCTACTGGGTATATATTCGAAGGAAATGAAATCAGTATGTTGAAGAGATACCTGCGTTCCTGTATTTATTGCATCACTATTTACAATAGCCAAGATACGGAATCGACCTAAGTGTCCAACAAGAGATAAATAAGGAAAATGTGAGATATATACAACAGAACACTATTCAACTATACGAAAGAATGAAATCCTATCATTTGCGACAACATGGTCTTGAACTCTTGACCTCAAGCCATCCTCCTGCCTCGGCCTCGGCCTCGGCCTCTCAAAGCACTGGGATTACAGGTGTGAGCCACCGTGCCTGGCGCATTTGCAACAACATGGATGAACCTGGAAGAGGACATCGTGTTAAGTGAAATAAGCCAGGCACAGAAAGACAAATACTGCATGATCCCACTTATATGTGTAATCTTAAAAAGTTGGTATTATAAAAGCAGAGAGTAGAACAGTGGTTACCAGGATGGGAGAAGATGGATAGGGAGAGGTTGGTCAACAGGTACAGAGTTACAGTTAGATAGGAGAAGTAAGTTCTGCTGTTTTCTTGCACAGTAGGGTGACTGTGGTGGTACCGTGTATTACAGAATAGCTATGAGAATGAGAAGCCTTTGAATGTTCTCACCACAAAGAAATGATAATTGCATGAGGTAATGGATATGCTAACTACCCGAATTGGATAATTATGTAACATATATGAGTATTGAAACATCAAATTGTATCCCATAAATATGTACAATTACAGTGTGATAATTAAAAAATAGTGAGTGGAATAAACATTACTCTAAATAACAAATATCACCACCCAGCTGTGTCCTCTGAAGGATTTGATTTTTCAGGGTTTTATTGCGTGTATTCCTGTATAATCTTGCAATTCTTCTCTTAAATTGGCTGACAATTTAAAAGTTGTAATTTGAATTGATGTTTTCTGCTTTGCAACATGGTTACCTTAAGTCCCTGTTCCTGTCATTGCATTTGTAGTAGTGATGGGCTGATTACCTAAACAGTTAGGGTGAAGGGAGGAAGTATGGTATAGTGAAAAATAGTGTAAAATACAACCTTTGGAGTCAAGGTAAGTAAGTCTGTTCATTAAGAATCTGGACTGAGAGGCTTTGAGTTAGTTTATCCAGTTTCTTTGAGCCTTAGTTATAACTCAGCCTTAAGAAAGGGACAATAATGAATCTTACTTCGGAGGGTTAGAGACTGTTTTCTACAGCAGCGGTACCATTTTTCATTCCCATCAGCAATGCATAATGGTTATGATTAAAATAAGGCTTAGAATTAATAAACAGTATACATCAAGGGCTTAATTGTGCTTGGCACCTGGTAGGTTTGACAGAAGAAAAGCAAAGTACAATTTAAAAAAACTGAATAATGGCTTCTGAGAATAAAGGTGTAAAAACATTTGCATTGTAGTGAAGGACATAAGAAACATTCACTTATCTATTAGTGCAGTATTTAATATGTGTAATTAAAAGATGAAATATTTAAACAACAGCTTGGGTTAAGAATTGCTCAGGAGAAAGGTGTTTTTATAGGATTTGGGCACACGGCTCCTCTCACCACATTAAATCGTAGTGAGTAAAGGGAGCTTCACCTTGTTTCAAATGTTGAGTGTGAGTGCTCATGCTGTGCCTCCAGTGAATCACCTACTGCCTTTGGAAGAGTGTCCTAATGACTGGGGGAGGTGAAACTGACAGGCTAAGGATTCATGTGGGGTTACAAGGCTTGCTCAGAAGGACTCTTATCAGAAGGTTGGAAACTGATGAAGTCCAGCATGGATGTTGCATTTCTTGGCTAGTCTGTCTGAGGTTGGCTGGAGTCCTGCTCATATAGCTGAGTTTGTTGGTGAATTTTGTCTCCTCCAACAGTGAAAGTCTTTGACTTAACAGGGCAGCCTGTTGCATTCTATAGAAGTCCCAGATGTTGGCTCCAGAGTCTTACATGCTTTGGTATTTTTTCTTAAAAGCATAATAGGGAAGAAACCACAAGTAAAGGAAGTAGTTTGATTTTAGGATCATACATCTGAAAAATTAAGTTAAATAACTGATATATCTTTAGGGGCTGATAATCTATTAATAAAAGCCTTGAGGTTTCCAAGAGTTGCATTTAGTGAGAGCATAATAAGGGCAATGTATTTGTAATGAGATAATCAAACAAGGCACGGACTGTGTCACTCCAGGAGATAATATAAGGTACAAATTGTGCAGGTGGTGGGATACTGGAGGGTGGCCTTTTCCACCTAATTGGAACTCCTTAGGAAGAGCTGACAATTATTGAGAGGCTGGTAGCTTGTAAAGAATTCATTTACTAGAAGTGAAGGCAGAAGGATTTTATGATCTTGACTCCACATTTTAGGTGGCACTGGATAAAGGAGGAATTTATTTATTTTTATTTTTATTTTTGGAGACAGAGTCTCGCTCTGTTGCCCAGGCTGGAGTGCAGTGGCGTGATCTTGGCTCACTGCAACCTCCACCTCCTGGGTTCAAGCGATTCTTCTGCCTCAGCCTCCTGAGTAGCTGGGACTACAGGCACGCACCACCACACCCGGCTAATTTTTTGTATTTTAGTAGAGACAGGGTTTCACCATTGTTGCCCAGGCTTGTCTCGAACTCCTGAGCTCAGGCAATCTGCCCGCCTAGGCCTTCCAAAGTGCTAGGATTACAGGCGTGAGCCACCGCGCCCGGCCAAGAGGAATTTATTTAAAATGAAAGTAAATCTGGTAATTCTTTCAGCATGGATTTTTTCCCCCTATTTTAAAAACTTACATCAATGGTATTAAAAAGCAGCCGTGAGCCTATTTTAATCACTGTTGGGGGTTGCAGGCGCTGCCCCTGAACCACCTCTTGGGTTGCCTCTCTTCCCCCTTCTGCTCTTAAGCACAGACCCTGCAGCATGTTGGCACTTTTCTCTCCCAGGCCCCTCATGGCTGTCTCCTCCCCCACCCCCAAGCATCTGGCTAATTCTTGTGAACCTTTGGGGCTCCGCCTGAGCTCCACTTCCTGGAGATGTACCTGACCCTTCCCCTACTCCCACCACTGTAGTCATGAAGAGGCTCTTTGAGGGTTTGTCTGTTTAGGGTGAACCAGATCCTGAGCTCCAGGAGGGAGGTCATAGGTCTGTGCCCCTCTCTCCTGTGCCTTTAGTGCTGATGGTTCTTGTCACCAGAGCACTCTTGATAAATATTTGTGAAATACATGGATGTAGACATCAAGTAGTACAATCTTGAGGGGATCAAGTACAAACTTCATGTAGATGTCATGTAGGAGATATCAAGTTGTACATATCAAGTAAAATGGATAGATGTGAGCCTGTGCAGTTGAGAAGTGTTTTGTGTGTATCATCCTGCAAATGGAAATTATGTAGAATGCAGGAATAAATAATAGAGTGGTGTTCTTAACTGTCTTATACCAGCACTGTGTGCTGTAAGGACTAGCAGTAGTTTGTGGCTGAACCAGCCCAGCTGTTAGGACTACCTGTTGATGCCGGGCAAGGGGGCTCACGCCTGTAGTCCTAGCACTTTGGGAGCCAAGGTGGGTGGATTGCTTGAGCCCAGGAGTTTAAAACCAGCCTGGGCAACATAGCAAAATCCTGACTCTACAAAAAAATACAGAAAATTAGCCGAGCATGGTGGCGTGTGCCTGTAGTCCTAGCTACTTGGGAGGCTGAGGTGAAAGAATCACCTGAGCCCTGGAGGTTGAGGCTGCAGTGAACTGTGATCGTACCACTGCACTCCCGCCTGGACATTGGAGTGAGACCCTCTCAAGGGGTAGGGGCGGCGGGGGAAGAACTACCTATTGGTAACCTTGATGTAAATGATTCCATACAGAACCAGACTTATTCCTCTAGTGTATCACCAGCCAACAAGCACATGTGTATGAATTTGAGTCATCCATATTCTTTAACATTTGGTGAGTCTTTCATTCTACTGGATTTTATTATTTTCCTGCTTCCTGCTTTTTACTTTAAAAAAAAGGAAAGGTGTCTGTGCGTGGTGGCTCATGTCTGTAATCCCAGCACTTTCGGAGGCCGAGGTGGGCAGATCACGAGGTCAGCAGTTCGAGACCAGCCTGGCCATCATGGTGAAACCCCATCTCTACTAAAAATACAAAACTAAGCTGGGTGTGGTGGCGGGCACCTGTAATCCCAGCCACTTGGGAGGCTGAGGCAGGGGAACCGTTTGAACCCGGGAGGCGGAGGTTGCAGTGAGCCGAGATCTCGCCATTGCACTCCACTCTGGGTGACAGGGTGAGACTCTGTCTCAAGAAAAAAAAAAAAAAGGAAAGGAAAGAAAAATCAACAATAAAATAAACAGTGCCTTAGTAAGATATCCTTATGAAAAGGTACTGCATTTTATGGTTTGTTTCTTAGTTAGGAACTTTTCGGTGTGCATAAGAGTATTTAAGGTAAGTTGTAGGTAATGGAGCAAACACTATATATCTACCACCTGTAAGTAAAAAAATAAGAGTATATCCTATGCCTGAGAGACCCCTTCTGTGTTTTCCTGATTACATTTCCCTCCCTTCCTTGCAGGCACCACTACCCTGGATTATGTGTTAATACTGACTTGCTTTTCTTTATAGTTTTAACACATTTATATGTATTCGTAATCAATACATAGTTCAGTTTTGTGTGTTTTTGTAACTTTATTACAAAATATACTTTTATTCATGCTTTATGTATTTTTCTGTCACTTGATCACCCCACCCCCTGCATTATGTTTTTCTCACTTTGACCCATGGTAGCTGCCGTGGTTCATTCATTTTCATGGATGTGTAGTAATCCATTGAGTGAATGTATTATTATTTATTCATTCTCCTGTCCTTGGATATTTGGGTTGTAGTTGTTTTAGTAGATAAAGCTGCTGTGAACATTTTCCTGTAGTGTTCACACAGGTATACATTTCTCTAGAGAATATTTCTATGAGTGACCTTGTTGGGTGTATCCATCAGGATGAGTTAGGTTATGCTGCAGTAACAAACACCCCGACACATAAATTTATTTCTCTGTCATGCTGTATATTCAATGTGGGTCAGCAAGGATCTCTTCTGACGGAGAACTGGGACTTTTGTGAACAGCCCTAATACTGGGTCATAGCTATGTGTATTTTCAACCTTTCTAGATAATTCCAAATTGTTTCCAAGCAGAGCATGGTGGTGCATGCCTATAATCCCATCTACTTGGGAGGCTGAGGCAAGTGGATTGCTTGAACCTAGGAGTTTAAGTCCAGCCTGGGCAACATAGTGAGACCACTGTCTCTAAGAAAAAACTTCCCACAGTGGTACATCCTTGCTAATGCTTGATATTGTCAGAGATGTTACTTTTTGCCAATCTGGTAGGTATTTACATAGTATCTTAGAACCACTAAGATACTATTTCTCATTGTTACTAATAGGGATGAGAATATTTTTATGTGTTCATTAAGTATTTGTTTTTCCTTCTGAGAAATACTTGAGTCTTTTGCTCATTTTTTTTGTTGGCTTACCTTTTTTTTAGTTTTTTTTATGAGCCTTGTGTATGTGTGTGTGTGTGTGTGTGTGCGCGCCTTCATGTGTGGTTTTTCTGTATTCTTTTTCAATTGTATGTATTTTTTTTTAAAGTCAGGCTTTTTATTTTCATTGTAGGTTTTTTGAACTCACATTGTTAATTTTCATGCAGTCAGATGTATCAGTCTTTTCCCTTTTGTTTTAATTAATTAATTTACCTAGATCTTTTCTGGCAAGATCTTTTTCCTTCAGAGTTTATTCTTTTTGTTACTTGTTTAAGAAGAGCTGCTTGGAGGGGAATCTCTAAGATGATGGTGAAGGGAAATCCTGAGATGTCAGTGAGAACCTCTCTTCTTCCCTCCCCCAACCCAGCGTTCAGTCTAGATTGGAGCCTGGCAGGAGGCTGCAGGACAACTTCTAGGAGAAGAGAAAGTGATAGACTGTAAAGTGTGTTTGCACATATTGAATGAAGATCTGCACATCAGGGGAGAATTTGTGGTTAGATTATCCATAGATGGAAAGCTGAGTAAGTCAGAAATTCTGGGATAGTTGTTAACTCCAGGGAAAATAAAAAGTTGTATAGTGTGGAAAAAGTACTGTAGTTTTGCTGCAAAACTCAGCTCTTGTTAATGTTTTTGTAGTTATAATAATGTAAATATTGACTCACGATCTAACTGAAATTATTGCATAACTGGGGTGTGAGTGTTGGGTCTCGGGTGGTAGTCAGTGAAAGGGAGCTAAAGCCTCCACTTCTGAAAGTTGACAGCTAATGCCTACACTAAATATCCAAGAAGTAGGCTGGGCACGGTGGCTCACGCCTGTAATCCTAGCACTTCGGGAGGCTGAGGTGGGTGGATCACCTGAGGTCGGAGGTTTGAGACCAGCCTGGCCAACGTGGTGAAACCCCGTCTTTACTAAAAATACAAAAATTAGCCAGGCATGGTGGCGCATCCCTGTAATCCCAGCTACTCTGGAGGCTGAGACAGGAGAATGGCTTGAACCCGGAGACGGAGGTTGCAGTGAGCTGAGATTGTGCCATTGCACTCCAGCCTGAGCGACAAGAGTGAAACTCTGTCTCAAAAAAAAAAAAAAAAAAAGTAGTAATATAGATGTGTTATTTGGAGATGCGAAGGTGGATACAAAAATAATCCATTAAGAGTTGGAAGAGGTTGCCTTTGGGGAGTTGGTAAGTGGGAGCAGCAAGGAATAAGGGGACTGTTTGTGTTTCTCATGAGCCTTGCAGAATTATATGCTGATTGACACGTACCTGTAACGTTGATATAATGCAGACAGAATCTAAACTCAGGGAGAGCTTGGCATTTTTTCTGGTGGGCAGCTCTGTTTGGGTAGTGGCGATCAGGAAGTCATTGAAGCTGTGTCCCCTCATTGCCCAGGGGCCGTGATTTTCCCCGGACGCCTGTGTGTCAGCTATTTGTCCTCTCAGTGTGCTATATTTAGCCTTCAAAATGTCTAGCATGCGTGGGGTGTGTCATTTTACAGAAGCTTTTAAAACTGTTTTCAGAAATGTTTTAAATTTCAGAAATCTAATTTAGTCAGGTACTTTTATTTGAAATTAAAGATATCTATTCTGGATTTTATTCCCTCTCTCAGTAGAGGAAATAGGTTTAGAGTTGCAAGCTCATGATCTTTGTCTTCTTTCTCAACTTTAAAGAGGGGTTCTGTGACCATAACCCACTCTTTGTAGGGTCTCAGTTTATTAACCTGTAAAACAGTAGCAACGATTGCATAAAAATAATGAAAGTTTTTGCTGTGGGGGAGGTTTTATGCTTCAAACTGTTATGTTTTCTAAATATGTTGGTTAAATCAATGAAATTACTTGTAGATAAAGCAGCAGAAAGAAACCCAAAGAGCATTTTATTCAGCAGTGCCAGGCCCTGTGCTGTCATGCAGCTTATAGTCTGGAGAGGTGGAGTTTGTAGTCGTGATTGTGGGGTGATACTAAGCCACGAAACACTGAGTTATCAATGGTGGTGAGTGCCAGGGGATGCGAGAGAGAATAAGAAGGAAATGAATTTGGGTTGGAACATCAGGGAGCTGTCTCTGAGGAGCTGTGATCTCCACTGAGACCTGCATGGTGTGCAGGAGGGTGGTAGCTGGTGAGAAGTTGGGAAAAGAGCCGTCTGAGCAGAGGAAATGGCATGTGCAAAGGTCCTGAGGCCTCCGAGAGTCTGTTTTGGACAAGTTAAGTGTGGGATACCTGGGACTTGTCTAGAAAGGCCTGTAGAGGAGGAAAGGGCAGAGGGGACTGAGGCATGGGCAAGGGGCAGGAGGGCCTCAGCAGTGTATTTTCCCTGAAGCCAGGAGGAAGTGTATGTGAGAAGGAGGGAGGGGTCTGCTCTGCATTGCAGTATGGAAAAGGCTAGGAAGACCTTGGAGACCTCAGCCACAGCAGCTTGGATGCAGGCAGATGTGGCGTGGGAGCGGGCTGGAGACTGGAGGGTGGCGAGGAAGTAGGGATGGCGGATGAAGGCAGTTCTCTCAAGGTGGGATGTGGTGGTGTTTTTTTTTTTGTTGTTTTTTGTTTTTGGATACATATTTATTATTTGTCAATGAATGGAGTCTCTGTTGAATGCTGGATCCACAAGTGTAGATTTGGGGCCAAGCTGCTGGGTCTTGAGACAGGCTGGGGAAAGATTTGAATAGGTCGAGGGAGTAGTTCACCTCATCCAAGTGAGGGAACCTCAGGAGCCAGTTCCGGAGGAATGTTGTTTTAGAAATGGGGTTAGTACTCACTACTGAAAAAAAAAATGCATGGAAGAATCTGTCTCTGACTACCTGTGACATATTAAGAAATGTATTTCTTGTTTGGCCTCTGCTTCTTGTTCCTGGCACAGAGCTCCTAATCCTTTGGAATTTCCTGGGTGATGGGAGCATCTTTTGTTCTAATGAGGTGACTCTTGGTGGGCTCCTGGGTGGAGACTGGTCACCAGCAAGAACAGATTTGAAGCTTGGGGATTTCAGCCCCACCTCCATTCTCTGGGAAGGAGCAGGGGCTGGAGATTAATGATCAGTCATGCTCAGGTGGTGGTGGTGAAGCCACCTTAAGAATCCCTGGACTCTAGGGTTTGGGGAGCTCCAGGGCTGTTGAACACATGGAGGGTAGCCCACCCAGAGAGGGCACAGAAGTGCCACGTCCCCTCCAGTACACCCCGCCCTGTGTATCTCTTCATCTGGCTGTCTTCTGTATCCTTGATCATATTCTTTATTACATAATAAGCTGGGAAATGTGTTTCTGTGAGCCATCCCGGCAAATTATCAAACCTGAGGATGGGGTTATGGGAACCCCTGACTTGTAGCTGGTTGGTCGGAAGTGCAGGTGACAGCCTTGGGCTTGTGACTGGCGTCTGAAATGGGGCCAGTCTCGTGGGACCGAGCCTTTAACCTGCACTAATTCCAGGTAGTTAGTGTCAGAATTGAATGGAATTGTAGAACACCCAGGTGGCATCTGGAGAGTTGGAGAATTGGTTGGTATGGGAAAACTCCCCATACATTTAGTGTCACAAATGTGAATAGTAAAGGATAATGTTTTTTTCTTTTACCACCAAAACAATTAACTAATTTAAATGGAACCTGATGTGGTTTGGATCTGTGTCCCCACCCAATTTTCATGTCAAATTGTAATCCCCAGTGTTGGAGGTGGGGCCTGGTGGGAGGTGATTGGATCATGAGGGTGGATTTCCCCTTTGGTGCTGTTCTCGTGATAGAGATCTCCCAAGGTCTGGTTCTTTAAAAGTGTGTAGCACCTTCCCCCTCTCCCTCTTCCTCCTGCTCCGGTCGTATGAAGATGCCTGCTCTCACTTTGCCTTCTGCCATGAGTGAAAACTCCCTGAGGCCTCTCCAGCCATGCTTCCTGTACAGCCTGTGGAACTGTGAGCCAATTAAACCTCTTTTCTTTAGAAATTACCCAGTCGCGGGTATTTCTTTATAGCAGTAAGAGAATGAACTCATACAGAACCCAAGTCTGTTGGCTTAGCACTATACAGTGATGTTTTCACCTGGCAAAAAGAGTTCTTTGAGGAGACTGTGGCAGCTTAAAAATGTAATGTTACTGGTTTGGCATTTCATGTCACATGGAGCCTGCATGTAGGACACCCCTGTACTGTCTTGTCTGGGGTAAATGCTGGTAGGAAACTAACTCCACTCAGTATGTTTCTCAGCTTAGATGTATTTAGTATTTTGTTAGAAATAATACTGTCAGGATTCAAAAAATATCTATTTCCAGAAGGACTATACAGATTAAAAGTCATTTCAAATCCCAGCACTTTGGGAGGCCAAGGTGGGCGGATCACATGGTCAGGAGATCGAGACCATCCTAGCTAACACGGTGAAACCCCGTCTCTACTAAAAATACAAAAAATTTGCCGGGTGTGGTGGCGGGCGCCTGTAGTCCCAGCTACTCGAGAGGCTGAGGCAGGAGAATGGCGTGAACCCGGGAGGCGGAGCTTGCAGTGAGCCGAGATCATGCCACTGCACTCCAGCTTGGGCGAGAGTGCGAGACTCCGTCTCAAAAACGTGGTGGCTCACGCCTGTAATCCCAGCACTTTGGGAGGCTGGGGTGGGCGGATCATTGGAGGTCAGGAGTTCGACTCCAGCCTGACCAACATGGTGAAACTCCGTCTCTACTAAAAATACAAAAATTAGCTGGGCGTGGTGGCACACGCCTGTAATCCCAGCTACTTGGGAGGCTGAGGCAGTAGAATCACTTGAACCTGGGAGGCGGAGGTTGTGATGAGCCGAGATCGCGCCATTGCACTCCAGCCTGGGCGACAAAAGCCAAACTGTCTCAAAAAAAAAAAAAAAAAAAAGAATTAGCCTAGTGATGAATGGTTTAGAAAGCTTCTGGGCTTTCTTGCTTGAAAAACAGTGTTTGCTTGACAGAAACACTTTAAAAAGGCGTAAAGAGCATTGCGCAGCCTCAGATGGAGATGTAGGTATTTTACCCACCATGGGAGCATAGAGAGTTAAATGGGTTCTGAGTATCTGTTATATTGCTGTTTTGTTATTATAATTAAAAATAAATGTGAAACGTAAGCAAGGCATTAAGATTGCTTACAGAATGTATAGCTCGTGATCATTCATCATCAAGGATTCAGCCATGGCAAGGGTTTGGCTGGAGTGAAGGGTCAGACTAGATCTTCGTAAATCCAGTGTCCCAAAATTGTATGTATGCACAAGTGTGCATACTCGTGTGTTTTTATTTTAACCTGTAGCTTCCTTTAGATTTTTGAGGTAAAGGAAGGCTTTGATGCTCACTTAGGCTCCAAATTGGACCATGTTTAATCCCAGTATTATGTAGCTGTCTGTTAATGTGGGGATTCGGTTCTCTTTCAGTCCTTTAGAATACCTGAGGCTGGGAATTTATAAAGAAAAGAATTTTATTTGGCTTGCAGGTCTGCAGGCTGTACAAGAATCATGGTCCTGGCGTCTGCTTCTGGTGAGGCCTCAGGAAGCTTCCACTCATGATGGAAGGTGAAGGGGAGCCCCTGTGTACACAGATCACATGGTGAGGGTAGGGGTAGGTGCCAGGTTCGTTTTAACAATCAGTTCTTATAGGCACTAATAGAGTGAAAACTCACTCATTGCCACCAAGACAGCATCAAGCCTTTTATGAAGGATCCACCCCCATGGCCCAAACACCTCCCACCAGGCTCCACCTCTAACACTGGAGATCAAATTTCAACGTGAGGCCAGGCCAGTGGCTCATGCTGTAATCTCAGCACTTTGGGAGGCAGAGGCTGCCGGATCACTTGAGTCCAGGAGACCAGCCTAGGCAACATGGTGAAACCCTTTCTCTACAAAAAAATACCAAAATTAGCCAGGCGTGGTGGTGCCTGCCTGTAGTCCCAGCTACTTGGGAGGCTGAGGTTGGAGGATCACTTGAGCCCTGAGGCAGAGGTTGCAGTGAACCAAGCCAGGGTGACAGTAAGATCCTTCTCAAAAACACAAAAACCAAAAAACCAAATTTCAACCTGAGACCTGTATGAGACAAACATCCAAACAAAATCAGGTTCCAAAATCAACATGAAGAACAAACATTGCTTGAGGGAAAAACGACTGCAGAAATCAGCAAGCTACCTGTCTTTTTGCAATCTGCTCATGTTATCAGGAGGGCCTGGGAAGTGAGGACCCCTAGAGACCTGGGGAATTCCAGCCCTTCCATGAACTCAGGCCAGGGCCTGTGCTCCCTGATGGTGGGCAGTTGGTTTGAATTGTTGTTCCCTGCTCTTTGTTTGGACAGTGCATATCGCTGAATGTGATGTATTCACGTGACCTACTCCATAACGCCAACTGCGCCTCCACGTAGAACATTTGAGGTGGCTTCACAGTCAGGTGAGGCCAGCAGTGATCATGCCTACATTTGGTATATTACATGGGGGATTGCTGTTAGGTGAGGTTGGTGGTGGCATTTTTTTTTTTTTATTAGTTGAGCTACAATTCTGTTTTCTGCTGTTCAGATGGCTTATAACAAAAAGGTCTGTACTAAGAAGATGTTGTTTCGTCTTTCAGCCTTTTGATTGTCTTCATTTAGCCAAATAAAACATTTAGATTTGAGGAGAAAAGGGGTTGGAGAGCCTCTTGTAGAACTGGAAGGTTCTCTTTGACAAGACGTGTATCTCACTGTAAAAACGGCTTTTTCTTTTTTCTTGTTTCTTTTTTCTTTTTTTGAGACGGAGTCTCGCTCTGTCGCCCAGGCTGGAGTGCAGTGGCGCGATCTCGGCTCACTGCAAGCTCTGCCTCCCGGGTTCATGCCATTCTCCTGCCTCAGCCTCCTGAGTAGCTGGGACTGCAGGCGCCCGCCACCACACCCGGCTAATTATTGTATTTTTAGTAGAGACGGGGTTTCACTATGTTGGCCAGGCTAGTCTTGAACTCCTGACCTTGTGATCCACCTGCCTCGGCCTCCCAAAGTGCTGGGATTACAGGCGTGAGCCACCGTGCCCGGCCAAATATGGCTTTTTCTGTTTGGTTTTAACTTCATGTGCAACCTGGAAAGCCAGATTTCAACATTCTGTATTAATACCAAAAGTTAAGTTATGTTGTGGATTGAATGTGTCCCCCTGCCCCCTAAATTACTGTGTTGAAGCTGTGACCTCCAGTGTGACTATATTTGAAGATAGTGCCTGCAGGGAGGTAACTAAGGTTAACTGAAGCCATAAGGGCAGGGCCCTGATCCTATAGGGCTGTTCCCTTTATAAGAAGAG
This sequence comes from Homo sapiens, assembly GCF_000001405.40. NCBI lineage: Eukaryota > Metazoa > Chordata > Mammalia > Primates > Hominidae > Homo > Homo sapiens. Next base: position 101,134,634 of record NC_000002.12, on the reverse strand, counting down.
GGACAGTCACCAGAGAGCTTACCCTCTCTGCCATGTGAGGACACTATGAGAAGGTGGCTGTCTGCAAGCCAAGAAGAGAACCCTCACTAGACATCACATTTGCTAGCCCCTTGATTTTGGACTTCCAGCCTCCAGAGCCATGAGAAAATAAACTTCTGCAGTTTAAGCCACTCAGTCTGTGGTATTTTGTTATAGCAGCCTGAGCTAAGACAAGTTAGAATCATATAATGTAATGTAAATTTGTTTACTTTCTTTGAATTAAAATTTATAAAGACTCTAACTTAGGCAAAGCCAGAGATCTGATTAGTATTGATGGTGCCTGAACATACTAAGACCCAAGATGAGACAGAGGCCCCAGAGGTTAGCATCCATTTATACCAGAAAGATCATTAGAAAGTCTGTGTGTGTGTGTGTGTGTGTGTGTGTGTGTGTGTGTGAGAGAGAGAGAGAGAGAGAGAGAGAGAAAGAGAAGAGAGGGAGTGCTAAAGTGTGAATATTTATGTCCCCCCTCCAAATTCATTGTTGAAATTCTAACCCTGATAGGGTTTGGCTCTGTGTCCCCACACAAATCTCATCTCAAATTGTAATCCCCACATGTCGAGGGAGGGAGGTGATTGGATCATGGGGGTGGTTTTCCTCCATGCTGTTCTCATGATAGTGAGTGAGTTCTCACAAGATCTGATGGTTTTATAAGTGTTAGATAGTTCCACTTTCACACACTCTCTCTGTCCTGCTGACTTGTGAAGGCGGTGCCTGCTTCCCCTTAGCCTTCCACCCTGATTGTAAGTTTCCTGCAGCCTCCCCAGCCATGCAGAGCTGTGAGTCAGTTAAACCTCTATCCTTTATTAATTGCCCAGTCTCAGGGAAGTTCTTTATATTAATAGCAGAGTGAAAATGGACTAATACAACCCCCTAAGGTCATAGTACTGGAGGTAGATTCCTTGGAGGTGATTAGGTTATGAGGGTGGAGCCTTCCTGATTGTGATTAGTGCTCTTAGAAAGAGACCCCAGAGAGCTCCCTCTCCCTACCCACCTTGTGAAGACACAGCATGAAGCCACCATCTGTGAACCCCCCTCACCAGACACCAAATCTGCTGGTGCCTTGATCTTGGATTTCCCAGCTTCCAGAACCATGGGAAGTAAATTTATGTTATTTATAAGCTATCCAGGTAGTGGAGATTTTGTTATAGCATCCGAAATGGACTAAGACAGGGAGAGAGGGAAGATGGAAAGAGAGGAGAGAGGGAGAGGGGAAGGGAGCGAATATCTCAGAGAGAGACTTGAATGGCAAATGGACTCACACAAAAAGAGATCATGATCCCAGAAGCATTTGGCAGTGCTCATTCTAATATGCTATGTGATTAATATTTCTATATGCATTTCTGAAAAGTTTTATTTAGAATCAGAATTGTCTAAGTTAGATAATTTTCTTATTGCTTACATGTTCAGAGAGATATACTTTTTTTTTTTTTTTTGAGATGGAGTCTCGCACTGTCACCCAGGCTGGAGTGCAGTGGCTCGATCTCAGCTCACTGCAACCTCCGCCTCCCGGGTTCAAGCAATTCTCCTGCCTCAGCCTCCCGAGTAGCTGGGATTACAGGCGCCCGCCACCACGCCTAGCTAATTTGAGATGTACATTTTAAGTAAAACCAAACTTAAAAATTTATAGAAACATCTATAAATTTGAATAAGATAATCGTATTGCAGATATAAGAATATTTTTATTGCAAAGTAAAAACAGAAACAGTGGCTCACGCCTGTAATCCCAGCACTTTGGGAGGCTGAGGCAGGAGGATCACTTGGGCCCAGGAGTTCAAGACCAGCCTGGGCAACATAGGGAGACTCCATCTCTACAAAAAATTGAAAAACAAAAAATAAGTTAGCCGGGCATGGTGGCATATCCCTGTAGTCCTAGTTACTTGGGAGGCCAAGGCGGGAAGATTGCTTGAGCCGAAGAGGTCGAGGCTGCAGTGAACTGTGTTTATGCCACTGCACTCCAGCCTGGGCTGCAGAGTGAGATCCTATCTCAAACAAAACAACTTGATCAAAATTGTCAAACACAAAACAGGGATGGGATGTGGATTTATGTCTTCAAAAATGTCAGTCATAGAAAGGCTGTGTTTGGAAAAGTTCTTTATTAAAGGAGACTGAAAAGACATGGTAGCTCAATGTAATACGAACCACAGAATACATACTGTACTGAAGGGAGCAGGTGCTATAAAAGACATCATGGGGTCACCTGGCAGCTTGGGGATATGAAGGGTAGATACAGATATACACGTGTAAAATTCACTGGAGTTGATGACTGCTCTTTTGTGTAGGACAGTGTCCCCATTCATAGGAATAGGCTTCCCCTCAAATGATTTAGAAAAGGTGTGTGTGTGTGTAATTATATCATATATCATATTGTATCATTATATTTAGAGGAAGAAATAGAAAAAGAAAAATAGCAAATGATATAGTGAATGGGATAAGCTGCTCACAGTAGATGAATCTGAGTCTTGGCAGAGAGGGGATGAGTGTTCTCTGTCTTATTTTAGTTCTAGTTTTCCTTTAAGTTTGACTTTATTTCCAAATAAAAAGTGAAATGAACATGCAAATCCAGTTTATGTGTGAATCTGGAAGCACCCGTCTACTTTGATTGAAGTATTTTTAGTCTGTGTTAACAAGATGTAAAATATACCTATAACAATTTTTAAAAAACCTTTCATTTAGGAAATTTCTGCAGAAAAATAACTTTATTGTAAGTCTGAAACTAACCACTCCCAGCTTTTCTTGTTGAACAACTATATTTGGAACCTTGTTTTTTTTCTTTTTTTTGAGACAGAGTCTCGCTCTGTCGCCCAGGCTGGAGTGTCGTGTCACGATCTTGGCTCGCCGCAAGCTCCTCCTCCTGGGTTCACGTCATTCTCCTGCCTTAGCCTCCCGAGTAGCTGGGACTACAGGCGCCCACCACCACGCCCAGCTAATTTTTTCGTATTTTTAGTAGAGACAGGGTTTCACCATATTAGCCAGGATGGTCTCAATCTCCTGACCTCGTGATCCAACTGCCTCAGCCTCCCAAAGTGCTGGGATTATAGGTGTGAGCCACTGTACCCGGCCAGAACCTTGTTTTTTTTTTGAAACGGAGTTTCGCTCTTGTTGCCCAGGCTGAACTGCAATAGCGCACTGGGCTCACTGCAACCTCTGCCTCCCGGGTTCAAGCGATTCTCCTGCCTCAGCCTCCCGAGTAGCTGGGATTACAGGCGCACGTCACCACCATGCCCGGCTAATGTTGTATTTTTAGTAGAGATGGGTTTTCTCCCTGTTGGTCAGGCTGGTCACAAACTCCCGGCCTCAGGTGATCCACCCGCCTTTGCCTCCCAAAGTGCTGGGATTACAGGCGTGAGCCACCGTGCCCGGCCTGGAACCTTGTTTTTAAAGAGGTAAGGGAGCCGGGCTCAGTGACTTGTGCCCATAGTCTCAGCTACTTGGGAGGCTGAGGTGGGAGGATGACTTAAGCCAAGGAGTTCAAGACCAGCCTGGACAACATAGCAAGACCTCATCTTTCTAAAAATAAATAAATAAATAAATAAAATAAAGAGGTGAGGTTTCCCAGGGGTCCTGGGTGCCACACCCAGCAGGGCAGGTTGTGTATTATTTGATGTGTATGAGGGTATCTTATCTAATCCCTTCCTAAAATTAAATGACTTCAACACAGGAGTTTTTGATATAATGTATATGCATTATTGCAGTGTTAGGTTGGGGCTTGATTGTGGTCAATAACAGTTAGATATTAAGAGAATGAAGACCTTGGAAAAGAAGGCCATTCAACAGGTATTTACTGTATGCTGCTAGGAGCCTGGCTCTTTCCCAGGCACCTGGATGTAGCAGTGAACAAAACTAGATCCTATCCTCATGGAGCTTGAAGATTACTCTAGTGATTAATCTGGGGTTGGAATTCTCAAATATGCACTGCCAATCCTTCTAAATATGTCAGCCCAGGCATCATTTTAAACTTATTTCATTAAAACAGTTAGTGCTGTTTTCACTGAACCACAAAAAATTGACTTTTTGTAGCTCTTGCCCTTGAAAATGGAAATATCTAGTCAAGGGGGTTAGGGCCTTTGAGCCCTGTCTTTTAGGTTCCTGCCTGTGTTGGCTGTGTCATCTGCAAGCTCTGTGACAGGATCAAAAGCACTGGGGCGAGGAACTTCTGCCCCTGGAAGTCTTTCTGGCACCTTCTCACTAGGGTCCGACTTGGTGAGGGGAAGCACAGCTTAGCTTAGCCCTCTGCGACCCTGCAGTGGGCCTCAGGGCGCGGGCACCTGTCTTGCAGGCCAGCCCTGCTAAGCCACTGAAGTGTCAGCACAGCTGGCCCGATCGACGCTTCCAGGCCTCCTCGGCTCTCACTCCCTTTTGGGATGCAGCTCAGGAGCCTTCCGGAGGTGACTGGAATGAAGTGGACTCATTTTCTTAGTTAAAAATAACCCCAGCAGCTGTGGGTTCAAGTACCCCAATGGCAGGACCGGCCCTCGACTCATTGTTGCGACTCCTGGTCATTGTGGCTCTGAGGGTCATGGCTGGATGAACGTCGTTGCTGGGATCTTGGAGCCCACCAGCTCGTACCCCTTTTTACAGATGAACAAGCTGGGGCCCAGGAAAAGGTCCACTGACTGATCTGAGGGAGGATGCTGTTACTTGATTTGGCTCGGGCTAGCCCTTTCTTTTTCTTTTCTTTTTTTTTTTTTGAGACAGAGTCTCGCCCTGTTGCCCAGGCTGGAGTGCAGTGGCACTATCTCGGCTCACTGCTAGCTCCGCCTCCTGGGTTCACACCATTCTCCTGCCTCAGTCTCCTGAGTAGCTGGGACTACAGGCGCCTGCTGCCACGCCCAGCTAATTGTTTGTATTTTTAGTAGAGATGGGGTTTCACCGTGTTAGCCAGGATGGTCTCGATCTCCTGACCTCGTGATCTGCCTGCCTCGGCCTCCCAAAGTGCTGGGATTACAGGTGTGAGCCGCCACGGACTTGGGCTAGCCCTTTCTAGCAAATCTAGAAACCCCTGAAATGTGGGTGTTCCTGGCTGCCTTCTTCCAGCCCACCTTGGCTCCTCCAGATCTCTCCAGCTACTTTTGTTCTGGGCTGGCGACTGTTGAAATGCTTGTTTGTTTGTTTAATGGTTTAAGTAACAGATATTTAAAAAAACTGTGGTCAGGGCCAGATGCCATGGCTCATGCCTGTAATCCCAACACTGGGAGGCCGAGGCAGGCAGATTACCCGAGTTCAGGAGTTCGAGAACAGCCTGGCCAACATGGCGAAACCCCGTGTCTACTAAAAATACAAAAACATTAGCCAGGTGTGGTGGCGTGTGCCTGGAGTCCCAGCTACTCGGGAGGCTGAGGCATGAGAATTTCCTGAATCTGGGCAGCAGAGGTTGGCAGTGAGCCAAAATCGTGCCACTGTACTCCAACCTGGGCGACAGAACAAGACTCTATCTCAATTTAAAAAAAACAAAACAAAATAAAACACACACACAAAAACTGTGGTAAATATACATAACATAAAATTTACCATCTTAACCATTTTTAAGTGGCATTACATACATTCGCAGTGTTGTGCACCCATCACTACCATCTAATTTCCAGAACTTTTTCATCTTCTCTAAATGAAAGTCAGAGCCCATTAAATAAATAACTCCCCCTGCTCCCTCCCTCTATGGTAACCACTGCTCCCTCCCTCTATGGTAACCATCATTCTACTTTCTGTCTCTGAATTTGACTATCCCAAGTTCCTCATATAATTAGAATCACACGGTATTTGTCTTTCTGTGTCTGGCTTATTTCACTTAGCATAATGTTATCAAGGTTCTCAAGATTCTCAGGGAATATTATTTGAGGCTAATGATATTCTATTGTATGTATATGCCACATTTAAAGAATTCATTCATTTATTCATTGAGGGACCCCTGGGTTACTTCCGCCTTTTGGCTATTGCAAATAATGCTGCCGTGAAAACAGGTGTACAAATATTTGTTTGAGATCCTGCTCTCACTTTTGGGTATAGACCCAGAAGTGGAATTGCTGGATCACATGGTGATTCTGTGCTTAAGTTTTTTGAGACAATCCTAGACTTTTGCACCTGATTCTTTGTCTCTCCTGGCCTCTGAGGACTTGACTGCCCAGCTAGCATTGTACTGAATTTGCTGGGGCTGAGGCCCCAGTCATGGGCCCCTGGCTTCCTGAGTACCCTAAGCCTGGCCCTGAGACCCTCATTACTCTTCCCAGGAAGCTTGAGTGGAGAATTGAAGAGAGCTGAAGCTTGTTTAGAGGTGCATTGCAATTGACTTAAAAACAAAGAATGAGAATTAGAATTTGATTTGGGGCATTTTCAGGTTTACTGTTCAGTCATTTGTTTTGGATTTCATGTAGTTTTGTTTTTCATAACTAAGATATGGAGTGGAATGCTTAATCTGTATTTGGTAGTTTTTCTAACATGTTCTCAGTTACATCTATACCTAAGGTTATTGGGGGGAAAGAATAGGACTATTAGGAGGTGGAAAAGAAAAGAAATCTTGTCCTTATTAACCTGAATGACCTTGGACCTTGGTTTCTTATTTTGTGAAAGGGAGTTAATAATGTAACTAATAAGAATGTTATGAGTAATTGGGGAAAAAATGGATCTGAAGTATCTGGGACAGGCTTAACAGCCAGTGTGCTTAGTTAACATCAGCCTGTCCTTACCTGTTTGTGGTTCTGGATTCATTAAGTAAGCTGTGTGTGTGGTCCTAGGCTCCCGAAGGGTAGAGCAGCAACAATGGGAAGAGCTCCGAGCAGGACTCAGGAGCTGTGACCCTCACATCCTCCACCAACTTCCTCCAGGCTCAGGTTCCTCACCTATCCAATGAGGAGGTTGGACTCATCTCTCTGATTTCTCATGGTGCTAAAAGGTCAACAAGGCTGGGTGTGGTTGCTAAGTTTGTAATCCCAGCACTTTGGGAGGCTGAGGTGGGAGGATCGGTTGAGCCCAAGAGTTTGAGTCTGTAGTGAGCTGTGATTGTTCTGCTGCACTCCAGCCTGGGCAACAGAGTGATACCCTGTCTCAAAAAAAGTGTTAGGTTTGTGGGTAGCCTTCTTTTGATTGCAGAGTGCTTTCTTTTCTCCATACTGACGTCTGTTCTCTACACGTGGTAGACCCATCTCCTCAGTGGTGTATGAAGTGAGTTGAGAGATTGAAAAGCCCAGACTGGAGTTTTTGTCATTCTAAGATCTTTAGGGCCATATGGGACCTGAATTTCCTTCTTTCTCTTTTTTTTTTTTTTCTGAGATGAAGTCTTGCACTGTTGCCCGGGCTGGAGTGCAGTGGTGGGATCTTGGCTCACTGCAACCTCTGCCTCCCAGGTTCAAGCCATTCTCCTGCCTCAGCCTCCCAAGTAGCTGGGATTACAGGCACCTGCCACCACGCCTGGCTAATTTTTTGAATTTTTAATAGAGATGGGGTTTCACTGTGTTGGCCAGGCTGGTCTCGAATGCCTGACCTCGTGATCCACCTGCCTCGGCCTCCCAGAGTGCTGGAATTACAGGTATCAACCACTGCGCCTGGCCAGGGGCCTCAATTTCTTAACAGCTTGTTCTCTGGCTCTAGCCCAGAATTCCAATACCTATGAGGAGTCAACCCCCAAGCCCTTGTGACCTGGGGCCATCCACATCTGCGAAGGAGATGAGAAGGTGGAAGGGGCACTGGATGTGATTTTTGATTGCTCAGAAATAGAATTAAACTGTCTTCAAAGAATTGGACAGAGAAACTCTCTTGCTCCACTCACTTCAAGACTTGGCCGTTTTCTACAATTGACCTTGTCTGTCTTTATTACTTATTTACCAATCTTCATTTTCTCCAAGGAAGAACAGCCAGCTTAGCTTGTAATGCTTCCTTCTTCCAGTCTTCCTATTTTTGAGAAACATTTATTGCTTATTAGCATTGTAGTAATAATACCATACGTTTTCATATTGAATTACATTTTTCATAGGGCTTTCACTACTTTACCTCTCTCTGTATATCTATCAAGATTTATCTAGGCCACCTGGTTACCCCCATTTTGTAAATTGAGATCCAGTGTGGTCATCTATTTGCCAGGCTGTTGGTAACAGGGCCCTGGTATCTGTCTTTTCTTTCTGTGATGCTGGTTAGTCACCAGTGCTCACCCAAGATTTGCTTATGGGCAGGACATATGTACCCAGCAGAGAAGCTTGTGGTAGAGAATTCTTACCTTCAAGACATTTGCTATGGTTCGGATATGGTTTGTGTGGCCCCACCAAGTTTCATGTTGGAATTTGATGCCCACCTAGTATTGGAGGTACGGCCTGGTGGGAGCTGTTTGGGTTGTGGGAGTGGATCGTTTATGAATGTCTTGGTGCCATACTCATGAGAGTGAATTCTTGCAAGAACTGGTTGTTGAAAAGAGCCTGGCACCATCTCCTCTCTCTCTTGCCTTTCTCTCCTACCATGTGCTCTCTGTATATGCCAGCTCCCTTCACCTTCCACCACGAGTGGAAGCTTCCTGAGGCTTCATCAGACACAGATACTGGTGCCATGCTTCTTGTACAGCCTGCAGACCTGTGAGCCAAATAAAGCTCTTTTCCTTATAAGTGACTCAGCCTCAGGTATTCCTTTATAGCAA